>NC_000002.12:105065375-105368405 GCF_000001405.40 Homo sapiens | reverse complement strand
GAGCCAGGATCGCACCACTGCACTCCAGCCTGGGTGACAGAGTGAGACCCTGTCTCGAAAACAAAAAAAAACTACATGTAGGTTTTAATTATAGCACTTAGTACAGTGCATAAAACTACCTAGATACATCACAACTTGGTTCAACAGGCAGTATGTAAAGTGAGTGTTGTAGAGGCTGCTCACTGAATCAGGTTCGAGGTTCCAGGTTCATTCACACTCTAGCCATTTCCATCCTGCTGTGAACCAGACGGGGTGTTCATTATCAGGTGTGCAATAGGTGAATACAGTCCCTAGACTCCAAAAGTCATGCTCCATGGGAATTCATCGGAGCTATGCCACACTTCTCTTTATACTTTGCATTGCTGAGAGAGACTTAACTTTTTTTAGATTTAACATTCCTAACCACGGTATTCAATAAATAAATGTTAAGTGCCTAAAATGTACACGTGTTGTTCTAGGAGCTGGGTGTACAGTAGTGAACCAAAAGACAAAGTCCACGCCCTGCACAAAATAGGAATTACCTCCATGTAGAGGCGAGCCTTCAAGAGCTGAAGTGGCTTGCTCTGGTCATAAAACTAGAGGGCAGCAAGCTCTGAAGGCAGATTGCTGGGACTCCACACCCCTCTAACCATAACTCTGCTGTGTTCCTCTTGACCCTGATGACAGGTACCCGCAAGATGGAGTACAAGGGCAGCAGCTGGCATGAGACCTGCTTCATCTGCCACCGCTGCCAGCAGCCAATTGGAACCAAGAGTTTCATCCCCAAAGACAATCAGAATTTCTGTGTGCCCTGCTATGAGAAACAACATGCCATGCAGTGCGTTCAGTGCAAAAAGGTATCTCAGATGCCCCCTTGGCCCTTGCACGTTCTGGCTGGTTTGCCTCCATGGTCCATGTCTGTCAGTTCTCTTTCCAAAACCAAGGATACCTGTGATACTTAAGTGGCGTGGGAGCTGTGCCTGTCCTGCCTTACATTCTGAGCATTTATCCATCGGGTCTGGGTGTCCATCCTTCTTTCAAAGACATCAACATTGTTGAGCTCTGTGATCAAATCGTTTAACCCTGCCTTCTTCTAGACCATTTCTAAATATGTTCTTATGTTGATAACCTGAGGTTAGAGGGAAGGGGAGCCACCATCCCAAAGCTGTCTTGTTCAGCTTCTCTCCATGAATAAAACAAGAAAACAACTGCAAACTTGAGAGGGAGAGAAAGATGGAAGGAAGAGGGAGGAGAGGAAGGGAGGAGAGAGAGACGGATGTGAGAAGAAAAGTAAAGGAGAAAAGTCTGCCTCCATGGATATGGGACAGATCATTTATTAAATGTATCTACTCTGGCCGGGCATGGAGGCTCATGCCTGTAATCCCAGCACTGTGGGAGGCCAAGGCTGGTGGATCACCTGTGGGAGGCCAAGGCTGGTGGATTACCTTAGGTCAGGAGTTCAAGACCAGCCTGGGCAACATGATGAAACTCCATCTCTACTAAAAATACACAACTTAGCTGGGTGTGGTGGCACACGCCTGTAGTCCCAGCTACTCAGGAGACTGAGGCAGGAGAATCACTTGAACCCGGGAGGTGGAGGTTGCAGTGAGCCAAGATCCCACCACTGCACTCCAGCCTGGGCGACTGAGCGAGACTCCATCTCAAAAAATTAAAAAAATAAATAAATAAACTTATCTACTCGATAATGTGCTATTCCAGTCATGGCTCTGTTAGGGTTAAAGAAAGAAAGGGAACTGCATATCTGTAGGAAGCCATCTCTCTGCCCAGTTGCCCCCCGACCTGCACCCTTCAGGGTGTAGCTTAGTTTTCTGCTGTGCCCTCTGACTCTTAGACACACGCAATTCTTATTATGCTATAGCTTCCAGCGTCTCTGTCCTGTTAGGATTTGCATCAGCCTGTTGAGTGGCACCCTCCCACTGCTCACTCGCCCTGGGCAGCGCCAGCTGTGGAACTCATCACAGGTTCTGTTCGCTCTCCTCCTGTTATTGACTCTGCTCACCCAGCTTCTGCTGTTTTGCCCTTGGGGCCTCTACCCTTGCGTCTGGGCCATGGAGAAACATCCCCAATGCTGCTACCTGTACCTGGCTGGCCTGGGCAAGAATATCCCCACCTTGCCCACACCTTTTCTAAGTGCTGAGTATTCTTACCAATTTCCATTCAGTCTTTCTCTCATTTCCTTTTTTTTTTTCTTTTTTTGAGACAGAATCTCACACTGTCGCCCAGGCTGGAGTGCAGTGGCTCGATCTTGGCTCACTGCAACCTCCGCCTCTTGGGTTCGAGCAATTTCTCCTGCCTCAGCCTCCCAAGTAGCTGAGATTACAGGCGTGCGTCACCATGCCCAGCCGGTTTTTTTTGTATTTTTAGTACAGACGGGGTTTCAACATGTTGGCCAGGCTGATCTCGGAACTCCTGACCTCAGGTGATCGACCTGCCTCCACCTCCCAAAGTGCTGGGATTACAGGCGTGAGCCACCATGCCTGGCCCCATTTGTTCTTTACTGTTATTTTAAATTTTATTTCTCTTTATTTCCTCTCCTTTTATGCTTCTGTTTTTTTCTTTTTTTGAGACAGTTTCACTCTGCCACCTGGGCTGTAGTACAGTGGCATGATCTCAACTCACTGCAACCTCTGCTTTCTGGGTTCAAGTGATTCTCCTGCCTCAGCCTCCTGAGCAGCTGGGATTACAGGCAGGTGCCACCACCAAACCCACCTAATTTTTTTTTTTTTTTTTTGTAGTAGAGACGGTGTCTCACTTTGTTGGCCAGACTGGTCACAAACTCCTGTTTTTTTCTTTATTCTTAGATTGAGCTCTCATTCCTGCTTTTATTTTAGGAACCCTCTTCCCTGTTCTCTCCCCTTTTTATTTTTATTTTGGTTTGTTCTTCTCATCAAGACCTAACGGAAGTTCATCTGAGTTGCTCTTCCTCTGTCATCTTTCCAATGTGTGCTTTATTCATTTGCAGAAATGAAAGCAACACATCCTTCTGGGATGCATGCTTTTTGTGTGCATGTTCATTAAATACACAAAAACATTCATGCCAGAAGCATCCATTCCTCGACATGAACTTGGCCCTCTCAGGCACTGGGGATCTGATGCTGGACAAGATGCAGACACTTAACTGTAGTCTAGGTGGAAGTACACTCCAGTGTCAAACCCGTCAGTAGTTACTGAGCAGTGTGCTATGGAGGAGAAGAGCAGAGTGTGGAATGGAGGGACCTCAACTAATCTGAGGAGTTGGGGGCCAGGGTGGTGTTGAGGGAAGGAGTCTCTGAGAAAGTCATGCTATGCTCAGAGGCATTGAGTTAGCTGATGTGGGTGGGAAGCATGGAATCCGGAGCAAGGGAGGACTGAGGACACATGTTGCAGGCAGAGATGTCTTACACACACAGGCTACTGCATTCACATGGATACGTTGCAACCAAGCGTGTTTGGTGTTCATTCTCTTGTGCAGTGGGGTGGGTTATACTAAGATGCTTCATGATTTATGGTTTAATGAAAAGAATACAAGATAGAAGGGAGTCCAGAATTCTAGTTCCTGCTTCGTCATTAACCAGCTATGAATTCTTTGGCAAGTCACTTTTTAATTTCTCTGAGTCTCAGTTTACTCATCCATAAAATTAAGATAATATCTTTCCTACTTCACAAGCTTTATGTAAAGACCAAAGGAGTTACTGCATGATACTGAAATGTTCAAAAAATAAAAAGCAAAAAAGTGTGATTGTGAGGTGCTTGCACTCCATCTTCCACAGCCTTCGTTTGCCAAGCTGAGGCCACCTACACTCCTCTCTGATAGCTTACTCAGCTCCACCAAGCACTCATTTTTAAATAGAATGTGAGATGCAACATTTGGAGAAAAATATCAGGTAAAATTGAGGTACTGATGGCCAGTTCCACCTCATGTGGCTTTGCAGCTTCACCTCACAGATGTTCTAAGACCACAAGACAGGTGAGAATGAAGGCATCCAGCTTATTTTTCCCAAAACTTCCAAGATGCCCATCTCTTCTTGTGGCATCAGCAGGTGCTAGTCCCGGCTGTCCTTTAAGCCTCTTCCTTCTTTCACCGTAAGTGGCTGGAGAGACAGGCTCGTGAGTGGCATTGGAGAGGTTACCACTTGCCAGGGTTTTTGTTTTGTTTTGTTTTGTTTTGTTTTTGAGACAGTCTCACTCTGTTGTCCAGGCTGGTGTGCAGTGGCATGATCTTGGCTCACTGCAACCTCTGTTTCCAGGGTTCAAGCGATTCTCCTGCCTTAGCCTCCTGAGTAGCTGGGAATACAGGTGCACCACCACACTCAGCTAATTTTTTGTATTTTTAGTAGAGATGGGGTTTCGCCATGTTGGCCAGGCTGGTCTCGAACTCCTGACCTCAAGTGATCCACCTGCCTCGGCCTCCCAAAGTCCTGAGATTACAGGTGTGAGCCACCAGCCCTGCCAGGCTTCTAAGTAAGGACTCCTCATCAACTTGCCCAATTAACCTCATCACCCTCACTTCCTGGATGAGAAAACTGAAGTGCAGAGATCTTTATCATGACCTGCTCCCAGCCACAGGGCTGGTAAGGAGTAGGGTTAGGATTCAAACCCAGGTCTCCTTGATGCTGTATTGAATCCCGACCCCTCCACTGTGCTGCTTCCCTGCTCAGAAAGGTGGCAACACCACTGAGGCACCCTATGCCTTAGATCCCCAGCATCCCTGGGAAGGGCTGAGGGCAACCCCAAGCTCCAGTTTCACTAACGGGAAAGCCAGGGCCTATGACACTGGAATGAAAGCGTGTGGTGAGGGTGACGAGTGACTGTGAAGTTTGTAAAGCAGCTTCTTGGTGACTTAACAAACTGGACGTTTCTGGATGAGGATCTTGCATCGTCCAGTGGCAGTAGCTGAGACTGAAGATGTCTGCCAAGCACAGAGGCCACACTAACTCTCCCCCTCGTCCCTGCAGCCCATCACCACGGGAGGGGTCACTTACCGGGAGCAGCCCTGGCACAAGGAGTGCTTCGTGTGCACCGCCTGCAGGAAGCAGCTGTCTGGGCAGCGCTTCACAGCTCGCGATGACTTTGCCTACTGCCTGAACTGCTTCTGTGACTTGTATGCCAAGAAGTGTGCTGGGTGCACCAACCCCATCAGCGGTGAGTGTCCCGGGGTTCCCATTTCCAGGGGCGATTGGAAGCTTGAACAAGGCCTAGCATTTTAGCCTGTGACCCTGTCTATATCCCTCAACTCCCCAGACCTCCCTAAGGCTCTGAACACAGCAGACTTTTCTGCCTATCTGCTTTCCTCTCCTTGGTGCACTGGCTATGCTTCAGCAAGTAATGATTCCTTCCTCTGCAGCCCACCTGATCACAACCATATGGCCAGTGCTCCAGTTTAGTTTCTGCTTTGGGTTGGATTATCGCTAAAACTGCAGTCTGTGAGCCTGTGACATCACAAAAGCACAATAAAAACTGGCCTTTTCAGGCTTAGCAGCTGTGCTGTGTTCTTAGAAGTGTCCCCTAGCATCTTAGTGGGACGGTTGTACTCCAAAACATCTTAATGGGAAACTTCTACCACAAGGCCATAGCTATATGAGGGCAGAGGGTACATTCTAAGGAGTTTTTCATATTGTATTCCCCCAAAGAATTCAGCTAAGTGAGAGCCCAAAATCTGGCTGGCTGGCAGACCAGGCTTCTGGACTAGACTATTAAGCAGGCTGGAGAAATTCAGTGTGGAGAACAGAGGAGTTCACACTAAAGTCCTTTAAATGGTCACCACATATCGCTACACAAATGAGTGACTGGGTGGGGAGAGAAAAGTGTGTGTTCTGTAATAACACAGGAGAAGTTTTATGATGTGGGATTTGCAATCCCGTTGCATTCAGTTGACTGGTTCGTTCCTATCAGAGGAAGGTGGCAGACACTTGGAGTACCCGGTGGCCTGGCTTTCCTGTGTGGCTTTTCAGTGTAACTACAGAAACACATCTATACACCCCCTGTGTACTTGTCCTTGACTTTCCTTTCCCTTAGGCCTAGAACCAAGTTCACCTAACTCAGCTAACTCACCTTCCCAGGTCGCTAAAACAGTACTCTCATGTGTAATGCAGAGCTCATTACATTTCCATGTGAAATTAAAATATGAAGAAAAGCACAGTATTTACACTTTACCTATGTTAAAATATCTGTTTCTGGTCATTTATATACCAGATTTCCCTTGGAATCTTTTAGGGGGAAAATGTAATCTTTTGCCAGAACATATTCATCTTTAATGCTGTTTTCAGCAGTAACTTCTGTTGAGGTAAATGTTTATAACATTAAGCTTTATAAAGTGATACAATCTATATAAAAGCACTTTTAAATGTAAAACATTAGATATGAATGTGAATTGTGGTTATTGTGGCACTGAGAAAAAACACTAGGTAAAAACCAACTGTATTATAATCACGGACCAATGTACCTTAAATATTTGATTCCATTCTATCTGTCTGCAGCTTTCTCAGGATCTTCCCACTGCGACAATATCCCTCTCCCCTCATTCCCACCCACATCGCACTTTATCTGTGAGGCCTTTCCTGGCCATCCCAGGGAGGATTAACCTTTTCCTCTTCTACACTCCCTTCACTGCTTCAATCATTAAGTCATAAAAATTTGAGCACCAGGCAACGTGAGGCACCTAGTGAAGACATAAGAGAAATCTGCTCCCTCTTCTCATGGAGTTTCATTTTGTGGGAAAACACATAACAAATACACAGTCAGCATTCTTTGATCGCACTTATCCCATCGTTTTGGAACCAGTTTATATATCTCTTCTGATATTCACGAGATCCTCCAGGCTGTGCATAGAATCTGATTTACATATGGATTCCCAACACCCAGTCACTAGAAATTCACATTATCCATATTACACAATCCAAACTTTGAAATGGATCAAACCAGAATTCCTTCTTCAGTCCCAGTTGCCTGATTCTAACTTTCTTCATCCGGTATTATTTTCTCTCTGTTAACAGGACTTGGTGGCACAAAATACATCTCCTTTGAGGAACGGCAGTGGCATAACGACTGCTTTAACTGTAAGAAGTGCTCCCTCTCACTGGTGGGGCGTGGCTTCCTCACAGAGAGGGACGACATCCTGTGCCCCGACTGTGGGAAAGACATCTGAATTCAACACAGAGAAGTTGCTGCTTGTGATCTCACACACAGATTTTTATGTTTTCTTTCTCACCCAGGCAATCTTGCCTTCTGGTTTCTTCCAGCCACATTGAGACTTTCTTCTAGTGCTTTTCAGTGATACTCACGTTTGCTTAAACCCTTTAGTGCTTTGTGATAGTTCAGTCCCAGGGAAAGAGAAAACTCGCCCTAGGCCCTAGGTGGGAAGATGGTTTGAAATTTTTGTAATCGAGTAAGGCACACCCAAATGTAAAAATCCTTTTGAATGATGCCTTTATAAATCTTTCTCTCACTGTCTATTTAAGTGCAATTAACATATGTCACGAACTTGAAAGTTTTCTAAACTCAATAAGGTAATGACCAGTTGTTATTTACAGCTCTGTAACCTCCCGTTGCGTCAAGTCTAAACCAAGATTATGTGACTTGCAATAAAGTTATTCAGAACAGAATCTTTTGCCAGGCACAGAGTGTGAAATCATGATTACAGGTCGAGGCACTGAGTCTAAGTAACACTTTATTGCATGGTCCCATGGTCACTGTATGAAGTGCAGTTCCAATGTTCCAATGGCCTGGGGCATTGCCAACTGGAACAGCATCACACCCTTTAAAGGAAGCCTTCGGCTGGGCACGGTGGCTCACGCCTGTAATCCCAGCACTTTGGGAGGCCAAGGCGGGTGGATCATGAGGTCAGGAGATCAAGACCATCCTGGCTAACATGGTGAAACCCCGTCTCTACGAAAAATACAAAAAATTAGCCGGGTGTGGTGGTGAGCGCCTGTAGTCCCAGCTACTCGGGAGGCTGAGGCAGGAGAATGGCATGAACCCGGGAGGCAGAGCTTGCAGTGAGCTGAGATGGCACCACTGAACTCCAGCCTGGAAGACAAAGAGACTCCGTCTCAAAAAAAAAAAGCCTTCAGTCAGCACCAGGCACCTCTTCCTTGCTACCTTCTCTCCCTTTTTTTTTTTTTTTTTTGAGACAGAGTCTCGCTCTGTCGCCCAGGCTAAAGTGCAATGGCACAATCTCAGCTCACTGCAACCTCCACTTCCCGCGTTCAAGCGATTCTCCTGCCCTCAGCCTCCTGAGTAGCTGGGATTACAGGCACCCACCATTATGCCCGGCTAATTTTTGTATTTTTAGTAGAGATGGGGTTTCACCATGTTAGGCTGGTCTTGAACTCCTGACCTCAGGTGATCCACCTGCCTCGGTCCCCCAAAGTGCTGGGATTATAGGCATGAGCCACCGCACCCAGCTACCTTCTCTGTCTTTCCCATACTCTTTCTCTTGGAATGTAATCCTCTGCATTTGACACAGTAACATAAACTGACAGTGAAGCCAATTTTCAGGTCATTTTTCTTGGCAGAGCTTATCGGCTCTGTCCCAGTGTTATGGATCCACATCTTACACCGACTTCCATAAAGTGAAAGATTGCACAAGGACATAAGCAACTTGAGGCCAGAGACGACATCCTGTTCATCTTTATGTTCTCAACACCCTCGCAACTGAGGGCACACTGGGAGCCTTCAGTGTTTCTGAAAAGGGCAGTAAAGCAGGAGAGACACACAGTCATTACAGTAAAAATAACATTCTGAGCTACTAGTGTGGCAGTAGTCTGTGGAATAATCTCAGATAGCAGTATACAGTTGGGAAGCACGGAGCCAATGTATGGGATAGAACATTGCACAGTTCTCTTTAGAATGGGAGCATCAGTGACCTTTTTGTCCTTAGTTTTCTAAGACAATGCAATATAATAAAATGATAGGCTGAGCAACAGAAAAATTTGGTGGAAATCAAGTCTGATATATGCTGAGCATATGTGAAATCAGTTTCTTAATCTGAGTGTTAGTCACTGTTAGAATGTTTGATAATGTCTGGAATGAGTCTTTTGGTTTTATAGTTGACTTGAGGTTTTGCTTAAAAAGAATAATTTCATCCTTTGTTAGTTGTTTTGCTGTTTTCTACTTCATAATATAAAAGTAAAAGCACTCCAAATTTCATTTTGGAACATCTTACTTGTTCCTCATTAAAACCATAGACTCTCCCAACCTTAAATTACCCATTCTAAAATTAATGGTTAGGGGGAATTCCACTTCTAGTAAATAGCTCCAATTGGACTAATTCTCCTCCAAATTAACAGTCATTCTGGACAAAATATTTATTTAATTGTTAAGAACACTGGAGCACGATCCAAAGCAGGCAGATATTGGAGGGCAGTAGACACTTGGAAGAAGAGAACGACACTGGGTGATTTTCCTGTTTCGGCCTTTTATCCAATGGCAGGCCCCCGCCAGGGATCTAAAACTCTGTTAGGAAACCTGCAGTCTTACTGGCCTGAGGAACCAGAGGCCAGAGTTCGGGACAAACAGCCTCTGGAAAGTGAGGAAGAAAATCCTGAAAAGGAGAGCCCCAAGTTCGTCGCATGAACTTAGAAATTTCTGGCTGACAACTGAACCGTGTATACTTAGGCCAGACTCCAAGCAGCCCAGCCAAGGCTAAAAGCATTGACTGACAGGACTTTACAGATAGTGGTTTGCAGGGCTTAGCTGACCGACCCTCTTCCTACTGAAGGAAATTACTTGTATATAAACCACACAACACAAAGTCTCTGAAAATTTCCCCAGAAGCATACAACAAATAAACATTCATTCAGGAAAATCCACTACTAAGTCTTAGAAAGAACAGTGAGTCTGTGGCATTTGAGCCACAGCCTCATCCTATCCCATCCCCACTCCCCAGCTTCATGTGACAAACTCTATTCTGGACCAATGCAGCCAAAAATTAAGGGGTCTCTCTTCCTCCAGCTACCAGTCTAGGGCTTTGCCCCAGGTGCGACAGGCTGAGAATCGTAGAGCTCCAATTGCCCCTACCCTAGCCTGCTTAGTGCGGAGGCTCCACATTGGGAGGGGCAATCTGAGAAGACCAGCGGCTATCAACCCACTCACAGAGAAGGGATGTCAGTCCTGGAGAAGCAGGCTGCTGTCCAGCCCCCAGAGGAGATCCAGGCTCTGAGACTGGTAACCCAGCAGTTATGCCCAAGGGGACTGGTATTTGGTACGGAGAACGAGAAATCTTTGCCTAAGGGGATTGTCAAAAACAATAAGACATCTTACCAGTGAGCCATTAAGGAAGGGGCTGGTAACTCCATGCTATTAGTAGCAAAAAGCAAAATGACAGACCAGCCAGAAGTTTAACACAGAAAACCAGAGAAAGAGATAGCCAAGAAGAGCCCTCCTGGAATCTGGTTTATCCTTGAGGTTCGGGAAGTATGTATGGACAGGGCTGTATCCACTCAGGAGCAATCAGATGTGAAACAAACTTGAAAGCATTCTCTAAGGCATACACAGATCCATCAGCAAAGAGCAGAAATCTTATTAGCTCAAAGTGCTTAAGCAGAACCTCTGACCAAACACTGGCTGAACACATAAATGTGTTTGTTCAAAGAACTAAAGGAAATCATATTTAAAAAAGGAAGGTAAAGGAACAATTACAGTTGTTCCTCCATATCCATGGATTCCTCATCTGTGGATTCAACCAACTGTGGATCAAAAGTATTTAGGAAAAAAAAAAAAAAGTTGACACAGTTCCAAAAAGCAAAACTTGGATCTTCCACATGCTGAGTACTATGTTGAATCCATGCAAATGAAGTGATGTGTAAGCATTGTATTAGGTATTATTATAAGTAATCTAGAGATTTATTTAAAGTATACAGAATGATGTGAATAGGTTATATGCAAATTCTATGCCATTTTATATGAGACTTGAGCATCCATGGAGTTTGGTATTTGTAGGGGGTCCTGGAATTAATCCCCCACAGATACCAAGAGATGACTTTACTCACCAAACAAACCAATAAAGAGATAAAAATTATTTTTAATAAATCAAATGGAATTCTGAAGTTGAAAAGTATACTAAATGAAATGAAAAATTCACTAGAGGGGCTCAGTAGTAGATTTGAGTTAGGAGAAGAAAACCAGTGAACTTGAAGACGGAACAACAGAAATTATACAATCTGAAAAACAGAAAAAAGAGTGAAGAGAAATTAAAAGAGCCTCAGAGAAATGTGAGAAACCATTAAGCATACCAACATATGTGTAATGGAAGGACTAGAAGGCTAGGAGAGAGAAAAAAAGAACAGGAGAAAATATTTTTTCAGAGTTCATGACTAGTCAGGTGCAGTGGCATGCGCCTGTTGTCCCAGCTACTCAGGAGGCTGAGGTGAGAGAATTGCTTGAGTCTAGGAGTTTGAGGCTGCAGTGTGAGAAAACAGCACCTGTGAACAGCCACTGCACTCCAGCCTGTACAACATAGTGAGACCTTCTTAAAAAAGAAAAAGAAAAAAAGAGTTAATGGTTGAAAAAGGCCCCAAATTTGATGAAAAATATTAATCTACATATTCAAGAAGCTCAATAAACTCAAAGTAAGATAAATGCAGAGACCATACCCAGACACATTACATTCAAAATGCTGAATGCCAAAGATAATGAGAAAACTCTGGCTAGATGTAAAATAATATAGCTATATAATTAAGACTTTTTATTAAATTGGGAAATTAAACATACATATACAAAAGTACACAAAGCAAATGTCAACAGGCAAAACTAAACCAATGAGATGTTGGAATATTCTGTATCAGGGGTTGTAAACTATGGTCCCTGGGCTAAATTCTGCCCACTGCCTGTTTTCTTTCCTATTTTATTTTTTTGAGACAGGATCTCGCTCTGTTTCCCAGGCTGGAGTGCAGTGGCATGATCACAGCTCACTGTAACCTTGAACTTCTGGGCTCAAGTGATCTTCCCACCTCAGCCTCTCAAGTAGCTAGGGCTACAGGCACGCACCACCATGCCTGGCTGTGTGTGTGTGCCTGTGTGTTTTGTTGTTGTCATTTTGAGACAGAGTTTTGCTCTGTCGCCCAGGCTGTAGTGCAGTGGCATGATCCTGGCTCACTGTAACCTCCGCCTCCTAGGTTCAAGTGATTCTCCTGCCTCAGCCTCCTGAGTAGCTGGGATTACAGGCGCCTGCCACCACGCCCAGCTCATTTTTGTATTTCTAGTAGAGACAGGGTTTCACCACGTTGGCCAGGCTCGTCTTGAACTCCTGACCTCAGGTGATCCACCCATCTCGACCTCCCAAAAGTGCTGGGATTACAGGTGTGAGCCACAACACCTGGCTGATGTCTATTTTTAAAATTTTTTTTGTAGAGATGAGGTCTCACTATGTTGCCTAGGCTGGTCTCAAACTCCTGGGCTCAAGCGATTCCCCCCATCTTGGCATTCCAAAACGCTGGGATTACCAGCATGAGTCATCACACCTGGTCTGTTTTCTTAACAAAAAAGTTTTATTCAAACACAGCCATGTATGTTCATTTACGCATTGGTTTGCTGGCAATTTTTTACTATCTGGACCTTTACAGAAAAACCTGCCACCTGTGCTGTACTGTGTATCTTGATCTGGGTAGTGATACACACACACACACACACACACACACACACACACACACACACACACAAAATTTTTTCTCCTGAGCTATATAACTTAGAACTTTTCTAACTTTACAGCATTTTATTGTAACTCAGTAAAAATTTTAAAAGTTTAAAATATGTTACACTTTGAACTTGAGTGCACTTGAGTACACTCTGAGTTACTTTAAAGCTTGTCTTTTTTTTCATTAAACAGCAAGCCAACTTGTTTGATCTTTACTTGATTATTACAATATGTGAAACCTTTGGGGGTCAGTCTCTACTGCCTGATGTTTCTGTTGCAGCCCACACTGGGTCCACTGTTTTCTTGTATGCAAGGATAACTCTGACTTGTGTTAATCACTACCTTTAAAAAGTTATCCGGGGTGTTTCTTGAGACTTAGAATAAGGATGTCTTCCTGCAGAGACGATTGTCATTGTCTTTACCAGACACATGGGCTACCACCAGACTAGAACTACTTCCCAGTCATTTCCAGAGTTACTTTCACCTTCCTGGGGATGTAAATCTTAGCTACAAGTCTGTATGAGAGTCGGCTTGCCTGCCTCCACCCCACTGTGTCCCCTTTCCCTTTCCTATTCTTCCTTCCTTCTTTTCCTTCTTTTTCTTCCCTCCCTCCATGCATGAAAAGGAAAGATGTATTTCTAATTCACACTTATATGTGGTGGTGTTTTTTGAGGTCATACCTATTAGGTTCCCCTCTTGGAACACTCAGAGATTTGACTTCTCTCTCCCTTACATTACAGTCACCTAAACTACAGCTGAGTTTCAACAGAGCATCAAACAAGATTGCCTGCTTCTCTGGGTTCTTGCTGTCTCTTAGCCTGTCAGCTCTTCTGTGCTTTTATGTTTGAAAAACCCATGTTTTTTCCCAGCAGAATTGCTCCTTCCATTTAACAGCAAGCATTTTTCTCTGTTTAGCAAATGAAAAACCTAATTATAAATATTGTATTAGTTACCTCTACTTTGTTACACATTCTACAATGTTAAGATTTACGTTGATCACATCTATTTCATTGGCTTAAGGTTTAATTTAAATGCACAACTACCTTGTAGAATAAATTACATACTTAAACTTTGTGATAATATTTAATATTTAGGATATTATAAAATTCTTTTTTAATTTTTTTTTTTTGAGATGGAGTTTTGCTGTTGTCGCCCAGGCTGGAGTGCAATGGTGCGATCAGGGCTCACTGCAACCTCTGCCTCCAGGGTTCAGTTGAGTCTTTTGCTTCAGCCTCCCGAATAGCTGGGATTACAGGCACCTGCTACCATTCCTGGCTGACCTTTTGTATTTTCAATAGTGACGGGGTTTCACCATGTTGGCCAGGCTGGTCTCGAACTCCTGACCTCAAGTTACCAGCCCACCTCGGCCTCCCACAGTGCTGGGATTACAGGCGTGAGCCACCACACCTGGCCAGGGTATAATAAAATGCTTAATAGAACTAGTCTACCCTCAACCGGAACAATGAAAATTTAGTCACTGAAGTAAGTCAAAGAAACAGTTTCACTGATGAGGGAATCATTCTACATGAACCATAAACAAGGCAAGAAACTCATTAAATATATCTGCTGTGGTGCAATGTGCCCTGGAACTACAATGGTTACTACTCCCTCAATATTGCCCTTAGTGAAAGCTTTATCTCTGGAAAAACTTTAGAGAAATGCCTGCAAAAGAACTCAGTGGTGTTAATAGAGCAGAACTTTAGAAACTAGCAAAGAAAACCTTGTGATCACAAAAATGAAGCCCGAGGTATATGTATTGAACATTGTTGACTTGCTACAACTAGACACTATCCAATTTGTAAGCAGAGGGCTGCCCTCAAGTCTTTAAGTCAGCACAATAAATAAACCCTAACTCCTTTGGACAAGACTTTGTAAAACTAGTTATATTAAAGCAAAATAAAAGTTATATTAACTTGCATATCACTTAATCATATTACTTTAGAAACTTAAAATATATACTCAATTCTCAATCATCTTTAGTGATGCCCATTCAGACTTGAGGGTACCTCTCATTTTCTGCCTAGTTATTAAATGATAGATTACAGAGGCTCAGGGATAAGGATAAGGTTAATTCTAGAAATACCAAGAAGTAAGATCTGGAAGAGTCTTAAGGATAAGAGTGAAATCCATCTGCTTTGCAAAGGAGGAAGTGGAAGCCCAGGAAGAATAAAGCTTACTCAAGACTGCAAAGAGGCCAACACACTAGAAATCAGAAATCTTGACTCCTAGCCCACCGTCCCCTAAAACATGGGCTTTTTTCTTACACAGAGATGAAGATGGGGTAAAAACTAAATACATGAGTTTTTAAACACTGAGATGGAAATGTCCAGGTGACATACATGCCAAAATGTATGTAGTGACCTTTCAGTGAAAAAGAAAAAAAAATTGAGACTAGAACTCCATTATAAAAATAAGAGCAGACTGACTTCATCCCTGACATCTATTAGCATTTATGCATTTTACTCACTACGTTCTGAGGGTGCTATGGTTTGAATGTCTCCCCCAAAAGTTCATGTGTTGAAAACTTAATTGCCATAGGAACAGTATTAAGAGATAGGGCCTTAAAGAAGAGATTAGGCCATGAGGACTCTGTCCTCATGAATGGATTAATACCATTATCACAAGGGCAGTTATTATGGAAGTGATTTCTTGATTAAAAAAAAGAAAGATGAGTTCAGCCCAAGTTCTTCTGTGCTTTGCATACTCGCTGCTGCCTTTCTGCCTTCTGCCATGGGATAACCCTCACCAGGTGCCAGTGCCATGCTCTTGGACCTCCAGAACTGTGAGCCAAATAAACTGGTCTTTATCAATTACCTAATCTGTGGTATTCTGTTATAGGGAGAGAAAATGGACTAAGAGAGGATCTTCTACAAGAAAAATCCAGTTGTTTGTTTTTGATGGGTTTCTCTAGGCTTCAAGGAATTAAAAAAATATAACTAGTAAACTACCTAGTGCACAGAATACTGCGACTTTAATTGTTAAATGTTCTTCAGATTCCTTCTCAAATTTTTATCTAGATTGAACAACTGGGATTAAGAAGAAGAAAAGACCCAGCTGGGTGCGGTGGCTCAAGCCTGTAATCCCAGCACTTTGGGAGGCCGAGACGGGCAGATCACAAGGTCAGGAGATCGAGAACATCCTGGCTAACATGGTGAAACCCCGTCTCTACTAAACGTACAAAAAATTAGCCGGGTGTGGTGGTGCGTGCCTATAGTCCCAGCTACTTGGGAGGCTGAGGCAGGAGAATCGCTTGAACCCAGGAGGCAGAGGTTGCAGTGGGCCGAGATCCTGCCACTGCACTCCAGCCTGGGCAACAGAGCAAGACTCCATCTCAAAAAAAAAACGAAAAAAAAAAAAAAAAAAAAACCCAAACAAACAAAAGAAGAAAAGGCCCTTGCGGACAGGGACCATGTTTTATTTACTCCATTTCCTTATTTACAGCCTAAGTACAGACACCTTAAAACTGTTGAATGGATGTTTGTCTAGGGATTTATTTTGTTGTTGTTAATAGAGAAAAGTCTATTTGACATTCTTTTTCATTAAAACAAAACTGTGAAACTATCTTAAATGATATGACTTAAGCAACATTAGAAATGAGTGGAGTCTGTAAGATTAAAGGCAAAAGGAATGAACATAATCACTCTCATCTAGCTGGTAAAGTCATTTCTCACATGGGTAGAGGCTAACAATTCTGCAACCTCTATACATGTGTACTGCAATTGAACAATTAAGTAAATGGACGGTGGTTGGTAGGAGCCATGTTTCTCACTGTTGGAGTGGGAGGTTCCAGACATGCAAGGGAAGTCTGGAATGATCAATATGGTAATAGATTAGAGTTAGAGACATAGTATGAACTCATGTTTTAGTTACTATAGATACAGATGGTTACATATAGAAATATCTATAGAAATGTACACCTATAGGGGTTAATATAGGTACATATATTTCCTTGCTCTGTCAGTTGAGGAGGCCTAAAAACAATGACACCCCAGTAGCAATCAGCATACTTAGTACCCAGATCTCAGTTTTTAATAAAAGGAGCAAAGGCTCCTTAGAGAAATGGCTCATTCTACGGCTTGAGCAAGAAATATACAAAATGACGCTAGAGCATCCTATAATACCAGAAAGGATGTGTTCAAAGAAAACACAATCATGGGATAAGTCACAGGGAAACGGGAGCGAACTGAAAGAGCTTTCAATGGCCAAAGCAGAAAGAACTGGAGTTAAAAAACAAAACAAAACAAAAACACACATTAGACTTTAACCCAAAATATAAAATAAGTATCCATGAGTCATACTGACATAAATCATTAAATAAAATTAATGGTAGAGAATACTTAAGTCTCCTGTGCAGAATTCCAAATAATTTAGGTACTTCACCAGCAAAGTAACTCTGCATTCCTTAAGTGAGTTTGTTCCAAAGAGCACAGTATGTATGAAAAGGGGAAACAGAAATAACCTTTTTTTTTGGGGGGGGGGGGGCGCGGTGGGCAAAAATGACATTTAGAAGGGAAAAGCAATAACTATAGTGGAAAAAAATGACAAACACTACGTCGGCCAAATGAGGTTAAGGTTAACCTCAAAAGTAGTATCATGTTTACAGCATGTGTCCTCAAAATAATGTGATGAAAATGGCAATTTACCTCTGTAGTCCTCCCCGCAAAACACATAGCCCCAGTCTAGTCATGAGAAAAACAGAAAAATCCCAATTGAGGAACATTCTCCAGGTATTTACCTGACCATTACTCTTCAAAACTGTCATCAAAAACAAGGAAACTCTGAGAAACTGTCACATCCAAGAGAAGCCTAACATGACATGACAACTAAATAACATGGTACCCTGGGTAGGATCCTGGAACAGTAAAAGGGTATTAGGGAAAAACTCAGAAAATCGAAAAAAATTAAGAACTTTAGTTAACAATGAGTCATTTCAACAAAGGTACCATATGAATGTATGTTAGTAGGGAAACAGTGTGGGGTATGTTAAAAATCTGTACTACTGTGGCAATTTCTCCAGAAATCTAACTGTCCTAGTTTATTTTTTAAAAGTTTATTTTAAAAACTTATATAGCAAGGCAGAACAGACAAAACAGAAGGCTTCGAAAGATAGGATGGTTTTATATTTATGAAAAGCATTTGTCTTTCACCATAACTGGTAAAGCATTTTACAGTCTCCTAAATGTTTGTTAGTCAAAGAAGTAAGTTTTAGTTTAAACTATTTACCTGAAGATTAAAAAAGAAAACAACACTTGGCTAATTTTACTTGAGGATAAAAGACAGGGCTATTACAGACTTACTCAACTAGTCTATTTTTGATTAAACTGAATGCTTGGTTAAGTCTCAACAGAGTTAACAAACAGCTTCCAATTGGTATTAGAATCAAATCCAAAGTCCTACATTCATACATCATCTGGCTCCTGCCTACCTTCTTTGACTTCATTTTATACTACCACTGCCCGTTTTCATTCACTGGAGCCACACCAGTCTTTCTGTTCTAAGAACCTAGTAAGCCTTAGGGCTTTCATGTTTTGTCCTTGTCTGGGACCTGTTAACTACTGCTGGGTAGCAAACTACCCCCGACACTTAGTGGCTTTATACAACTCCCATTTTATTCACTCATGATTCTGAGAGTCATCAATTTGGACTGATCCCACCAGGAAGCTCATCATACAACTTTAGTCAGCCGGCAGCTAGACCGGGGGGGATAGGTGACTAGTGGTCACATCTGGCAGTTAGTGCTGGCTGTTGGGTGAGCCATGTATTTCCAGTGGGTATGCCTGGGCTTTTTCACATGGCTGCAAGCAGAAGTCCAAGTGTAAGAGTAGAAGCATTCACTTGATCAAAGCAAGTTACAAGGCCAGGTCCACATACAAGTGGTGGGAAGCTGACTCCAGCCTTGATGGGAGGAGTATGCAGCCATCTAAAACTGGACACATGTAGAATGCTTCTCCTGAAAGCTCTCCATAGCTATGCCTTAGGCATGCTCTCTTCAAAATATAGTATCTTCAGAGGCCTTTCCTAACCACTGTATTTAAAATAGCTTCTCATCCTACTTTCTTCATCCTTCACCATTTCTTGACCCTGTTTTACTTTCTACCATTACAATTACCCATTATTTCATGGTTCACTGTCTGTTTTCTCTATGAAAGCAAGTACTTAATCTGCCTTGTTCATTCCCAAGAAAGAGCTAGCATAGTAGGTACTCAACAAATACACAGGCAATTCTAATCTCTATTTTTTATTCCACAATAAGATGATCAAGCTACTAAACAACTGAAAAAGCAATGCACTTTAGTTAGTAAAATGCACTTTAGTAAAAACAATCTAAGTGGAAATAAGATTTTTGTCTCTTCTGTCCAGACAAAAAAAATGAAGAATCTATGTGTTAAGTACAAAGTAGAAGCTGGGTGTGCTGGTGCATGCCTGTAGTCCCAGCTACAGGAGGCTGAAGCAGGAGGACCACTTGAGCCAAGGAGTTCAAGGCTGCAGTGAGCTATGATCATGCCACTGCACTACACTCTGGGCGACAGAGCAAGACCTCATCTCTAAAACAAAACAAAAGACAAAGTAGAAAGTTACCTGAGTCTTTTCCAAGTTATTTAATTTACAGCATCAGTCTCCAAATATAATAATATTAAGATAGCAGTTTAGAAATTAACTTTTTTTCAGATCACTCTAACATAAAATCTCTCAACTGAATCTCTAGTTTGTCTCATTTTGTTAAGAGCTTTAATATTACATGGGAAGTTCAGAGACTTCTATTTCCATCCCTCAACATGTAGTGACAGTCAACATGTCAGGCTCTGTAGCACCGTGATATCCCAGCACCAGACCACTCCAGCCACCCTCTCATTCAAAGAAGGGCTACAAGATATGGCTGGACTACTCGAATCACATCTGATCTTAATCAATCCAGGTATAGAAAGTTGTACTATAAAGAATACTTTCCAAAATTGTTCACTCAAATAAAAACAGATCAAGTCATTACAGAGCATTTTTCCATTTTAATAAGAATAACAGACCTACTCAAGGTAATTTTATTCTGTTTATTTAAATAAGGATAAGACTACTTAAAAGACTTTTTACATACAAAAATGTACAAGGTTAAACTTTTCTGTACTGAATTACAAAACCTGCACAAGCATGTAATAAAAGAGCACACTTAAAAACATTCTGACCATTATTTAGCCTCTAAAAATTACTGAAGTTCAACAGTAGTAAATAGAGGAAGCTCTTACATATATATATATATATATATATATATATATGATTTAATCTACTGGCAGTTTTACTTAATGTAAGTATTTAAAAGGTCACATTGCTATTGAATGAGTCTCTAGATCAATTTTAGAATTGTCTCTCAAAACTTAAGTCAACCAAAATATTATTTCAAATAGTAATTCCAATTCTGAAGAATTTTAATACCAGCAAATATATTATGGCCTCATAGTAGTAACTGAACCAACTTTCCAAAGTGCCTGGTAGCTGTCCAGATGAATTAGGCTGCTTTGGAAAACTGTACTGTCTCTACAGCCATTGAGAAGCCATTCAGTGCCCTGGTAGGGACCTGAGACTTTCCAGAATTCACACAGCAGTCTATGATCCCTCAAATGTAAGAGGACAGGGGGTCAGCCTATCTTCACCTCTCAGTGAATGTGGAGGGCCAAGCAATATGACTTGCAAACCTAAGCTAGAAGCTTGGGATCTACAGTAAGGAGGAAGGAGAATTAAAGTAGAGAAAGAAAATGTATAAGGAGAAAGGGAAAAGAAGGAACAAAGAGGGAAAAGAAAAAACAAGGATGCCTGCTAATGGCAGGAAGTGGTAAAGTGCCTATAACTACAACTTACAAGCCACCCACTAATTCTAATGCCATTCATTTGCCTACTCCAATAATAAGAAAAGCTGGCTTTACTGGAATATAGAATCTAGAGCAACATTACCCGCCTCATGTTAGTGAGTAACTAGTATTCTAAAGTTGTTTGCCATACATATCAAGTTCTTCTAACCTTTGAAGCAAACCAAAACACTTCAAAACTCAGGGCTCCCAGGGCTGCTGCTCCAGATTCCCAGCATTCAGCATGCTTCATTATGTGGAGAAAGACATTTCAAGACAAGCTGTATCTATACACCTTCAGAAGGAACAAAGCTCTAAGAAGGTGGGATTATGTTAACACATAGTACATGGTTTAGCGTTTCTCCACATTTCAAACTCAAAATAGCTCAATAATATGCTGCTACATGAGCATTGATTCTGAATGTTCATAATATAAACTTCAATTTGAAGCAACAATGTTACACAGTTCAGCTGTTATTACCAACCTACTCTGTAAGTTAAAATACAAATAAAATATTAATTTTATTGAGTAACTAAAAATAAGTTCCCACTGACTTAAAATCGTCAAATGGCTAACTCTCTCTCAACTAAGAGAGCAACACAGATGGAAGCAGAGAGGACAACTGAATATAAAATAAAATTTGTCAATCTACTCTATAATCTGCACTTTTAAAATCCCCTTTTGCATATATGTATGTATAGGATCACAGTTGCCCACCAACATTATGTCTGTCAGCCCTGCAGATAACAATTTACTGTAACGTTAACAATTTATGCAATACTTAGTATGTTTTATCTTATGTGTACAGATTTACAGTTTGGAATAAAGGCAGAATGATTAAAAACTATTGGGTTAAAGTCTTAGTATGGTACTTACCTGCAAGGCTGAATTAATTTTTTGGAAGGCTATTCAATAGCTGAACTAAAATGCTTGTTTAACAAATCAAAAGAGGAATAAGACTACTTTAAAACATATTGAAAAAGGTAAATCCCAATTTGAAGATCAATCATATAACGAAAAAAGTATGAAGTATCCTTTGCTCTTGCTTAGAAACACATAGCAGAACAGTAGAAACTAGAACTCATGAATATAAGGTAAACCCTATTTTCCCACTGATTTCCATTATACAATTGGAGTGAAAATACCACTCAAACAAAAATAAACAAAAAATCTTAGCAGGTAATTCTGTGTAGAACAGCCATGTGGGAATTGTCTATATTACAGCTGCAGGGAATCTCATGTAAGCTAGGAGTCCATCTTCCTATGTTGCACTCTGCAGTGACTTCTGACTCCAGTAGCTCCTCTATTGCCTACTCCATATTACGCTAATTTTTGCCCCTGACTGCTATGCTTCCTGGACTCTTATAAATTCTAGAATTCTACCCCCACTCCTAACTCTCTAAACTTTCTTCCATCGAATACCACCTCTAACATGATTACTCTGCCTGAAGACTTTTTAAATCAACTTCATTTTGAAAAGATTAAGCTCCCACGAGCGAGTAATAGCTGAACTCACAGAGTGAGATCACAGACTGCTCATGAAAAGAGTACGTAGGACTGCTACATGACAAGAACATTCTAAAGGATGGGCCAGGTACAGAATCGACCAGTCAACTCATAATATATGTATCAATTGTTACAACTTCAAGGAAAGGAGCAATAGCAAGCACTGATTCCTTTTTGCTTTTTATGGGAAGAAGCAATGTAAGCAATTAAAGAACAGCATTTTTATCTGTATATTCTGAATAGTTTTCCAGCACTACTACAAAGATGCTTTTCTTGGTGAACATTTAAGGATGAATGTTGCAGTATTTACTAAAATACTGTGATAAATTGGTATATGCTTCTGCTTTGTAAAAGAAATAAAATGGCAGGCAAACTAGTAAAATATTTGAGTTTTTAAAAAAAATCTCAAAAATCTCAAATTTCCCCCAAAGACTCTGAACAAGGCTAATGAGAGTAACTCCGAAAATTCACTGAATGCTTTTTTTTTTTTGAGATGGAGTTTCGCTCTTGTTGCCCAGGCTGGAGTGCAATGGTGCGATCTTGGCTCCCCGCAACCTCCGCCTCTCAGGTTCAAGCGATTCTCCTGTCTCAGCCTCCTGAATAGCTGGGATTACAGGCATGCACCACTATGCCCAGCTAATTTTGTATTTTTTAGTAGAGACGGGGTTTCTCCATGTTGGTCAGGCTGGTCTCAAACTCCTGACCTCAGGTGATCTGCCCACCTCAGTCTCTCAAAGTGCTGGGATTATAGGCGTGAGCCACTGCGCCTGGCCAATTCAATGGATGCTTTATAGCACATTTGTAGCTAATAATTTCAGTAGGGTCAATATAAATGACATATACTAAGCCATTGGTTTAAAAAGATATTCTTTCCTAATCAGGGCAAGACAGGCAAGAATTTTAAAAAAGGAAGGGAGGGAGGGAAGAAGGGAAGGAAAATAAATCCTTTATTTTTTTAAACCTATTTGAAACCTCTTAAGAAAATTCCACAATAATCAGGATTTCTGTAAATATTGTCAATATATATGAACATATTTGAAAAACTACAGTTACAGTATATTTACATTTTTGGAAACTTTTCTTCAGGGCCAAGTAACATGTTGTATCTTCCTTTTTGCTTGTGGGGGCTTCAGGTTATTCTGAAAGACATGAACAGAAATCAGTTTATACTTGCAGAAATATCAGAAAACAACTAAAATGAACATTTCAAACAACCAAGGTTTACTATTAATGTATTAATGGAAGATCACTGCTGCCATCTGGTGGGAATATATTTAAAGAAACAGGGGTGAGTTCTCTAGCTCTGTGGTTCTCAAATGTGTGTAGTTTAGAATAACTTAGAGCACTTAAAAACATGCCCCAGGCCTGGTCTTATCACAGAACCAATTAAACCAGAATCCATAAAAGGTAGGGGGATAAGGCTCTGACTTCTTTTTGCTTTTTTTGGAAGCTCCTCAAGTGATGTTAACATACAATCAGAGTTGAAAACCACTGACTGCTCCAGATCTGCTTTCTCCCTGTCCAGCCTATCTCCTCCATCAACTTTACAATTTAACAATCCAAAGTCAATGCAAATAGGCTGGGCAGGTGGCTCACGTCTGTAATCCCAGCCGAGTCAGGTGGATCACTTGAGGTCAGGAGTTTGAGACCAGCCTGGCCAACAGGTTTGGTGAAACCCTGTCTCTACAAAAATAAAAAAAAAAAAAATTAGCTGGGTGTGGTGGCAGGCGCCTATAATCCTAGCTACTCGGGAGGCTGAGGCAGGAGGATTGCTTGAACCTGGGAGGCGGAGGTTGTAGTGAGCTGATATCTCACCACTGTACTCCAGCCTGGGAGACAGAGCAAGACTCTGTCTCAAAAAACAAACAACACAACAAAAACACAAAGTCAATGGGAAATGTTAATAAGAAGAAAAAGATTTATATGTGGGCCCTACATAAAAAAGAATCTTTTATCCTTAGTGTTTCACATATAGCTCTCTCACACTCTCTCTCTCTATATATATATATATCTCATATCTATAAAACAGTAAAATTTTGTAGGGTAGAGAAATGCTGTTTAAGAGCCTGGAAAAAAAAAATTCTCTGAGGCTTACTCCTTATGGCAATATTTGAGATGTGGCTTTATTGTTCTAACTCTTATCCCACACCTTCCTCCTCTCTCCCACAAAGGTAGCTGAAAGGAGTATGGACGAAGCATGGCCTCCAAAGTGTGTGCCCTGGGATCAAACAAACCTAAATTCAAATCGCAGCCTGGTGGCTTACTAATAACTCTGGAATTCTGGACAAACTTATTTAAATTTACTAAGTTTCTGTTTCCTTATCTGTGAAATAGGAATAACGAAGATGCCTACTTCATAGTTACTGAAAGGATTCAATGAACTAATAAAAGTAAAAAACTCATGACCAGTCAGGTGGTTTTCTTTTTCCAGTCTACTATTTTAGAATGTTTGAATTTTCTGAGTTTTGATCCCTTTGATACATGATTAGATGATAATAATAATAAAGGCAAAGTATTCTACAGAATAATGGCTATTAAACTACTAGGTATTTAAAAGTAAAAGCACTTTTCTGAAGCGCCTATATATATTTTATATTATATATATATAAATCATCTCACAAATTAAACTCTAATACATTGTGTTAACTGCACTAAATGTGCCAACAAGCATCCAAATGATTCAACATAGTGGAGCACAACATAATAGATTTCCCCAACTTCTGCTATCCCCACAAAGCTAGGTAAATTGAGCAGTAGGCGAGGCAAGTGGTAAATCTTAAAAAGATTCTGGTGTCTGGTGTGGTTTTAAGGTATGCACAAACAGACAGACTTAAGGTCAGGCCCCAAATGCTACTTAATAAATGTGTGACCCTGGACAAATTACTTAATGTTCTAAACCTTGCTAATAAAGGAATATTTATCTGTTTTAGTTCCAAGACAGTTAAAGGAACTAAATGAGAAAAATCTAGGAAAACTGCCTAACAGATCCTCTCTCTACGTATTTTAAGCAGAAATAACTTGAGTGAACTTTTAAAAACATTAATCACCATGGATTTTTAAATTCCAGGATTCAAGTACTGGAGTAATAAGTTGTATTATACAAATCAGACAGACCATCAAAAGGGTTCAAGAACAGAATGTAGCACAGTCGACCCACCTCCCGTCATGAGGCAGACTGCTCAAGTTTCATTCAGACCACTTACCAGCATGGAAACCACCCCCATACTTACCATGGCCTCTGCCTCTTCTTTAGGAGCAGCTCTCTTTAACTTCACTGGAGTAGTTCCAACAGGGGACAATGGTGGCGACTTCACAGGGCCTGAAGGACTTTTCCTATGCGTTAAGTCATGGTTCTGTTTAGCGTCATTATTATTGTGTTCCGTTTTATTGTTCACAGGCAAATTGGAAGACAAAATTAGGGGTGAAACACTCGAAGAGGAATTTGATAATTTTCTAAAGGCATTACTGGTAAAGCTTGCCTGCGGGGGAGGCTTCAGTCGATCATTATCTCCATTCTCTGTCTTTTTCACTTTTATGCTTGTACTTGTTGAACTTCCATCAAATACGATGAGGGGTCTTTTCCTTAACCCATCTACAGTGCTACTCCTGAAATCAAAGAGATGCACTCTTGAAAAATACCATCTGGAACGGCAAACCAGTTCACTGGGATTCAAGTTAAAATAAGCAGTAAACAAAAAGATTTTCTGATAAGACTAATCTGAGACTATTAAAAATGAAATTTTCTATGTTCATTCTAAATGAAAGAATTTCCTAGTGTTTTATTTCAAAGTTTAAAATATTTATGTACAAGAAATTCAAAGTTAGCTTTCATGTATACACAACATGCAGCTATTTTTAAAACATCAATTAACCATCTAGCCCTGGAACTTAAAATGAGATTTCCTAGTTAAAAAACAAACACCAGCTTATTGATAGGGTTATCTTAACCATGTAATCAGTTATTATTTTAAAAGGATGATAAACTATAAAACTATACCAAGACTACCACAGCAGCAATCTACAAATGGGGCACAGCATTCTACTCCATTCAGCAAAGGTCTCTAAAGCCAAGACATTTTCTAAACTAATCGTAACTGGACATTTGTACAAGTTCAATTGTAAAATCTGGCAAGTGTCTCATACTTACCTTCTGGAAATCTAATTTCCACTCTTAATAGTAAAGGTTAATAAGGAAAGCATTCATTTGTTTATTACTTATTATACCTCAGATAATATCTATATCACCTATCTCACAGATGAATTGAAAAAAAATTTATTTTTGAGACGGAGTTGCGCTCTTGTTGCCCAGGGTGGCGTGCGATGGCGCGATCTCGGCTCACTGCAACCTCTGCCTCCCAGGTTCAAGTGACTCTCCTGCCTCAGCCTCCCGAATAGCTGGGATACAGGTGCATGCCACAGTGCCCAGCTAATTTTTGTATTTTTAGTAGAGACGGGGTTTCACCATGTTGGCCAGGCTGGTCTTGAACTCCTGACCTCAGGGTAATCCGCCCGCCTCCCAACATGCTGGGATTACAGGCGTGAGCCACTGCTCTTGGCCCAAAAAAAAACCCTTTTAATTAAACATGTTAAAAGAATCTGAGATAGCCAGTTATCAGGAAGAACATTTTAGCCCTGCCACTCAAAGTGTGATCCAGGGACCAGCAGCACCAGCACAGCAACGTCAGTCAGTATCTTAGGAGCTTGTAAGAAATGGAGAATCTGGGGCATCAACCTGAATACATCAGAACTCACCTTTTAACCAGATTTCTAGCAGTTGGCCAAACTCAACAATTCTTGGGTCATCACTGAACATCATTTGGTAGAAAATGAGAAGTAAGCTCACTGTATACCCACTGCCTTTGTAGAAGGGAAACAGGGACTGAGAGCAGGGTTTGACAGCTTGCTTAATCTAAGATTCAAGAAGCACATTAAAGTTTGAGAAGCACAGGGCTATGTTGCTATGGACCTGGTCCTAGCTCTGTGTGACCTTGGGCATGTTACAGCACTTCTCAGGATCTCAGTTCCTCCACAGATAAAATAATAAGTAGTTCAACAATACAAGATGATCTCTTGGATCCTTCCAGTTTTAATGCTCTGATTCAATTGTGTATTTAAAAAATAGAGTCAAAGATCCTTTCCAAAATGATTTTGGGGGACTAATCAAGACAGTTGTACAAAGATTGCTTCAAAGGAAAGTATGACTGGCACATAAAGTTTTGCTTACTAGAACAATATGCCTGAATGTGCTGATCAAGAGGAAAATACTGGCTGAATAACAGCAAAAGTAAATTAAAAGCCATATGCAGTGTAACCCATATTTATGAAAGTTAACACCACTACATAGTCTGTACTAGTAAGTAAAGTAACCATCAAGCTAAAATGGTCAATCTAAAATGCATTCTTGATCAAAGGTCAGACTGTGTGTGTATTTTCCAAAAGACAATGAGCAGACATGTATTCTTCGACTATTCTTCATAATTGGAGAATAATCTCAATCATTAAATTTTTCTTTGTAAAACAGAGATTAAAACTCAGAGGAACATACTCCCCTTTACCCCTACCCTCCTACTCTGTCTTCTCTCACTGCTTCTAGTGGATTGCCTATGACGGTGCCTTACAAATAGAAGGCCCTAAAAAAAAATTAATTGATCAATAGTATCCACTTGAGATATAATAGACACAGAAGAGTTCACTTAAGGATCTTAGGACACTTTGTACTTATTAACCAATCAACAACACTGATTAATCAAATGTAATTTTCTTTAAAAAAGAAAAAATCACTTGCTTGTGGTTTTATAAAACTGTTTTTGAAATTAAATAATTTTAAATAGCATAACTTAAGCTAGTTAACAGGCCCTTCATTTGTGTATTATTCAAAGACCTTAGAGTTTTACCTGACTTGACTTTTTCCTCAAAATTCAGGAAATCCTATTGGCTCTATCTTCAAAATACATGCATGCTCCAACCCACCAAATTTACTATTGTAGTCAAAGCTGCTGCCATCTATTGCCTGGATTACAGTACAGGCTTCTAATTTGTTTCCCTGCTTCCAGTCTTATACACACCGCTTCCCCTCCCCACACACCTTAAATCACTTCTTAGGACAGCAGCCAGAGTCATCTTGTCAAAATGTACATCTAATGATGTCACCACTCTGCTTAAAACCTTCTAGTGGCTTCTCATCTGAGTACAGCCAAAGTCCTTACAATGACTTACAAAGCTTTACATGATCTGACAATCTCTCCCGTTTGCCCCCAGTACAACTCGTTCTTCCTACTTCTCCATCCAGCCCTGATAGCTGCTTTGTTGTTCCTGGTATATGATGGGCACATTCCAGATCCAGCCTCTTGTATTCTGCCTGGAATCCTAGCTTGTTTTCTTCTTCCTACAGGTCTCTCTACTAAAATGTCATTTTTCACTAAGATCTTCCTGGATAATTTACCAAAAATTGTAATCTTTCTCCCTGGCCTTTATTACTATATAACAATACCATATTTTAACTGTTGTTATGTTTCTCCCATCAAAAATATGAGCAGGGAATTTTGTCAGTTTTATTCACTGCTATACGCACAGTGCCTGGTGCTCAATAGATAGTCATTGAGTAAATAAATTTTTTACTTAAGTTTATCTCAGGAAAAATCAATAACTTATATATAACTTTAGTTATATAAGATAAATTGAAAGCTAGAACCACCAAAAAGTACCTTTTAGTCTCATTTTTAATCTCATGTTGTTCTCTTTTCTTTTCCATCATTTTCCCCCATCTATTCTTCGGCAAATCCCTCTGAGGCAATGGTATTGCATGTTGGACATAAAGGTCAGTAAGACTGTCTTTGTTTACTCTTACATCAGTTTCAACAGCTATGTTCTTCTGCGGGAAAGGAAACAAAAGTAATTTCAAAACAATGTTTTTAATTTTAACAAGTAACCACCTTACCTAACATGGTAAAACATTACTGCTTAAATAACAAATTATAAAAAGCCATTTTCACAATAACACGCGCACTTAGAGACAGTGTTAAAGGTTAAATTCTGTAGATACTAGGTTCAGCCTCATCTTAAAAACAATGGTCATATTTTCTCAGTGTGACAGGGATTGCTGTCCACAACTGCTCAGCCAACACACCAAGCATGAAAGATCATTTCCAGTAAAATTATCTTAATATACAAAGGGGATTGAAAATGGGAGACTGCCTGTTGACAAAAGAAAGCTAACAATGATTAACAATCACCACATTCTGTCAATAAGCTACCTTGAGTGTTACTATCATGATCAGATTAGTGGGATGAAGGTCTCAGTCTGTCTTATATTTCTCGTGCTTCTCTAATCTGGTGCTTCCTAAATTGAAGTTAACTACCAAGATTTCAAATAATACCACAAATAGAAACTGTTATTCCCGTACTGACGACAGTAGCAGTACATCATTAGAAAAGCCTGCACCCCATTTTCACTGGTCCTTTCAAGTAAGCTTCCAGTCATTGTCCAACCATCTCTATCTAAATCACCAAATTCTTCCTCATTTTCCAATTTGTTCTTGACATCATGAAAAACATAGCATAAGCACAGGAGTAGTCATGAAGACAGAGTTTGGATTTAAGAAGGAGAAATGAGAATGGAAATGAGATCACAGGCTCTTCAATTTCAACTCAGAAAGGCTTGAAAACATTTGTGTTTAGTACCACCGACAAGCCTATATCCTCTAACAAAAACTAATAAAAGCACATTTTACTTCTCTTTCGTATATTAGACTCATCTATTTTTAGCCCGTACTCGCTCAGAAGTAGGGGAAACTACCAGGATTCTCTTGGACAACGTTCCCAGAGAATTCATAAGCCCATTACTTTGGAAAGTATTGCCTTAGGACAGTGGTGGTCAAAGCATGCTTTCTGGGCCAGCAACAAGCTCGTTAAAAATGCAAGATTTCGGGCCACATTCCGGAACTACTGAACGAGAAACTGAGGACGGAGCCCAACAATCTGTGTTTTAGCAAGTCCCTCGACTCATTCTTAAGTACCTAAAAAGTTTGAGAACCACAGGTAAAAACTTACTGACATAATTAAGCTCTACGTGGCAAGAGGACCTGAAATTCAACAAAGATAGGGTACTAAGGGGAAAGCCATATGAAAAACAACAAAATACGCTACATAAACCCCAAGGAAACTTCCAGTAATTCTCTATCACTTAAAACATCACTTTTTTCCTTTCTCACTTTTCTCCTATTATCAGAGGCCACACCAGCTGGAAAAGAGCACGCACTACATGGAGAGCCAGGAGCCCTGAATTCTCCTCCCGGAAGTACCATTTACAGATGTTGTGACCTTAAACAAGTCACTTCATCTCTCTGGAACTGTTTTTATCATCTTTAAACGATTAGAAGGTGTGGAATGGACGGTTTCTCAGATGCTTTCCAGTCCTGACAGTCCATGATTTCTACATTCCATGTCTATTCCACGCTTCTTTCTTCCTCAGGTCGGGGCTTACACACAGGCAGGGGGTGTCGCCTGGGACTCCTCTTTACAAGCCATCGGGACTCAGATAGATAAGCCCTATTTCCCAAGCATTCCTGATATTCTACGGACGTCTCATTTTTGGAGAGGGGGCGAGGAGCAGGAGCGAGGAGACAGCTGCCTGGTCTGTGTGGGTGGAGAGTGACACAAACCCGGCGGGAGTGTCCGTGGTTGCCGAGGGCTACTTAAGGCAAGCTCGGGTGCAAGCGCCTCACCTGGGAAGGCCCACCCGCCCACCCTCCGATCCGGCGCGCCCAACCTGCTCCAGAGTGAGGAGAAGGAACTCCTGGGACAGCAGCTCCGGGTGCAGCAGCAGTTCCGAGTCCGTGCAGCTGCGACCGCCCACATCCCCCGCCATGGTCGTCGCCAGGAGACCCCAGTCGGCTACCCACAAAGCCCCGCGAAGGAAGCGTTGCGGAAGTGACGTACTCGGGCGGAGACTCGCGTGTGTCGTCACTCTGAGTCGCCGCATGCCGGGCTCCTTCTCTCGCTGCTGGTTCGGGTGTTGGGGCCTGGTCCCGCTTGCAAAAGCTCCCACGGACCAGAGAAAAGAGGAGGATGTCAGACGTAGAAACAAATGGCGTGTCAAGTTTCGCAGGAAGAGAGGGAAGAGTGAAGCTCCGGGAGCCAGCCACGATTAGTCGCGCCTTCTGTGACGTCCAATGGCAGAGGTCAAAGGGATTCCTGGGGCAACCTCGAGGGAAAGAATTCTGGCTCCGAGGGCCGGTGTACAGTGCTTTAAATATGGCAGTGGTTATGTGTGAAATTATCGTGTTTTTCTGTTTAACCTGTTTCTTGTCTCTTCATCGCCTTTCTATATAATGTAAGACCAGAGGCTTTATGTAGTGAATTCCCTGTAACCCCGGCTGCTTGGACAGATAGGTATTCAAGTATTTGTTTCTTGAAGTAATCCTCTGAATTAACTTGCTCACATGTAAAAAATAATAACGGGCTGGGAAACGCCAGTAATAGCCGCCAAACGTTTGTTAGACATTTACAGTGTGCCAGGGACTGCATTTTACGTGTATTATCACATTCCTCAGAACAGCCTAATGAGGTATATATTACTAGAATGCCTATTTTTCAGATGAGGAAACTGATGCATAGAAAGGATAATTTACTCAAGAGCGAGGAAGTAGCAAGCATAAAATCCAAGTACATTTTTTTCTGCATGTATTAATAGGTACAATGAAGTAACTTTTTAAATTGCTGTAGGTATCAATCATAGTCTTAATTCCCAGTAATTCACTTACTAAGAAATATTTTCTGCTTCTCTTTCATCATTCATGGGAGAGATACATATCCCTAAATATTTTGCACATTTAAAACTTAAACTTGGGTATGGTGGCTTATGCCTGTAATCACGGCGTTTTGGGAGGCTCAGGTGGGAGGATTGCTTGAGTCCAGGAGTTCCAGGCCAGCCTGGGCCACATAGTAAGACCCCGTATCTACAAAAAATAAAAAAAAAATTAACCGGGCATGGTAGTGTCTCTGTAGTACTAGCTACTCGGGAGGCTGAGGTGGTAGGATCACTGGCGCCCAGCAATTCCAGCCTGCAGTTAGGATTACCACACTGCACTTCAGCCTGAGCGGCAGAATGGGACCATGTCTGAAAAAATAAATAAAAAATAAAACTTGCAGGTATGTTCTGAATGTTTATTGTATGCATCCTCTATGAGGTATCATTTTATTGGAAATTATTGCATTGTCTACAAAAATATGAAGAACTCTGAAGATGCCAAAAGATAAACCGTGAAAGAGTACTAGAAGTGAGCTCCTCAAAAAGATAAAGCTGAGAAGTGTTTCCCAATTTTTCTTACTCATTTATGTATGTAATACTTTATGTCTAGAAACTGAATTTCAGAGCTGGGAGGGAACTTAAAAGTTAGTCCAGTTCTTTCATGTTAGTGCCAAGAAAGCTGATCAGAAAGAGATTAAATGACTTGCCCAAAATTGAATAGTCTTAAATCTGAGCTGAGGCAGGCGTCTGAATGTCTTAAATTGGAGTTAAATGTATTAGCGTCATAGTATTAACATCATCATATTCCATATCTCTCAAATCTGATTTGATTTTCATTACAATAGAGAAATAAGTGTGATTAGTATTATCCCCATTTCCTTCACCGGGAGGCACATTGTTTTAGTATCAAAAGCAGCTACCTTGGGAGAATCCGGGGCTAGAAACCTGACTTCATTTCAAGTTTTACTCTTGTTGCACCAAAACCTTGGGTGAGTTAGTTTCTCAGCCTCAGTCCCCTCATCAGGAAAATGCTGTGTTAGCACTTTCTGTGAAGAATGATCAAAGGAGTGGAGATTATGGAGATTATAAACACACTTGACACAGTAAGTGTTTAAGAACTGGTAGCTGATTTTTACAAAGTTATGGGTCATAGAAGGCAGTTTAGAGAAAAGGGCAGGCTTTGGAGTAGCTCAGTTGTATTATAACCTTGGCTTCTTTACTCACCTAGGACATACATTCTCTCTTTAGCTGTAGCTTCCTCCCTTCTGAGATGGAAATTATAAGCCATCTCACAGTGTTGTGAGGATTGGAGCTCAAGTGTGTAAAATGCCTCCTCTGTGGGCTCTCCTTGGAGAGTTCTTGTATCCTATTGATTGTCATCAAAGGAAAAAAGTGGCAGGATGATGGCATAAGTGGGAAGAACCTTGAGTTTAATAGTCTGAAAAAGTGGTTACAGGTTCTTGCTATGCTTTTCCTCTCTGTGGTTTTCTGAACCCATCGCCTAACCTGAAGCCTTAAACTTCATCTGCAAAAATGTTTTGTGGCAGGTAAGATGTCTTTTTTTTCTTCCAGTACTTCCCAGTTTAAAACTAAGAGTACTTCCTTGCTTATAACTAATTCTATTAATATTATTCTAGGTGACTCTGAAGCAGAACTCTTGAGATGGAAGGATTGTCATCTGAGGAAAAAAAATCAAGATTAAGAGAGGAGGAACTAGAATGAGATTCACATACCGTCTCTCCTCCAAGGGAAGGAGAGAGTGGTGATGCCTGCCCACTCCTTCCTGGGCAGAACATTTGTAGCATGGAACATTGGAGAATTTGCAGTCTGCTGACTTTCTGATTTAGGAGGTTGATGGGGAGGCCTTATAATTTGCATTTCTAACAAGTTCTGAGGTGATGCTTCAAGTATGTCCAGGCAGAAGGGCTGCCTCACAGAGAATTCTGCCATACCACATGGGAATTGAAGTCACAGACATCTCTAACCCTCAAGCCTGAAACCAAAAGACTGAAAACCAACACTACAGTGGACAAAGAACATCTCTGAACTTGTGTGGGGACCAGTGACACAAGGACCTAAGGTCTCTCTCTTCTCATCTTGGCACTTCAGAAGTCTCCCCAATCTTGACAAAGCCCTGGAGAAAGGGCCGGGCCTCCCGTTGATAAGAATATCACTGCAGATAAATGGAGGTTTCAAATTGAAAGAAAGGAGGAGGGCCTCCTGTTGATAAGATTATTGTCACTGCAGGTAAATGGAGGCTTCAAATAGAAATACATTTCAGTTACAGAAAAAAAAATTATCTTTGTTACACATTTGAGTTTGCAGGCCTAAGGTTACTCCCGCTACACTATCATCTGTAACCATAACGCACTCAACATTTTAAGCTAACTATAAGGATTGTTGCTTCACTCAAAGATCCTGAGGTTTTATTCACTAACATTTTTATTTGGTGACTATAGTTGACAAGAACAAAGCTGTGGGGAACCAACAAACACTGCAATGCCTGGCATTGTCACCTCACTAGATTGTGAGTTCCTCTGGGACAGGGTCCGTACATTTTCTTAGAATCCCTCACTTAGCCATTAGCCTGCACAGTGCTTGTACTTAGTAAGTGCTCAGTAAATGTTTGTGGAATGAATGCATGATGAACAAAATATATACTGAGGACTCTTGGTGTTGATTCTTGTTGATAATGTAATAGTTAAGATATGTTATAAATATGTTATAAATATTGTATCAAAATATTGTATCAAAAATATACTTGAACAGGCTGGGCGTGGTGGCTCACACTTGTAATCCCAGCCCTTTAGGAGGCTGAGGTGGGTGGATCACTTGAGGTCAGGAGTTCGAGACCAGACTGGCCAACATGGTAAAACCCCATCTCCACTAAAAAAAAACAAAAGTTAACTGGGCATGGTTGTGGGTGACTGTAATCCCAGCTACTCAGGAGGCTGAGGCAGGAGAATCGCTTGAACCCGGGAGGTAGAGGTTGCAGTGAACCAAGATCGCACCACTGCACTCTAGGGGACAGAGCAAGACGCCTCAAAAAAAAAAATGTATATATATAGTATATACATACACATGAGCATAAAGGAGCTTCAATGTGAAGGTAATAATTTAAGCAACATTTCACATTTTGGACCTGTGTTGTTAGCTATTTAGAACAGTTAAACTACTAGCTTGCTTTTAAATCCATTGTCTTAGTCATTTCAAGTTGTTATAACAAAATACCATACACTGAGTAGTTTATAAACAACAGAATGCATTTCTCTCAATTCTGGAGGCTGGGAAGTCCAAGATCAAGGTGCTGGCAGATTGTGTGTAGTGAAGATCCATTCATCAGAGATGGCACCTTCTCGTTGTGTCCTCACATGGTGGATGGGGCAACAGGCTCTCTTAGGCTTCTTTTATAAGGGCAATAATTCATGAAGTTTCCACACTTATGATAGAATTACCTCCTAGAGGCCCCACTTCCAAATACCATCACCTTGAGGGTTAGGTTTCAACATACAAATTTTGGAGGTACACATTCAGATGATGACAGCACTCATAGGTTACCTTTCATCTTTGGGTTCTCAGTGCCTGCTACAACAGCACAAGAACAGTAAGTGTGTGCTGAATGAATACAGATGAATGAACCTTTCCCCATCCTCAGATACTTCCCAACTGAGCTCCACTATCACCAAACTTCTAGAGCACATTATTTTTTGCCTTATGATCTCGTTAGGTGGGTTTTTCTTGCACATACCACACTAATCCAGTGGTCCTCAAAATTGTGTGCCCATTAGAATCCTCTGGAGGGGTTGTAAAAATAGTTTGCTGGGTCCTAACCCCAGAGTTTCTGATTTAGGAGGTTTGGGATGGGGACACCAAAATTTGCATTTCTAACAAGTCCAGAGGTGATGTTGATACTGCTGGCTACCAACTCTACCTTATAAACCATTGCCCATTAAACTCTTGAGGGTAGAGACTGTCTTCCTCATTTCAGTATCTGCTGAAGCCTCTGGCATAGTACCTGGCACATAGGAGCTGCTAAAGAAGTAGTTGATTGAACAATAGTTCAAAAAAGTTTATTTTACTGAAGCTAGATTACAAGTATATGAATGTGTGTGTATATGTGATTAAATGAGCTATTACATGTAAAAGCTCTTAAAACATGGCACATAGTAAGCTGTTGCTTTAAAAAAAATAAAAAATGTAACCTTTCTTTGCTTATATTCTAAAATGACACCAACCATCCTACATGTGTGCTCTTAAATAGCTTATATATTAGAATAATGGAATCTTAGTACTAAAGGCTGGATGTGGTTGCTCATGCCTGTAATCCCAGCACCTTGGGAAGCCGAGGTGGGTGGATCACTTGAGGTCAGGAGTTCAAGACCAACCTGTTCAATATGGTAAAACCCTGTCTCTACTAAAAATACAAAAATTAGCCCTGCGTGGTGGTGCATGCCTGTAGTCGCAGATACTTAGGAGGCTGAGGCAGGAGAATTGCTTGAACCTGGGAGGTAGAGGTTGCAGTGAGCTGAGAAGATTGTACCACTGCACTCCAGCCTGGGCAAAAGAGACTGTCTAAAAAAAAAAAAAAAAAGTAATCTAGTTAATATTTCAATATTGAGCATCAAGAATTTTTAAAAATTGGTTGAGTGTTTTCTACATGCAGAAAGATACAGCAGAGAGCATAGACACAATCCTTGCCCTCCCAAGCGTATACCCAGCGAGAAAGTGAGAAGCACAGAGTATGTGTAAGCATAAAAATACTAAGTTTTGAGAGTAGACAGCAACTATGAAAATATTCAGTTATATCGATGCAACTCAGTCTTCATTAATTGTTCTCATCGGAGCACATCTTTTTCACATTCTGTAAAGTAACGCTCGGTATGGGCCCAAGGAATATTTAATAAATATTTAAAAATGAAGTTAATAATTGTTTTGAAAGCCATATGGTTGATATTTCTTCTTAAATGTAACCAATAGAAACAACATAAGGAATTTGGCCTGTGCATATATTTGCACATTTATGGTACAGGCATTTACATGGAGGTGCCTGTCATTTGTGACACAGACTTCTCATCAAGTTTCAGAAGGAACAGATGTTTCTAGATGGAATAATATGGAGCTTGCCATTGTAAGAATCCTGTAATAAATCCTTTCATAAAATAAATATATCTGAATTATCTCTTGTTATACATTTTCACTCCTGGATCATCTAAAGTAGAACACAAAGATTGTTCATAAACTATTCATTCAAAACAACTTTATATAAAAAGAATTACTGTTGCTGAATTCTGGATTCTTATTGTTGCTCTTTCTTACTAGCATGGGGTTTGGGACAAGTCACCTTTTTAAATTTTTTTATTTATATTTTCCTAAGTGAATTAACACAGGAAGTCATTCACCTTTCTTTGCCTCAAAGAATTAAATTTATTCTTTGACGCTATTAAGTAAATTAATAGCGTCTACTTCATTGCTCAGTCACTAGCAGTTTCTGAAGTCACTGTCTGGCAGTCAGTAGATATCACCTCTGTAACTAGTCTTGTGCAGCTCTCTGTGATGTGATCTGGTAGAGGACTAAGATACAAAAGCACAAGGGTGAATTCTAGGACCACCTGAGCCAGTGATTAGTTGATGACAAGTCACATAGTCTCTGTGAGCCTGGGTAAAATGAAGAGACTGGATTTGCTCTTGTACCTTCCCAATCCCTGGCTCCACTAGCTGTTGGCCACCTTAGACTTGAAGGTCCATTCACTGCTGCTTGCCCTTGAAGCTCAATTGCTGGTCAGAGCTTTACACTCCTGGGAAGCCAGTCCCCTACCTGGAGGCTGAGCCGGTGACACTGGTTCCACTGGGTCACAGCTGAAGCACCACTGGGGATGGGGCATTTATGTGGCCATGAGTCACACTAGGGTAGGGGTAGAGGGCAAGTCACAGGAAGATTGTTGGGTTTTTTTTTTTTTTTTTTTTTTTTGGCCAGTTTCTTTTCTTTCTTTTTTTATCCCTTTGAAACAGAAGACCATGGCGTACAATCTGGTATCTGCCTTCAGGGTTGGGATAATATCTTTGTTTTACAATACTCAGAGTGGCTGGAAGAAAGCTGAGGCCACAGGTCACTAGCAGGTTCTAAAGTCTGAAAATCCCTGGGAAAATTTGACTTTTTATATGCTAATAATTGAGTACTGACAACTCTGGAGGGAGCTTTCCAATTCTTCCGTCATGAAAGTGGACTTTGTATACTAAAGAGGGGTTCATGGATTCATGGTAACCTACAATTCTTCCTTGCGGCCTGAACCAAAGGAATAGCAGCTACAGTTGGGTTTTCCTAAAAGGAGTAAGATAGTCCCAGGCCTCCCTTCTCAAATAAGTGTATCAAGCAGGTGGACTCTGCCAGTCGGGGGTCCCGGTCAATCCCTAGGGCCCTGGGGCGCCATGGGCCTCGTGGGAGGGCTGCGCATCCCAACCATGCCTTCGTCTCCTGGTGGGGCACCGGCGGTACGTCCGATCCTCCAGCCCGCGTGGTCAGGCGGCCGCGGGCCCAAGCATTTCCCAGGGCCCAAGCATTTCATTCATTTATTCATTCACGCAGCAGGTATTTCCCGGGCGCCCTCCTCCTGTGTAGGTGACAGAAACTGGGTGGCGAGCGAGCCAGGCAAAGCCCGGCTTCCCTGAAGCTCCCCGCAGCGGCGGGGGCGGAGAAGAGACCTCAGCCCCGCGGGCTCGCACAGCTGGCGCGGACCACGCTCTCGCCCGGGGCCGGCGGCCTCAGCGCCCCCCGAATGAACACCTTCCGCCCGCTGGCCGCCCCGCGAGGCGGGCCGTGTCGTGGCCCCGGTGCACGGAGGGGGACGCCGAGGCCCGGAGCAGGGCCCGTCTCGGCCTGTGCTCGGAGCCAGGCGGCAGGGCCCGCGGGCCGGCGGGCGGCGCGGAGACGGCTGCGCTCCCGCCCTCCGCCAGCGCCTGGCGGCCGCCCCACGTGACGGGAAGCGGCGGCTGCGGGGTCGGGCCAGCCCAGGAGCCGCGGGCCGGAGCGGGGCGGCGGGGCCCCAGGCCGCGGGGCGGCGCGGGACGGCGGGCGCCGGCGCCGGTGAGTGAGGAGGGCGGCGGGGCGCGGGGTGCGGGGCTCAGGGCGCGGGGCGCGTGGGGCAGGAGGGCGGGGAGCAGGAGTGGGGGGTAGGCGGCGGGGCGGGGTGGAGGGCGAGCCCGTGCGTGTGCGCTGGGGCAGGTGTAGTGGGGGCTGGAACGCGGGGTGGGGGGAGCAAGTGGCTATACACTTGGGGGCAGGTGTGCGGGTGTGCGACTTGGTAGCTGTCCCTTGTGGGGGCCGGCTAGCCTGCTGGGGTGAGCAAATAAGTGTTCACGTGTGTGTGGGATGAAGTGTGCACGGGTGTGGGGTCAAGTGTGTATGTTGTGTGTGAGGAGTGCGTGTGTGTTTAGGGCAAGGGAAGACCTGAGAGACCTCGTCCTTGATTTGGGTTTTCCGGGGAGAAGGGCCAGGAAGGACTTGCACCTCCATCCCTGGTATGGAATGGTTTTGGCGCTGTGATTGAGGTTTCTGGGAGCTCTTTGGATTTGAGAGCTCAAATTCGGGTCACACTCAGGCCTGAATTGTCCTGATCTGGAGAGTAGGCAGGGGTGTGTTGGGGAGTAGGGAAAAGTGCTGTGCTGGGCTTCCTGGCCCCTGTTTTTAGCACCAGGTCAAGGGCTGGAAGCTGTCATCCCTGTGGAATTGTTTTCTTTCCATTGCCTTCTGGAGGTGCAGGTGCAAGTTAGTCCGCCTGCCTCCCTGTGTTAAGTGTTGATATCCTTAAACACGGAAGCTGTCCGGTTGTCTGCACCTGCCGTGGCTTCTACCCAAGGACTGTTGAGTGACCCTCAGGAAGCCTCCTACCTGGCTGCTAAAAATGGGGGCTCACAGATCACACAGCAGGCCTTACTGCACGTGGACTGCACGCGCAGCTGTGGTCAAAACATGTCTGAGCAGAGTTTAATCACTGATGAAGTGCTCATGGGCAAGCACCTTGTCTATCAGGAAGGAAGGCAGCTGCGGGTGTGATTGTGGTGGCAAGTTAAGGCACTGAGAAGGTGTGCAGGGAAGATCCTACTGCGTTGTGTGTGTTGGCTTGGTTGGAGTCAGGATGAACGAATGTAGAGGGACTGTGTGGTGGCTGCTACTCTCTCATGGTGGACATGCTTCTCTCTGTTGGTCAGCCGGAAGCTGGCAGACAACTGAGAGCTCGCAGTTCCATGGTCAGTCAGAAGGAACATTTGGTCAGCTGCTTCCTTTTCTTTTTCCTTCCATTTCTGCCAGCCGAGCAGCCTCAACAGTCATTGCAGCTGCTTCTGTGATGTGTAGCAAAACGCTGCCTGGAGTACTAGAAAGTCTACTGGCTGGAATCTGCTGGAACCTGTCCATAACTAGCCTGCCCCAGGTCATCTATGAAATGGGAGTGATGCTCTGTGGTGGTAATGAATGTGGAGTGTGGGTTCAAATCCTGCCTCTGCCATTTCCTGTGACCTTTGGGCAATTTGCTGGACATTCTGAGTCTCAAATTCCTCCATCAAAATAGGGATAATATTAGAAAAGGCACATGAATTCTAATAAGAAATTGTGCCTGGAAAGGATCCGGCACAGGGTCTGGCATTTAGTAGGTGCTCAATAAATTATTGCTGACAAATATAAATGAGGATGTAGAGCCAGGTCTCCCTCAGCTCTGAAAATATGTAGTTTTATGTTTTGAGTAATTGTTAACCTAACAAATGATTTACTCTGGAGTTAGACTTGTGGGTTCTGAATTCCAATTTGCTATGTGCATCAAGGTTTGCATTACACAATTGAATTGGGTGAGAGGTGAGGTGCCACTGTTAGCCTTCATTCACTCTGCCTTTTCTTCTACACTCATGATTGTGCATGGCAGTCCTCTTGTCATAGCATTGGAGGCAGAGCGTTTTCACCACTGCAGGAATCCCAGGACCAATCTAACCTCAGCTTAAACCCTCCAGAGACAGGGATTTGTAAAGGGCCCATTCTTCATTTAGGCAGCTCCAGTTGAGGAGTTTTAAAAGCATAGAGCTCACTATTTTAAAAATGCTATATTTTCTTTTTGTTGTTGTCTTCTGGGTGGTTTTTTTGCTGTTGTTTTTGAGACAGGGTCTTGCTCTGTCACCCAGGCTGGAGTGCAGTGGTGTGACCATGGCTCACTGCAGTCTTGATCTCCCAGACTCAAGGGATCCTCCCACCTCAGCCTCTCAAGTAGCTGGGACCACAGGCTCGCACTACCACACCCAGATAATTTAAAAAATTTTTTTTGTAGAGATAGGGGTCTCCCTGTGTTGCCCAGGCTGTTCTCAAACTCCTGGCCTCAAGCAATCCTCCTGTCTTGGCCTCCCAAAGTGCTGGGATTACAGACCTGAGCCGCTGCGCCCAGCCAAAAAACTTGCTGTATTTTCTGGGTCTGATATGCAGCTAACATTTCTGTTAGGAAAAAAAAAATGAAGTTATTTGGCTTATTCCTTCATGCTAATATTACAAATTTGTGATCTTTTAAGAAAACTTGAAGAAATTTTACTTAATGGGTTAAGTGTCTTCATCTTGGTCTGAATCCAGCCCTCATTAGAAATACATTAAAGTAGTCATTTGTGGCAGCCAGGTGTTTGGATACTGCCGAATAATTTGGCTCAGACTTTACAACTCATCTCTGTAGCAAACCTGACTCGTTTTTCTTTATTTAAAAAAATAAATACCTACTAAATGAATGTAGAGTAACAACTTAATTTGGTGCTACCCCAAATGACTTTAAGTGCCTCATGAAAAGTGAATTATGAAATCTTGCAGATGATTTGAAATCAAGATCTTTTCTTGATAGTCAAGTAACTGCTGTTGAAAAAGTTAAAGATTTAAGGAAAAAATCACATATTTAAAGATGACAACTGACTGGATATTATGGACTATCAAGTCCTGTAGGTACTCAATAATTTTTTTTTTCTTTTTTTGAGACAGGGTCTCACCCTGTCACCCAGGCTACAGTACAGTGTCGTGTTCTCGGCTCACTGCAACCTCCATCTTCCAGGCTCAAGTGATCCTTCCACTTTAGCCTCCCAAGTAGTTGGGGCTATAGGCACATGCCACCATGCCCGGCTAATTTTTGTATTCTTCTATAGAGACAGAGTTTCACCATGTTGCCCAGGTTGGTTTTGAACTCCTAAGCTCAAGCAATCCATCTGCCTCGGCCTCCCGAAGTGCTGGGATTATAGGCATGAGCCACTGCTCCTGGCCAGTACTCGATAATTTTTTGTGGCTGTTTGAAGGTTCAGTATTGAGGAAGATGTTATGAAGTAAATGCCATATTTCTATTCTGCTCTTCTTCTACCTCCCACTTCTCTTCCTAAACCCTTTTAATTCTAACTGCTGATGGTACTCTTATAGGATGTATATTATATATATGTACATACACACACACATACACCCTTATGCATATGTATGTATACACACACCATATATAGTATGTGTATATATGTGTGTGTATATAAATATATGTTTATATGTATTTAAATAATTTTGATTAGTATTGCCCAGTAAAAAGGATACCAACTATGAATAGTTACATATATTAAATATACATCATGATAATATTAAGATGACAAGTTAGATATTAGACCTTAACTGTCTTTTTTTAATCCTCTTTTTTTAGATACTCTTGCAGATTATCAGAGCAGGTTCATTGCACTATAACTAATCTTGCTGTCTCTGTTGCATGAGTGCAAAAGATAACATAAAATGGTTGTCAAGCAGTATCTTCATTTTCAAAGGGGGGAAAAGTTGACTTTTGTACAAGCCAGTAAATTTATTGTTGATTCCTGACAAATTTCAAGATTGAGTCATTCAACAGATGGCTGTGGGACTTAGAGAAGAACACGGGACCAGCATGGGGTGCAGCTCAGGAAAAGCAGTTGCTGTCACATAAATGTGTATCCTGTTTTGGTAGATTACTATGTTAGTAGAGAACTGTGTCAACATACTATTCTGTGTCTGAATTTCAGCAAGCAGATAGAGCCACAGGATTCCTCTTCTAGACTCACGGTGGGGAAGCAATAGCAAAGACTCCTCAGGAACTGCAGCAGCATGCCACTCTAAGTACCATAGTGGCCTCCTGCTGAGAGTTGTTGCTTTGTTCAGAACTGAATTCTAGGAGAGGATCTGAAATCATACTTGTTCCCCTCAATCAATAAGAATATGGCCTTGGAGTCACGAACAAAAACTAGGGTCAAAGCCCTGTTTCATCACCTTGTAGCCAGGTAACCTTGAGCAAGCCACCTAAGATCTCTGTATCTCCATAATAATGTCCACCTCTCAGCGTCAAGGTAAGAACGAAAGGATAATGCTATATCGAGTGTGCAGTATCCCACCAAACCCAGTTTTGGGGCTCTCCTGAGGGGGCAGTCAGGGTGTCAGCCAGGGCTGCAGCCTATGGGTGCCATCCATCATCCAGGCTTGGGGCAGCATTGGCCTTGGGAGCCAGTGTGGCATCTGATTAAGGATGTGTGCTTTGGAGCTGACTACCTGGGTTGGAATCCCAGCTCTCTACTTACCAGCATGACTCTTCCACCTTTCAAGACCTCCATTCCCTTCCTCTTCATCCAGAAGTAGCTGGAGAATGGTATAGGAGAAGCACACAGCCCAGTCCAAATTTCTGTTTTATAGAGAACACAGGCCCAGACAAAGCCTCTTAGTGAGTTGCCTAAGATCATCAGGAAGTGACCAAGCAACAAGCAGAGCTCAGGATTCCCAGATTAATGTCGGGAATGTCTGCTATGCAGCGTGCCCACATTTACCACAGTTCACTGCCGGGGTGGCCCAGTTTCGCTCTGGGGCCTTGATCCTTATTACTGAGGGGCTGTGCTCCTTCCCAGCCTGAGTGTCCACCCTCAGAGTCCCCCACTTAACTGCTTCTCCCAAAGCTCATGGTATATCCAATTCTGAACACAGCAGGAGTCAGCTCACATTCACCCCAACCCAATCTCAGCCCCTCTGTCAGGGGAAAGACTCCAAATGAGTAAAACTCCCAAACTCTCCTCTGAAATGCATTTTCAGAAGGAAAAAAAAACTTTTAACTTATGGGTATTATTCATGCTTGTAATTTTAAGCGAGGACACTTGGCTGGAGAAAAATCACCTCTAAAAGTGGCTCAATAAAAAAGGCTCCAGTAGCCCAGAGTGTGCTAGCGCAGTCCTGGGCTGGACTGATGGGTATTGGTTCATGCTTGTCCTTTTTAGTCACTGACACAGTCTTATGACTGTTTCCTTTCCTGCTAGAAAAGGAGATTCCCAGGTTTCTTTTCTATTTCTTGATCACTCTAAGGTGAGATAATTACCCAATATACCACGATTACATTTTCATTTTAAAATTTGAAGTAATTTTGGACTTACCTAAGAGTTGCAAAATAGTGCAGAATTCATGAATACACTTTACCCAGCTTCCTCTTTTGTTAACGTCTTGTATGGCTGTAGTATAATGATCAAAATGAATCAATTAGTGCTAGTATACCACTATAAAGTGCACACAGTATTTGAATTTCACCCGTTTTTCTGCTTAATGTCTTTTTTCTGTTCCAGGATCCTTTTTCTGATCCAGTTTCCCCACTTTGCATTTAATTGTCACTTATTCTTGGCTTCTAATCTGTGACAGTTCCTCAGCCTTTCCTCTTTTTTCGTGACCTTAACACACTTGAAAGGGTGTGAGAGATTTTGTAGACCATCCCTCAGTTTGGATTTATCTAAACTCCTCCAATTCCCATGGGGGATTCGAGATGCTCTCTGACAATCACCTTCACAATCTATAGAAACAACACATTTAAGAAAACCACATCAGTATCTCAAGACTTTAAGTCAACCCGTAAACCTACCAAAATGCATTTTTCAGATGGGACTTCAGTGATTGTCAGAGAGCCTATCAAACCCCCCATGGGAATTGGAGGTGTTTGGCAGTTTGTTTTCTAGTAGGGACTTTTGTTGACATCTCATTTCACTCATTTAGCACAAACACTGCATCTGAAGGTAGCTTGCAGTGGGAGAATATTGCTGGCAAGGTTTGCCTTTTCTCACCCAATATAGAATTTTGAGGCTGTGATTTGGCTCTTCATTCAGTCAGGAATGCAGCATGGGAAATAGAGGTTTTCAAGCCTTCACTCCCTGCTGCCTGCAAAAAAAAGTGTCCAGTCATACCTGCCTGTCCTGCTCAATACCCACGATATGATGGTCAGGAGAGGAAGAATGGGCATGAGGTTGGTGCCTGTGCCAAAGGGAGATAGGAAGGTCTGAGTTTGCACTGAGTCCCAAGGGGTCGCAGAGATAGAGGCTGAGCAGCAGGTCCCTTGGCAGCTGCCCACGCTGTTTCTGTTTCAGGAAGCTGACAAAGCCAGAGGTGGGTGTCAGCACATCCCCCCGCCCCCTCTACTGAAGTCACCACCTGACTTTTCCAGGCTCTCCCTCCTCATCCAGGCGTCACAAGAGCCACCATCACTGGGACCACAAGAAAACTGGCCTCCAATGCATGCTTCTGAGTCTTTCTCTCTTAAACTTCTCAGGACCAGCCTCAAAAAACATGGGGAATAAGGCAAGGTGTCCCACTGTGTTGCATACCACCCTTTTCCTTCACCTTCCTCCTCACCACCATGGTTTGCTTTTGGCTGAGTCCTCGGTGATTTAGCTTTCTCTCCTAATTATATGGCACCAGCATCCTGACTGGTTGATTGGGAGCTGTGAACGGCTGAAGTGTGCCAAGCTCTGTCTGCCCCCCATCCGTCTCAAAGGCTGTTAGGATCTATGGCAACTTTTGTCAGTTCACTTATAGGTTTGGTTTTTAGAGCTAATATATGATATACAGTCATGCATCAGTTAATGACTAGGTTATGGTCTGAGAAATCTCCCATGGGGCAATTTTGTCATCATATGAACATCATAGAGTGAATTACACAAACCTGGATGGTACAGTGTATTATACACCTGTATAGCTTCATACCCTAAGCTATATGGGTATGGCCTATTGTTCCTAGGGTGCAAACCTATACAGCATGCTACTGTCCTGAATCTCTAAGCACAAGAGAATCTTGTAACACCAAAGTATGTGTGTATCTGAACACATCTAAACACAGAAAAGGGATAGTAGAAATACTGTATAAAATACTAAAAAAAGGGTCCACCTGTATGGGGCACTTACTGTGAATGGAGCTCGCAGGACTGGAAGTTTCTCTGGGTGAGTCAGTGAGTAAGTGGCAAGTGAAAGTGAAGGCCTAAAACATTACTGTACAGTACCATAGACTTTGTAAATATTGTACACTTAGGCTACACTAAATTTATTCTAAAAATACTTCTCTTCAGTAATAAATGAGCTTACTGTAACTTTTTGACTTTATAAACTTCTTTAAAAGTTTTTCACTCTTTGTAATAACATGTAGCTGAAAACATGTTGTATAGCTGTACAAAAATATTTTCTTTATATGCTTATTCTATAAGTTTTTTCTTTCTTTTTTTTTCTTTAAACTTTTTGGTTAAAAATGAAGACACAAACACACACACATTAGCCTTGGCCTGCACAGGGTCAGGATCATCCTTATCCCTGTCATCCACCTCCACATCTTGTCCCACTGGAAGGTCTTCGGGGGCAGTAACATGTGTGGAGCTGTTGTCTGTGATAACAATTTCTTCTTCTGGAGTCCTCCTGAAGGACTGTTTTACAATTAACTTATTTTTTCCTGCATAAGTAGGTGTACGCTCTAAAATAATGATAAAAAGTGTAGTGGAGTAAATACATAAACCAGTAACATAGTCATTTATTATTATATCAAGTACTACATACTGTATGTAATTGAATGTGCTAGACTTTTCAACGACTGGCACTGCAGTAGGTTAGTGTACGCCAGCAACACCACACATGAGTGATGCATTTTGCTACAATGTTCCAACAGTTAGATTGTCACTAGGTGATAGGAATTGTTCAACTCCATTATAACCTTATGGGACCACTGTTGTAGATGCTGTCTGTTGTTAATGGAAATGTCATTATACAGCACGCCACTGTGTTCAGTTTTCCCCTGTGATGGACATTGCTATCTGTCTATGGCTTCATGGTCTTAGTAGATATGTTTATCCAGGTTAATTGAGAAACTGCTTCTCAGAGAAACATTTTTTTTTCTATAAAAGTTCTATATTAAAATGGCAAAATAGAAACTTGAAAAACATCATTGTAGGCCAGGCATGGTGGCTCACACCTGTAATCCCAGCACTTTGGAAGGCCGAGGTGGGCAGATCACCTGAGGTCAGGAGTTCGAGACCAGCCTGGCCAACACAGTGAAACCCCATCTTTACTAAAAATACAAAAAATTAGCCAGGCATGATGGCGGCTGCCTGTAATCACAGCTACTCAGGAGGCTGAGACAGGAGAAGCACTTGAACCTGGGAGGCAGAGGTTGCAGTGAGCCGAGACCGTGCCACTGCACTGCAGCCTGGGCAACAAAGCAAGAGACTCCATCTCAAAAAAAAAAAAAATAAATAAATAAATAAGTCATTGTATTTATACAAAAACTGTAAATTGTAGGAAGATGCAAAGAAAGAAAGATACTCACGCCTAAAGCCAGGATCCCTGCCATCAGCCAGTCAGAGGAAGTCCAGTGTGTGGGAATCTGTGCCGTCCCCCAGAGCCCATTCTGAGGCTGCCCTTGTCCACCAGACGTTGCTACTTTTCATATGGACTAGCGACAGATGAGAAGGAGGCAGTGTGTTTTCCTTTAGGGATTATTACGTTGTTAAATTCGATCCCACCACTGTAGTTAATGGTAACTATTTTCTGACTCATAGTGTTAATCCTTTGGAAAGGTATCTAGAGAGTAGTGTTTACTGAAATCCCTTTTGACAACTGCTTGGTTTGTGGAGTGCCTTGGACACTTACAGGCTCTTTGGAACTCAGCAGCAATTCCGAACTGATTGTAGCTTATACAATAAGAGACTGATATTATGGAACAATAAGAATAGGTTAATAGCTATAATTTTTCTTACTAAATAAAGGAGGAAAGGTTGGCTGAGGTTAAAATTTTAAGGGCTGTGCTTCTTAAGCTGAGTCTGGAGTTTATCTTTTGGGCAGGGAACTACCTTCTGGTATGTTATAAGGAGGATAATGACCTAGTGTTTCAGGTGTGTGGCCCACATTCCTGCCTCCTTTCTGCATTGCCTTCAGATCTGACCTGGCTTTGGTCCAAATGTTAGAATGACCACTTGATCTCTATTCATTTTTGATGGACTATCATAAAGAAAAAAAAAAAACTTCTTGCTGTAAAATGAGAAAATAACAAATCTTACTTGAGGTAGTGTGTCCTTTTTAAAATGCAGATACAGAATTAATTTTTAGCTTATTCATAGGACAGTGCCTTCTATTATAGGGCTGAGTTTTTGCGGTTCCTCCCCCAGGGTGATGAAGTTCTGGTGCACATATAGCTGCATAGGTTTCTGAAGAGTCTGTTTCATTTATAAGCTGTGAAGTAATTAGAAAATGTGAGGGTTTTTTGCAGACACGTAGGACACCAGGCCAAGCTTAAAGTTGGCTCTCAGGTGGACATTATTTGGTAGAGCAGATAACAAAGTGTCATTCTTTGATTCAAGAATAATTACTGGTAAAGAGCCCATTTTAATAAATGCCAGTTTGTCATAGCATTCTTTTTGGCAGAATATATTTATCTCTGTACCAGATTAGGAGTTTCCTATTGTGTGTGTGTGTGTATGTATGTGTGTATATAACATGTATGTATGTATGTATATAACAAATATATATATTTCAATATATAACAAATATATATTTCACTATATAACAAATATATACACACATACATATATGTATATATGCATTAAACACATATATACCTATATATGTTAAACATATATATTAAAATCTTATATATGTATTATGCTAATATTTATATAGTTAATGTTGGAGTTACAAGCCTCTTTTTTTTTCTTTCCTTTTTTTTTTTTTTGAGAGAGTTTTGCTCTTGTTGCCCAGGCTGGAGTGCAGTGGCATGATCTCAGCTCACTGCAACCTCCGCCTCCTGGGTTCAAGTGATTCTCCTGCCTCAGCCTCCCAAGTAGCTGGGATTACAGGCACCTGCCACCACACCCAACTAATTTTTGTATTTTTAGTAGAAATGGGGTTTCACCATGTTTGCCAGGCTGGTCTCAAACTCCTGACCTCAGGTGATCTACCCACCTCAGTCTCCCAAAGTGCTGGGATTACAGGCGTGAGCCACTGCGCCTGGCCTACAAGCCTCTTTTTATGTCTAGATTATCTACTTAAAATATTGCTCTTGGCCAGGCGCAGTGGCTCACGCCTGTAATTGCAACACTTTGGGAGGCTGAAGCAGGCAGATCACTTGAGGTCAGGAGTTTGAGACCAGCCTGACCAACATGGTGAGATTCCCGTCTCTACTAAAAATGCAAAAATTAGCTGGGCAAAATGATGCACGCCTGTAATCCCAGGTACTCAGGAGGCTGAGGCACGAGAATCGCTTGAACCTAGGAGGCAGATGTTGCAGTGAGCCAAGATTACACCACTGCACTCCAGCCTATGTGATGGAGTGAGACTCTGTCTCACACACACACACAAAAAAAGGCTCTCATTCCACGTTTATTCTTCCTGCTGTGACTTTTTTTTAATGAGGCCTGTCCTTGGTGAGTTTTAGTATAGAGGAAATGGAAAGAAGAGTAAGATAGTAAAACCAGTTTTGAACTGGTTGAAACTGAGAGTGGAGATACTTATGTGGCCCTGGAAGTGGAAGGGAGAGGGACAGAGGCCCATGAGGTAAGGGGCTAGCCTCACAGAAGCTGCTGCCCCAGACGGTATACACGCCCATGGGGCAGGGTGTTCGCCCCCTGAGCCATCTACCACATGCTGGTCTTTCCCTTTACCTTCTAGGGTATGTTTATGGGAAATGATGGATGGAATGCCCCAAATTGGACTTTGATATCCTGAGAAATGGCCATTAAATATGGATATAAAATAAGCTAAGCACTGCATTTAGATAAACTAAGAAATTATAAATCACTTATTTGTTTGATAAATGTGCTTCCATGCAATGAAATTTTTAACAAGGAACATACAGTTTGTGAATTCTACCAGGTTTATTAAACAGATTCTTTCTCTATTTCCAGGGTAAGCTGGTTTGGGGAAATGAGTAGAATTTTATACATTCTACATGTACGTGTATATTTTTAATTAATATTTAATGCCTATAAAAATATATTTGTAATCTGTATAAGATATAGAGAGTCATAATAAAAGCAACCCTCAGCTTCAGAAATAAAACATTACTGACCGTTGGGAATCTCATGCACACCCATACCCAGTCCCATCCTCCCCGGATTTGTGTTCATCATTCCCTTAAGATTCTCTTAAGATTCATCCTTGTGGGCGGCTCTAGTTCATTCTCTTGCAGCTGTACAGTATTTCAGCCTTTGGAGGAAACATGAGGTGTTTCTAGTTTTCCTGTGTCTCAAACAGGATTGCTGTGGACTTTCTTTGCCCTGGTAAGCACAAAACAGACTCAGTAAGGCAGATGCCTAGGAGTAGAGTCATGGCTTACTCAGTCATGGCAGGGGCTTCCTAGGTAATGATAACCTGTCCTTACCAGCTCCGAACCTTCCCCTGGCATGGTGGAGCCTCCTCATTGTGCTGTGTTCTTAGGAACACCTCATGTTGTCAGACTTCAAATATTTGTCAATTTAATGGGTAGAAAATGAAGTATCATTATAGGTGTAATTTGCAAATTCCAGGTGCTAATCAGGTTGTGTTCTTTCGTGTTTATTGGATATTCATGTTTCCTCTCCATTGAAAGGTCTGTTTGTGTATTTCGCCCATCCTTCTGTTAGATCCTTGACTTTCTTGCTGCAGGAGTTCCCACATCATCCAGATGTTTCTAGTCAGATACATGATGTCAGTGTCTTCTCCCTAGCCCCCTTTTCCCCTTATCTTTTCACTTTCTTCATGGTGTCTTTTGAAGAACAGAAACAGTACATTTTCACATGGGAGAATTTATCATTTTTCCTTAGGGTTTGTGCTTTTTTATATCTTATTTTAGAACTTCTCCCTTACCCTAAGAAGGTCATGAGAATATTTTTTCATGCTTTTTTTCCAGTGTTTCAAAGTTATGTCTTTTATACTTAAGAATATTAATCACCTGGAATAATTTTGATGTGTGGTGTGAGGTAGGAATCTAGCTTTCTTTTTTTTTTTTTTTGAGATGAGTCTCACTCTGTCGCCAGGCTGGAGTGCAGTGGCACGATCTTGGCTCACTGCAATCTCCGCCTCTCAGGTTCAAGCAATTCTCCTGCCTTAGCCTCCCGAGTAGCTGGGACTACAGGCATCCGCCACCATGCCCAGCTAATTTTTGTATTTTTAGTGTAAATGGGGTTTCACCATGTTGGGCAGGATGATCTCCATCTTTTGACCTCGTGATCCTCCCACCTCGGCCTCCCAGAGTGCTGGGATTACAGGCGTGAGCCACTATACCTGGCAGAATCTAGCTTTCTTATATTTTCTATGGACATCTAGTACATACAAATACTGTACTTGTATTCCTATGGACATACAAGTACTGTTTACTGTACATGTGTATACACGGTATATGCCCCACATGTACAGTGCCAACCTAGTCAGGTTTCAAGTTTCCACATATGCATGGCCTGTTTCTGGGCACCCAGTTGTGTTCTCTAGGTCTGTCCTCGTGCTAGTCCAACATTATCTTAATTACCACGGTTTTTGATTATATTGTATATGTTGAGTCAAGTCTCCTGACCTTTTTTCATAAGTGTCTAACTTTTTCTGGCCCTTTCTGCCATGTGAATTTTTTTTTTTTTTTGAGACAGAGTCTCACTCTGTCACCCAGGCTGGAGTGCAGTGGCATAATCTCAGCTCACTGCAACCTCCGCCTCCCAGGTTCAAACGATTCTCCTGCATCAGCCTTCTGAGAAGCTGGGACTACAGGTGTGCACAGCCACGCCCAGCTAATTTTTGTATTTTTAGTAGAGACGGGTTTCACCATGTTGTCCAGGCTGGTCTCGAACTCCTGACTTCAGGTGATCCACTTGCCTCGGCCTCCCAAAGTGCTGGGATTACAGGATTACAGGCATGAGCCACTGCTCCCAGTCTGCCATGTGAATTTTAGAATCTGCTTTTTGAGTTATGTGCGCGTGCGCGCGCGCGCGCGCGCACACACACACACACACACACACACACACACACACACACACACTCCCTATACCTGTAAGAGTTTGTATTGGAATGGCATTTTTTTTTTCCTCTGGATCAGGTAGGGGAATTTTTTTTTTTTTTGTAAAAAACATAATTTGCATACAGTAAAATACACAGAACATAAAGGCACAAGCCAATGAATTTTGATAATTCCATACACTTGCATAGCTAATACCTTAAATAAAATACAGACTATGTCTGTCACCCAGAAAGTTCACTGTGTCCCTTTCCACTTACGCATCTAGTTCCTTCCAAAGTAAACACTGTTCTGATTTCTGTCGCTATAGATTAGCGTGGCCTACTTTTGAACTTCAGATAATTGGAAATATACAATATAGGCATGATTTCTTCCACTCAGTGTTTTTGAGGGTCATCTATTTGTTGCCTTTGTCAGTAGTTTACTTCTTTTTATTTCTAAGTAGTATTCCACTGTATAAATATGCCACAATTAAATGGGGGTAAGTGGGGAAAACTGAGCCGTTCCCTTTTTTTGGGTAATATGAATAAGCTTGCTGTGCATATCTCATATCTTATACAGGTCTTTTTGTGGATATAGATATATACCCAAGAGAAATGGAAATATTAAACATGGTGTAACTGGACAAATGCATGTTTAAGTTTATAAAAAACTGCTGAACAGATCTCCAAAGTTTACCCTTTTAAACTCCTTCCAGCAACGTATGAGATTTCCAGTTGTTCTACATCCTCATTAACATTTGGTGTTGTCGATCTTTTTAATGGTAGCTCTTCTAGTAGGTGTGAAGTGATAGCTCATTGTGGCTTAAAATAAATATCTCGGTTAAAGATAGGGAGCATCTTTTCATGTTCTTATTGGTCATTCATATGCCTTTTGTGAAGTGTTTGAGTCATTTGCCCATTTTAAAAATGTTTGTCTTCTTGTTATTAGTTTGTAGGAGTTTTTCTATATTCTGGATATGAGTCGTTTGCCAGATATATGCATTACAAATTTTTCTCCCAGTCTGGGGCTTGACCTGTTGGTCTATCCTCATGTCTTAATTATTGTAGTATTAGAGCAATTTCTGAAATCAGTTAGTGTAGGTCCTTCAGTTTTGTTCTTCATTTTCAAGACTGTTTTGACTATGCTATGTTCTGTGCTTTCCATTTAAAATTTAAAACCAGCTTTTCAATTTCTGCAGAAAAGCCTTCTAAGATGACAATTTGGGTCTTCCTTAATGTCTAACAATAAAATTTTATTATTTTATCCATAAGGATCTTAAATATCTGTTAGATAATTCTTTCATACCTTATATTTTCTACTATTGTAAGTTTTTTTTAAGTATCTAATTTTGGGGCTAGAAATACAAACTACTTTGGTTTTTAAAAAAATTAAACTATAAAGTCATTAATTCTAATAGCTTTTTTGTGGGTTTCTATGTAAACAGTAATGTTATCTGTGAATAATTATAATTTTATGTTTGTGTTTTCAATTCTTTCTTTTTTTTTTTTTTTTTGAGACAGAGTCTCGCTCTGTTGCCCAGGCTGGAGTGCAGTGGTGCGATCTCGGTTCACTGCAAGCTCTGCCTCCTGGGTCCAAGCGATTCTCCTGCCTCAGCCTCCCAAGTAGCTGGGATTACAGGTGCCTGCCACCACGCCTGGCTAATTTTTTGTATTTTTAGTAGAGATGGGGTTTCACCATGTTGGCTAGACTGGTCTCGAACTCCTGACCTCAGGTGATCCACCTGCCTTGGCCTCCCAACATGCTGGGATTACAGGCATGAGACACCAAACCCTGCCTGTTTTCAATTCTTCATCACTATTCTTGTTTTATGGTACTGGCAAAGACTCCTAATACAGTGTTGAACTGAGATCGTGTATTACTTTCTAGGGCTGCCGTAAGAAAGTACTACAGGTGGCTGGGCGCGGTGGCTCACGCCTGTAATCCCAGCACTTTGGGAGGCTGAGACAGGTGGATCATGAGGTCAGGAGATCGAGACCATCCTGGCTAACACGGTGAAACCCTGTCTCTACTAAAAATACAAAAAATTAGCCAGGCGTGGTGGCAGGCGCCTGTAGTCCCAGCTACTCGGGAGGCTGAGGCAGGAGAATGGCGTGAACCCGGGAGGTGGAGCTTGCAGTGAGCCGAGATCACAACACTGCACTCCAGCCTGGGCGACAGAGCGAGACTGTCTCAAAAAAAAAAAAAAAAAAAAAGAGAAAGTACTACAGGCTGGGTACCTTAAACAACAGAAATATTACTTCAGAGTTTTGGAGGGTAGAAATCTGAGAGCAAGGTCTGGTAACTTCAGACATTCCTTAGCTTATAGATCTCCTTCCTCTTTCTGTGTCTTCACTTGTCTTTTCTCTGTATGTATCTGTCTCTGTGTACAAATTTCCCCTTTTTATAAGGACACAGTCATATTTGATTAGAGCTCACCCTAAATGACTCTGATCATCTTATTTCCACATAAGGTCCCATTCATGGGTACTGGGGGTTAGGACTTCAGCATGATTGGGGGAGAGTCATTTCAACCCATAACAGATGGCAGATTCTTGTCTTGTTCCTTGTTTCAAAAGGAAAGATTTTAAAATTTAATTTAATTTAATTTAATTTATTAATTTATTTTATTTAATGCTTTTTCTGAATCTTTTGAAATAGTTTTTTCTTTTAATTTATAAATGTGGTGAGCTAAACAGATTTTATTTCCTTAAACCAATACTGCATCCCAACTTAGCCATATTGCATTTTTAATATATATTTGTGGATTTCGTGTGCTAATATTTAGTGTTTTTGCAGGTTTATTTGTGAGTAAGAATGATCTGTGATTTTTCTTTTTTCCTGTATCCTTATCTGGCTTGAATATCAAAGTTTTACTTTCTACTACTTTCATAAAATAAAGTAAGGATATGTTCCCTCTTTTATTTATCTTTTTATCCTTAGAAACATTTATTATGTGAAATTGGAATTAGGTGGTTCCTAAGTGTTTAGTGGAACTCGCTAGGAAATCCATCTGGACCCAGTGCTTGCTTTGTAGGATAGACAGTGTCTATTAAATCAGAATGTAGCCAGTGCTCTGTGCTGCCCATAAACTCATCCCAGTCAGCTCTCCTGGCCTTGGCCTTGTGCTGTGAAAAGAAGTGGGACCTCTAGAAGCCTACATAGCTTTTGTAACAGGTCTCCAAGTAAAGAACACAGAAACTTCCTTTGAAACTTATGGGTAATATAAAATCTGTGGCGCCCACCCCATGTGTAGCCGGAAAGAACAGAATTGTCATTTTTGAACTGAGGTTTAGGAAACTTCCTAAGGAGTAAGGGAAGATGCCAAAAGTCATCAGTTCTCTTTTTTTTTTGAGACAGAGTTTCACTCTTGTTGCCCAGGCTGGAGTGCAGTGGCGCGATCTCTGCTCACTGCAACCTCCGCTTCCCGGGTTCAAGTGATTCTCCTGCCTCAGCCTCTCAAGTAGCTGGAATTACAGGCATGTGCCATCACGCCTGGCTAATTTTTGTATTTTTAGTAGAAGCAAGGTTTCACCATGTTGGCCAGGCTGGTCTCGAACTCCTGACCTCAGGTGGTCCACCTGCCTCGGCCTCCCAAAGTGCTGGGATTACAGGTGTAAGCCACCATGCCCGGCCAAAAGTCATCAGTTCTTTTAAAGTGATGCCAGATACTGACTAAAAGATAATGTTTCTGTGTACATTTGTAGAAAAAGATTTGTATTTTTACATTAGCATCTTTAAAGATGCTGACTAAGATTCTGACTATCACCAGTGGCAGAATCTTTAAAATGACAATGTGCATATTCTTAACCTGGTAGGAAATAATTACTAATATTTTTATTTTGACCCTTAGCATGTATTGCTTTATACTATTACTGATTTATTTTTCTAGTCCTATTTCCTTAATAGGACGGGGAGACTCTTAGGAAGTGGGATTGTGTCTTGTAATTGTTTAGTTTTTTGCAAACTTAGAGGTGCTTGCTGCATATGCAAGGTTAGCTTAATTAAATTATGGTCCTTGAGCATCCTAGCATTTTCCAATCTCTTCCCTACCTGGGTATGTATTTTGAAATTTTAAGAAAACATTAAAATGTTGATCTTTTAAATTATTATAATCATACTTTTAAAGTGAATTTTTTAAATTTAATATTCTTATTTTTTTTAAAAATAGAGACCAAGTCTCAATATTTTGCCCAGGCTGGTCTTGAACTCTTGGGCACAAGTGATCTTCCTGCCTGGGCCTCTCAAAGTGTTAGGATTATAGGTAAGCCTTAAAGTGAAGTTCTAACAAAAAGTTTAAATTTTCGATCATTTTGAGATCACACAGTAAAGTATGAATTTTACACCTTAGAGAAACGTTTCCTTTTGAAACATTACCATGTTGAAACTTCTCTGATTCAGAACCCCAGCAAGTTATATTTAATAGAGGTGTGGCCTAAAGTTTATCTTTTTATGATTCATATTTTATCTAAGTAAATATATCATGTGAATTAGATCATGGAGAGAATTTTCCCACTGCTTAAAAAAAATAGTTTTTTAAATTAATTTTTTTTTTTTGAGATGGAGTTTTGCTCCTGTCACCCAGGCTGGAGTGCAGTGGTACGATCTCGGCTCACTGCACCCTCTGCCTCCCAGTTCAAGCGATTCTCCTGCCTCAGCCTCCTGAATAGCTGGAATTACAGGTGCCCGCCACCATGCCTGGCTAACTTTTTTTTGTGTGTGTATTTTTAGTAGAGACGGGGTTTTGCCATGTTGGGCAGGCTGGTCTTGAACTCCTGACCTCAGGTGATCCGCCTGCCTCAGCCTCCCAAAATGGTGGGATTACAGGTGTGAGCCACCACTCCTAGCCAATTTTTTTTTCTTTTTTCTTTTTTTTTCTGTGTGAAAGCATCTCACACTGTTTCCCAGGCTGGAGAGCGGTGGTGCAATCATGGCTCACTGAAGCCGCAAACCACTGGGCTCAAGCAACCCTCCTACCTCAGCCTCCTGAGGAGGAGGGAATACAGGTGTGCCCCACCAGGTCTGGCTAAGTTTTTATATTTTTTTTGTAGAGACAGGGTTAAGGATAAGTCATTTTTAAGTGCTAGCATGTTACTTCTTCAGCTTTCATTTACCTCCATGTAATTCTGCATTATTACCATTTAATTACCAAAGCAAGTCCTTAATTTAAAGGCCTATAATAGGAAGCTTATCTTTAGCAAGGCTTGAATAACAGTTTACTAGATAATGAAACAATATTGCATTTGTTTTTAAATATTATAGAGTTATGACTTTTTAGTAAACCATATGTTTTTTTGTTTTTTGTTTTTTTTTTTTTTTTACAGCTCTCTCTCCCTCTCCCCTTCTCTATCTACCCCAGGATTTAGACTAAATATGAGGCGTTTGATTCTTTCTATAATATTCTTTACTGCAAATGTGTTTAGTTTATCCCTTATGCTAACTGAAGACAGGGGCTGGAATTATGAATATTATACTTTTAAGAAGCTAAATAAAAGGAGTTTGATTGTAGGTGCCCAGAGTTTGTTTCTCTATTCCTTCCGCAAAGGGAGACACAATTTATATTTTAAATGGCAGAACTGCTTACTCCTGCCATTTAAAAAAGACAACCCTGATTGATTAATCAATGAAGGAAGAAGTATTTTGTATTACTTCACTTTCACTAACTTAGATGTCTGGAAGCTGACATTTCAATATCTGGGTTTTACTCATTAGCTCTTAAATGGAGAAAAAAATGTTGTCTAGGTGGGTTTTGGTGGTTATGTTTGGTTGGGACAAATACATGATGTTGTTTAAGAGCTGTTTGTGCCAGAGACTATTTGTAGAAGCCTGCAAGAGTTCTGCACTCGGCCTCACCTGGGATTCTGGGGATGTTCCCACAGCCCCGAGGTAGATGGACATGATTCCTTCTCTGTGGTGCCTTTAGAACCTCCCTCTACACTTCCCCCAGCTCTTTTCCATAGTTTCTGTGAAGATGAGCTCCCGTAGGTGAGTGTGAAGATGTCTTAGGGGTGGGGCAGGTGTGTGAGTGTGTGTTCTGGCTTATGATGCAGGCTGTGTTTTGGCGGAGGTGAACAGGTTACCCATATCTGAGGACAGAAGACAGCATAGTCTAATCTCTTGGTGCCCAGCTTGGGAAATAAACACCTGAAGCAAGCTGGTAGTTTGAGAGAGGAGTGAGAGCTGATCCAGACTGGGAGGGAATCATAGTATTTATGATGAGATCCAAAAGTTTGAGTGCTGTGTGCCAGCTGTCCGCATTTTATATGAGGTCACTTACTTAATCGTCCAACAATCCTATGAAGTAGGTACCGTTATTCTCATTTCACAGATGAGGCAGTTGAGGCTGGAATAGCCAAGTGTCCATTCCAGCTGCTGTAACAAACTACCATACACTAGGTAATTAATAGATAATAGAAATGTATTGCTTACCGTTCATGGAGGCTGGGAAGTCCAAGATTAAGGCATGGTAGGCTCAGTGTTTGGTGAGGGCCCATCCCTCAGGGGTGGTGCCTTGCAGCTGCCTCCTCACATAGTGGATGGAAGGAACAAATAAGCTCTCTGGGGCCTCTTTAATAAGGGCACTAATGCCATTCATAAGGGCTCCACCCTCATGACCTAATCACCTCCCCACCTCCCAACACTACCACTCTGGGGATTAAGTTCCAACATATGAATTTTAGGGGGACACAGACATTCTGACCATAGCACCAAGTAATTTGCTCAAGTGATGGGAAGAAAACAGGAAGGACTGATGTGTCTACAGACAAGCCTCCTCCTCAACCCTGGGGTATCCTCCCTCCTGGGGGTTTTGTAGAGCTAAGGAAGGGGGCTGGAGTCTCACTTGTGTGTAGCTGTCATTGCCCCCATGGATGGGGGCAGACACAAAATTGTAGAATTCCAAATTTTCTATTTGAAAGGCACCAAAGAAGTTCTCTGATTCCTTCCCTTCCCTGATGCGTGAACCTTTCTTGAATATTTCTGAGAGGTCTTCCCTGCTTTGCTGGAATGCCTCCAAGTATTAGGAACTTAAGCTCTCATGAAGCAGCACTGTTCCATGTTCAGACAACTTGAGATGAGGAAGTGACAGTGATAGCAGCCTTTCACTTCAAGCTCTCTGAACATGCAGCAGTGCTGACGCAAGCCCAGCCAGCTGCCCTGCAGCTCCCGTCATTCTCTGCAGTCCTCTTTCCAGCTCTCTGATCCCCTGCCCTGCTCCCGCTCACAGGGACTGTGCCTTTGAGTTTGCTTCTGGCTGCCTGAGAAGTCAGAAAGGCCACCTTGCCTGATCTTCTCCCTGTGACTTTGTGGAGTGTGAAGCCACAGTTCTCTGCAGAAGATGAAGTAGGAGGCGACGGGCTAGTGTGTGGGAAAGTCTCACTTCCAATGGGAGCCAGGGACCGGTCGGTCCACACATCCACTAAATAGCTCCACTCACCATCTGAAAGCCTTTCGAGATCCGAGGCACACCTTTACTCTCCACATGAATACATTTACTCCGGAGCTGAGGCTGATGCGCCTGCCTTATTGGGAAGAACACAAAGGAATCCAAGGCCTGGCGTCTGCCTCGGTGTTCCTGGCAGGATCCTGTGACTGTGGTTGTGTTCATTGACTAAAGTGCATATTCAAGTAGCTGTAGAAACTCAGGGAAGATCAGTGAGGATCATTTCTGCCTTTTTCAGAAATCCTTTTTGTTTTTTTTTTTAAATGGGGTCTCATTATATTGCCCAGGCTGGCCTCCAGCTCCTGGGGTCAAGCCATCCTCCTGCCTCACAGAAATCCTTTTGTTATGTTGCCCGTGGGTGAATGCATGCATTTGTCTTCTGCCTTCAAGCGTGTCTCCCAGGAGCAATGTGAGGAGGCTCCAGGTGACTCTGTGTGGGGACTGAGCAGGATGGCACGTGATCACAAGCACATACATATGTGTATATGGGTGTGTGTGTGTGTATGTGTCTGTGGTTTTCTTCTTGGGTCTTCTGCTGTCTGATGGGGGAGGTCTGTGGGGAAATGGTTTCTTTCCATTTTTTGATAGCGTGGAATGACTTTCTTTAATGAAAATGACAACTAGGGAATCCACGTATCATTATTGCAGCCTCTGTTTCTGCTTCTTCCTTGTTCCTCTAAAATTAGTTTTCCTCTTTCTCTTCCAGCAGATCAGCCAGTAGACATGATGAGCATCAAAGCCTTTACGCTTGTCTCTGCTGTGGAGCGGGAGCTGCTGATGGGCGACAAGGAGCGCGTCAACATAGAGTGCGTGGAGTGCTGCGGCAGGGACCTCTACGTGGGCACCAACGACTGCTTCGTCTACCACTTCCTGTTGGAGGAGAGGCCAGTGCCTGCTGGGCCAGCCACGTTCACTGCCACCAAACAGCTGCAGAGACACTTGGGCTTCAAGAAGCCCGTGAACGAGCTGCGTGCGGCCTCAGCACTCAACAGGCTGCTGGTGCTGTGTGACAACTCCATCAGCCTGGTCAACATGCTGAACCTCGAGCCAGTGCCTTCGGGGGCCCGCATCAAGGGGGCAGCCACGTTTGCACTGAACGAGAACCCTGTGAGTGGGGACCCCTTCTGTGTAGAAGTTTGCATCATCTCTGTCAAACGCAGAACCATCCAGATGTTTCTGGTGTACGAGGACCGGGTGCAGATCGTCAAGGAGGTGTCGACTGCCGAGCAGCCCCTCGCTGTGGCTGTGGACGGCCACTTCCTGTGTCTGGCTCTGACCACTCAGTACATCATCCACAATTACAGCACAGGCGTCTCCCAGGACCTGTTTCCCTACTGCAGTGAGGAGAGGCCGCCGATCGTCAAGAGGATAGGGAGACAGGAGTTCCTGCTGGCGGGCCCCGGAGGGCTGGGTGAGGAGGATGCATTTGTGCGCCTGATCTTTTTGGGTGGCCTCGGTGACTGCGTGTTGAAACTGGAGAGTGAGATTGGCGCTGTGCAGAATAAATCCTCAGTGACATTGGGCGTGTGTGGCAAGACAGAGGTAGCAGTGCTTGACCAGTGCTTGATGAAATCCAGTTCGATTGTTCTGTGAACGTGGGGTTGGAGTCATAAAACCAGTTTCTTTCACATTAAAGTGGAGCTTGAAGACAGCTCTGGTGGTGTTACCGGGAAGTGGGGATATTCTCAGCCCTTAGTCATCTTGGGAGAAAGATTTTGGCCAAGAGACAATTCAGAGATAGCAGAGAGCTTTCTGAAGGGAAATAGAGAACAGAGAATTTATATGGAGAGAGACAGTACGTTCTGAAAGATGAGGCAGAGTGGGATGCTGAGAGAGTGAGCCAGCAGCCCTGAGAGTTCTGCATCGGGTTTTTATGATGCTGGAGTTTTTCTTGAAGTTCCCACCTCTGTCTTAAAGTTTCTGCCTTTTTCCTTTGTCTAGTTTTCCCGCTTCTGCCTTAAGTCCCCACCTTTTCCTCCCACCTAATTTCTACTCTAAGCTTGTGGGACCCTCTCTTACTAGTAGTTGGTGCACATGTACAGCCGGTGTTGGATGTGAATCCCACCTAATGGCTGCATTGCTCATTACCTCCACCCCAGGAAGGTTGTACAGCGGTTAGGTCCATACTTACTGCACCTGAATGTCTCTTTGGAATTTCTCCTTTACCCTCTTTCCCTCCTCTCTGCTCATATCTAGCATGCATGTTTTGTTTGTTTGTTTTGTTTTGAGACAGAGTCTCGCTTTATTGCCCAGGCTGGAGTGCAGTGGCACAGTATCGGCTCACTGCAACCTCTACCTCCCAGGTTCAAGCGATTCTCCCTGCCTCAACCTTCCAAATAGCTGAGATTTCAGGCATGCACCACCATGCCTGGCTAATTTTTGTATTTTTGGTAGAGATGGGGTTTCACCATGTTGGCCAGGTTGGTCTTGAACTCCTGACCTCAAGGGATCCACCCACCTCGGCCTCCCAAAGTGCTGGGATTACAAGCATCAGCCACCATGCCTGGCCAGCATGCATCTTTTTGATGGTCTCTGGGATGTGGGATTTTCCAGACCTCCCTTTTCTCAGGGGCTCTTCCCTCCCATTCATGTCTAGCTAGCTATCTACCCACTCTTAACAGTGGGAAAATTCTTTTAAGTAAATAACTACAAAAATAACTCTGGGCTGGGCGCAGTGGCTCACGCCTATAATCCCAGCACTTTGGGAGGCCAAAGCAGGTGGATCACCTGTGGTGGGGAGTTCGAGACCATCCTGACCAACATGGAGAAACCCTGTCTCTACTAAAAATACAAAATTAGCCGGGCATGGTGGTGCATGCCTGTAATCCCAGCTACTCAGGAAGCTGAGGCAGGAGAATTGCTTGAACCCAGGAGGCAGCAGTTGCGGTGAGCTGAGATCACGCCATTGCACTCCAGCCTGGGCAGCAAGAGGGAAACTGTCTCAAAAAAAAAAAAACAAAAAACAAAAAACAAAAAACCAGAAAACTCCGTAAGGGTTCCTGGTAAGATTTTCCCACAAGAGTGGGTTGTCATTTGATTGTTTTTGCTCCTCATTCTAAAAAGTTGTTGAGGCTGGGCTAGGTGGCTCACGCCTGTAATCCCAGCACTTTGGGATGCCGAAGCAGGCAGATCACCTGAGGTCAGTAGTTCGAGACCAGCCTGGCCAAAAGGTGAAACCCTATCTCTACTAAAAATACAAAAATTAGCCTGGTGTGGTGGTGGGCACCTGTAATCCCAGCTACTCAGGAGGCTGAGGCAGGAGAATCACTTGGGCGGAGGTTACAGTGAGCTGAGATCGTGCCACTGCACTCCAGCCTGGGTGACAGAGTGAGACTCTGTCTAAAAAAGTAAATAAAATTAATTAATTAATAAAAATAAAAAGGATTTGAGGTAGCTCACTAAGTATTTTCAATGTCATGTCCATAACATTTTCTCTCTGTTATGTCCTGTCATTTCATCCCACCAAAAAGTTTTTTGTAGCTAGCTCCTCAAAAGGGGCTTTAGCAGTGCTCTTATGGACTTAACTAATTCTCTGGACAGCCTTATCAAGATGAAGAATCAGTGCTTTAACCTTAGTGATGTCTCCTGGTATTTTCTTCCAGCCAGGGGTGGCTCATATTAGAGTTAGTGTATGTGTTTATGGTACAGGGATGCTGGTGAGAGCGCATTCCTTTTAACACTGGTATTTTTTATCCTTGGCAAGTTTTTGTATAGTCACCTCATTTCAAATTGCTGAGTGCAAACACATTTTCTTGTGATAACGAATTCCTGTCATGAACTATTTCATGTATATCTCTTGTTTTTCACTTTTTAAAAAAATAGACTTTATTTTTTTAGAGCAGTTTTAGGTTCACAGCAAAACTGAGGGGAAAGTACAGAGAGTTCCTGTAGACCTCCTGCCCTCCCGTTATCCACACGACAGTGGTACAGGGGGCACATCATTAGCACCCGAAGCCCATAGTTTATATTAGGGGCCATGCTCGACAAATGTGTTATGTGTAATGACATGAATCCGCCATTGTAGTGTCATTCATAATCCTTTCACCACCTTAAAAGTCCTTTGTGCTCCACCTGTTCATCCCTCCCTTCCCCTAAGCCCCAGCAACCGCTGATCTTTTTGCTGTTTCCATGGGGTTTTTTCTTTCTTTTCCAGAGTGTGATCTAGTTGGGACCATACAGTATGTAGCCTTTTCAGATTGGCTTCTTTCGCTTAGTCATAGGGTTTTCTCTTTTCCCACCCCCAGAACGGAGTCTCGCTCTGTCGCCCAGGCTGGAGTGCAGTGGTGCCATCTCGGCTCACTGCAACCTCCGCCTCCTGGGTTCAAACGATTCTCCTGCCTTAACCTCCCGAGTAGCTGGGACTATAGGCATGTGCCACCATGCTCAGCTAATTTTTGTGTTCTTAGTAGAGATGGGGTTTCACCATGTTGGCCAGGCTGGTCTTGAACTCCTGACCTCAGGTGATCCACCCGCCTCGGCCTCCCAAAGTGCTGGGATTACAGGCGTGAGCCACTGTGCCCAGCCGGTAATATGCATTTAAGTTTCCTCCATGTCTTTTTATGGCTTCACACCATAGATTCTTACTTTTTGAAGAAAACATTCTTTAGCCCAGCCACATTTTTTTCGGAAAATTGAGGATTTCTGTACTGTGAAATTTTTTATTGTAGAAAACATATGTAAACTTATATAATAAAGAGAATAGCATAATGAACCTGGTAGAGACATCACCTAGCATCAGGCACTCTCAGTTTATACACATCATGCCCTCTGTTTATTTTGAGGCAAATCCCAGACATCATAGCATTTCATCTGTAAACATTTTAGTACATATTTCTAAGTTACAGATACCTAAGAAAACCACAATTCCTAAAAAACCTGACAGTAATTCCTAAATATCAAATATATGTAGATGTGTCATATTTCCCCTATTAGCATACACCATAATCGATGTAAATATATATATACACTTATGTTTAAGTATTTGTATGTTTATTTTTAGTTTGTTTGAATCAGTTTCATACAAGGCCCATACATTGCAATTGATTGATCTGTTACTTTGTTTTAATCTTCAGTTTTCTGCTTCATCTCTTTTTTGCTTTTCTTTAATTTTTTTTGCTGAAGAAATTGGATGGTTTCATGTATGGTGTCCCACAATCTGGATTTTAATGATTTCATTCCCATAGTATTGTTTAACATGCCTCTCTGACCTCTGTGTTTTCTTCAAATAGTAATTAGGAGATTCAGGGTTTTTAAAAATTTGCTTGTTTTGTGGGGAGGCAAGACCACTTCCTAGTGGTGGAGTACCTCTGTCAAGGTTGCATAATGCCTTCATCGCTCTGTAATGTTAGCAGCTGTTGACAGTTACTGCCCAGATCAATTCAGTTACTCAGTTTTCAATATGGGGATCTCTTCTGTCTTACAGAAATGGCTTTCTGAAAAGTATCATTATAAACTCGTGGACGCAAATGTATGTGATGTGCTTGGTTTCATCCATGCCTGGTGGGAGTTTATTCAGGTGGACTTGTCAGTCCCTTTTTCATGCCACTAGAAATCTGATTGCTTCCTTGAGTTTCAGGATATTCCTAGATCACCTCGTACATTTCTTGCCCTGGGTCTGGTTTCAGCCATTTCTCCAAAAAGCCCTGATGTTTACAGACCACAGTCTGGGAGCCAGAGGTGCTTACTGCTCATTGTTTCTAGGCCCTTCTTTCAGTAGACAGTGCTGGGAAGTATGTCTTTTTTATTTTATTTTATTCTTTTAGAAACGAGGTCTTGCTATGTTGCCGAGGCTGGCCTTGAACTCCTGGGCTCAAGCAAGCCTCTCGCCTCAGCTTCCCAGGTAGCTGGGACTATAGGCGTGCACTACTGCACCTGGGTAAAGTATATGTTTGTAAAGATAATTTCATTGTGAAATCATGTTGATAGAACCAATCCATCATTGTACCTGTATCTCCTTTCAACCACACCAAAGATCTGACTTCTCTACTACCTCAACATAATTACTCCTTTGATTTATCCCACAGTACATACAACAGAGTAACAGGACCAGCACTACCGCTCCCACAGTATAATTATTGGAAACTCTGATGGTTTGTGGTTCTTTCTGTCCTTAGGGTATTAGAAATCTAGTCAAATTACTGTGTTTTAAAGTCACTTGGAGTAGTTCTCCTCTGTGTGGTTATGCCATCAACTAGATTTATAGTTAGATTTGTTTGTTTCATTTTACTTTTGATTTTTAGAAGTTGCTTTGGTGTGTTTTTTATTATATAAATGTTTACAAAGTTCCAAGACAGACGGATACAGCAAGATATCGTCAAAGAGGTCTAAGCTCACAGCTAGCTTTTTACCAAGTCTCCCTCTCCCATAGGTAACCTTTATTTTTAGGGTTTATTCTTTCATTTTAAAATACAACATAAATATGTAAATATTTGTATCTCCTCCTTGGCTAAATGGTAGAGTACTTTTCCTCACCTTGCTTTTTTTTTTACTTAATATACTAAAGTGATCACTTCAGAGTGTAGAGGTATTCCTCCTTCATTTTATAGCTGCGCACTATTCTGCTGTGTGGAGGTACCATAATGCGTTCCATCTATTGATGGACATTTGGGGTCTTTTTCAGTCTTTAGCTATTCCTGGGGACTTATATTTGTGTGTATGTGTGTGTGTTTTCAGTGTATCTGTTGGAAAGCTTTCTAGAGATGAGATAGCAGAGTCAAAGTATAAATGTGAGGTATTGCGATAGTCTCCCTTGATAAAGGTTGCACCATTTTATTTTTCCCCAGCAACCTATGAAAGTACCTGTTTCCCTCCAGCTTTGCCAACAGAGGATGTTGTCCAAACTTGTGTGTTTTTGCCAGTCTAGTACATGAGAAATGGTTTTTCAGTGTAGTTTTAATTTCCATTTCTCTTGTTTATGTGCATGGTTGAACATTTTTCACGTTTAAAAGCCATTTACATTTCTTCCGATGGGAATTATCTCTTCTTATCTCTAGGCCTTTTTTTTTTTTTTTTTTTTAGTATTCTTTATATGTTTGAGATACCAACTTCTCTGTTATATAAGTTTCAGGTATTTGTTTCCATATTTTACCGTGAAAAAGCTTTTTGAAAAATTTCGATATGATCTCACCAGGTGTGGTGGCATGTGCTTGTGGTCCCAGCCACAGGAAGCTGAGGCAGGAGGACCGCTTGAGCCCAGGAGTTGGAGGCTGTGTTGCTCTGTAATTGTGCCTGTGACTAGGCACTACACTCCAGCCTGTGCAACACACCAAGACCCCATCTCAAAAAGAAAAAGAAAATTCTGTATAATCAAATGTATCAATATTTTCAGGTATTGCTTCTTGAGTTTGAGTCATAATTAGGAAGATTTCTCTGTCTTCCAGGTTAAAGACAAATTCACCTGTGTTTTCTTCTAGTACCTGTGTGGTTTTTTTTCTTTTTTTTGAGAGAGTCTAGCTCTGTTGCCCAAGCTGGAGTGCAGTGGCACAATCTCGGCTCACTGCAACCTCCACCTCCCGGGTTCAAATGATTCTGCTGCCTTACCCTCCCTAGTAGCTGGGATTACAGGTGGGTGCCATCATTCCTGGCTAATTTTTTGTATTTTTTTGTAGAGACAGGGTTTCAGCATGTTGGCCAGGCTGGTCTCAAACTCCTGACCTCAAGTGATCCACCCGCCTCAGCCTCCCAAAGTGCTGGGCTTACAGGCCTGAGCCATCGCACCTGACCAGTTTCATTTCTTATACTGAAGAGTGTAAGGAATACATTCAATTTTATCTCTTTAAATTATTTATTTATTTATTTATTTTTGAGACAGGGTATTTCTCTGTCACCAAGGCCAGAGTGCAGTGGCACAATCTCAGTTCACTGCAACCTCCGCCTCCCCGGTTCAAGTGATCTTCCTGCCTCATTCCCCTTAGTAGCTGGGGAATAGTACCCGCCACCAAGGCTGGCTAATTTTTGTAGTTTTTGTAGCAACCGGGTTTCACCACATGGCCCAGGCTGGTCTTGAACTCCTGGACTGGAGTGATCTGCCTGCCTTGGCCTCCCAAAGTGTTGAGGTTACAGGTGTGAGCCACTGCGGCCAACCTCAATTTTATCTTTTTTATATAGCTGTCCAGTTATCCTAACAAACTGATTAAAGAGTCTATCTTTTCCTCACTGATGATGGCCTTTAATGTACACTAAATTTCCTAATGTATTGGGTCTGTCTCTGGATTTTCTGTTTTATTCTGTCAGTTCATTTGCCTATTCACGTGCCAATACCTAACTGTTTTAGTTATAAAGATTTGATAGGCTGGGCGCAGTGGCTCATGCCAGTAATCCCAACACTTCAGGAGGCCGAGGCAGGCAGATCACCTGAGGTCAGGAGTTCGAGACCAGCCTGGCCAACGTGGCGAAACCCCGTCTCTACTAACAATACAAAAATTAGCCAGGCATGGTGGTGCATGTCTGTAATCCCAGCTACTCAGGAGCCTGAGGCAGGAGAATCGCTTGAACCCGGGAGGCAGAGGTTGCAGTGAGCCGAGATGGTGCCACTGCACTCCAGCCTGGGCAACAGAGCGAGACTGTCTCGGAAAAAAAAAAAAAAAAAAAAGATTTTACTCCATTATCCTATGTTGGTTGTAGTGTTAGGATTGATGGGAAATAATAGTCAATAATCTTTATGATGCACTGTGTCTCAGCTACATGGGCATCTGGCTAAATGAACCAACCTTCTTAAGTTTTGTTCTGCTTGTAACTGGCACAATTATAAGCAAATTGAAAGATTACTTGTAACGCCTATCACACAGTACCTATATACAGATTCTATCTTCAGCATAGTAACCACCAGACTTTAAACCAGAGGTTTATAGTCTTAAACCCTGTCCTATGACAGTGCTTCTTGAAGAAGGTAAATAATTCAGCTACTCTTCACCACACATGGTTCCCTCTCCTTCTCCCAGCTTAGATAAGGGGGTGGATGAAACATAAAGGGTACACGATTGAAAATAATGGTTTTAAAAGGTGTGCCATTTACACATTTGTTACATGTGCCTGTTGACAGCAGTTGCACTCCTGCAGCACTACAGAAACAATAGACTTTATCACCTATTTGGCAAGAATAGAATTAGTTTGTGGGTGTTGATCACAGTCCCCTCTGTTCCCAAGTGGGGCTTCGAGGCTTCTCCTAGTGCTTGTCCTGGACTCCTCTTTTGCCAGTTACTGCTTGCTTTTTTATTCTAGTGAAAGCTTTGCTTTGCTTTTTGCGTGGATGCCTTTGTTACTGACTCCTCATCCTTTGCCCTTTATTTATTTATTTTGAGGTGGGGTCTCACTATGTTGCCCAGGCTGGTTTTGAACTTCTGGGCTCAAGCAATCTTCCTGTGTCAGCCTCCCAAGTAGCTGGGATTATAGACACGCACCACTGCCCCAGGTCCTTGCCCTTTTTATTTTAAAAACATTCATCAGGGCCTCTGTGCTGCATAGTTCTCTGGTTGGGCGATGTTCAGCCTTAAGCAGGTAAATGCAGTGACCCTCTTTGACCTCCAGGGTGAGGCTGGGCGATGTTATTGGTGTCCATGTGACCATGAGAGCTGTGCTGTCTAGAGCATGTTACTTGAGCAGAAATTCAGCAGAATCCTCAGGATTACGCCCTATTTGAAAGTCACTTTGTCCTCACGTGAGGACACATGCTTTGTCAATCTTCATGTGGCTTATATGGAAATGTATTTTTAACCTCATTTTTATTTTATTTTACTTACTTATTTTTAGACAGGTTCTCACTCTGTCGCCCAGGCTGGAGTACAGTGGCGTGATCACGGCTCACTGCAGCCTTGACCTTCAGGGCTCAAGTGATCTTTCCACCTTAGCCTCCCGAGTAGCTGGGACTACAGATGTGCACCACCACACCTGGCTAATTTTTATATTTTTTGTAAGGGTGAGGTTTTGCCATGTTGCCCAGGCTAGTCTTGAACTCCTGAGCTCAAGCACCATCTGCCCGCCTCTGTCTCCCAACATGTTGGGATTACAGGTGTGAGCCACCACGTCCGGCCTATTTTATTTTTTATTTTGCTAAGTTTGTGGTAATATTATTACAACTTCATTTTTAATTGGAAGTAAATATCAGATATACATTCTGGGTAAGGTAGTTCTCTTCACAGAAATAAATTCCTGTAGGGCTCTTCACACATACAGCATATTATATTGTTTTTCCTTCCTTGAAATATAAGACTGTACAGGAAAATTGCTGGTGGGCAGGGGTCGGTCTGCATCCAGACATAGCTACAGGAAAATGACACCATGCTTATTTGGAAGCCTACCTAACTCTTTCTTCTTACTTCTAGGCATGTTTGCCACAGTCGCAGGGATATCCCAGCGCGCCCCCGTGCACTGGTCGGAGAATGTGATTGGGGCGGCTGTGTCCTTTCCATACGTCATAGCGCTCGATGACGAATTCATCACAGTCCACAGCATGTTGGATCAGCAACAGAAGCAGACGCTGCCCTTTAAGGAGGGCCATATCCTACAGGACTTTGAAGGTACTCATTCACATAGAAGTCTTAGTGAAATTTACTTAACTCTTTTATGATATTTCTTCGGTAAATATCATTTAGGAACTGGGCCTTGCGCTAAGCATAAAAGATACACAGATGACTCCAATACAGTCTCTGTGCTTCAGGGGCTGCACAGTTAGTGGGGAGACAGACATTTAAACAAATAGCTATGGCAGTATAAAAGCTTGATCACGATGGAATAAGGCCCATTGTGAGAGCAGAGGAGAAAGTATTTCCTAGAGATATCAGGGAGGGCTTCCTGAAGGAGGTGCTGTTTTAGCCAAACCTTTAAGGATGCATAGGAGTCAGCCAAGCAGATGTTGTGTGTAAGAACCTTCTGGTAGAGAGAAAGGTGTATGCGAATCTGTTCAAGAGGGTACTATGGGCTTCAGGCCACTCAAGCAGCTCACTGTGACTGTAGTGCATGGTGTGTTTGAAGGGGCAGCGTGAGCTGAGGCTGCAGCAGACCAGGGTAGTCAGGGTGGCGGAGGCAGGAGGGACTTCATTTCGTGTGTATGGTGAGCCACTTGAAGGATTTACTCTACTTTTCTTCAGTTTTATTTTGAACACTTTGAAGCAGACCGAAAAGTGGTAAGAGAGACAAAGTAAACCACCAGAAACCTTTCACCTAGATTCAACGCTTGTTAACATTTTGCTGAGCCATTTGAAAGTACGAGGAAGATATCATGATATTTAATCCCAAAATTCTTCCACACATATCTCCCAAGAATAAGGGCATTTTCCTACAAAACCACAATGCCATTTTCACACCTGAAAAAAATTCACATTAATTTACAATACCATCTCATGTCCTGCCAATATTCAGATTTCCCCAGTTGACCTAAGAATGGCTTTTATCATATTTTCTTCCAACCAGGAACGAATCTAGATTTATGCATCGCATTTGCCACTTAAGGGTTTTTGTTCACCAAACATTACCCTTGCTGTGCCAAGTGCTGTCTTATAGATGCTTATAGGAGATAAGAAGACTCACAGTTCCTGCCATTAAGTGGGCTAATTCCGGTGGGGCTCTGGCGCATGCGCTGGGGTCACACACAGAGCAGTGTTGTGGTGCGGTGCCTGTTGAGTGGTAGAGTCGGGCTCAGGGTGTGGTGGACACACAGAGAAGGATGATGTAACAGGCCCAGGGTGAGAACACAGGGAGGCTTCCTGGGAAAAGTGACTCCAGGCAGAGCAGGGACAGAATGTCATTTGAGAATGAGAAAAACTGCCTTAGTTGTGATACAGAAGACAGAAAGAGTTAGATTGTTTCCTATGAACAGGTGGTGCTTAGCTGAAAGTTTCTGCAGAAGGGAGCCAGTTTTAATCTGGAAGCTTAGTAGTAGGAGCTAGTCTTGGACTGCAGTTCTGACTCTTCCACAGACTACCTGTGGAGGGGCTCACAGGTAAAATGAGGATGGCAGTGTTGACCATGGGCCAGGTTAACTTGCAGGATTGTGGGGAGATGAATACATTAATGGCAAGACTTTGGAGGTATTTTTGGTTGGCAGATGAGCATGAAATATTATCTCATGCTTCAAAATATCACATTAAAATTTTAATTTTATATAAACTAACTTGGAGGGAAAAGAATGTTTTAAAAATGTTGTGTATTCTTATTGATAATGTTCCCTGATTGAACTCTGCATCTTCACTGGACTATGTATTATGCGTTTACTACACTGATTTTACATTTACCAGCATTTCTCAGTAAAAAAAAAAAAAAAAAAAAAAAAAAAGGCAAAAAAAGAAAGCAAGATATTATTCTTTGGAAATGTCATAGTAAGAGTTTGCCCTTTTCTGACAGTTGACAGTGTGGGAAAAAGAAAAGCATTATAATTTATAATTTTTGTAGGAATTCCTTTGAGAAAACTATGGTGAAGTTGTTGAACAAATCAGGTAATGATCCAGTTTGGGGAAAGCAGTGTGTTTTTTTGCAGGCAGTGTGTTTTTTCTCTTTCCAACAATGCTGAATTTCTTCACAGGAAGAGTGATCGTTGCCACAAGTAAAGGAGTTTACATCTTGGTTCCATTACCTTTGGAAAAACAAATACAGGATCTTCTAGCAAGCCGCAGAGTAGAAGAGGCTTTGGTTTTAGCAAAAGGAGCCCGGAGGAACATTCCAAAGGAAAAATTTCAGGTTTGTAATTAACTGGTCACAGAAATATGCCTCTAAGTCACCAGTTAGAGGACATTCAGATTTAACTAACATGCATCGGCCCTTCCTGTGTACCGGGCTGTACACACTGCTTTTATATCTGTTGTTTAATTTTCTCAACAAATACATATTGTGTAGATAAGGAAACAGGCTTTAGGGCGGTCAAACAGCTTGTGACTGAGAAGGCACTGCCAAGAGTGGAGAAGTCAGGCTTCTAACTTGTGACTTAATTCTGCTATTTTAGATATAGGCTTGTATTTCTAATCAACTTTCCTCTTCCGTGGACCTTCAGAGAAGGATCAATAACATAGTTCTTATAAAGCAAAAGAGTGAGGTCAGGTTAATTTGTCTCTGAATTTAGAATTTGTATTTGTCAGGAAGGGGTTGAATTAAAGTTTAGATTTCTATCATCTGTAGGAAAAGCTTTACTAAACATATTGATAACCATTTTGCTAACTAAATTGGTATTGTAGGAACCCCATCTAGTTGATTTCCTTAGGAGAACTTTTTTTTTTTTTTTTTTTTTTTGAGATGGAGTCTCGCTCTGTCGACAGGCTGGAGTGCAGTGACGCGATCTCGGCTCACTGCAACCTCTGCCTCCCGAGTTCAAGCGATTCTCCTGCCTCAGCCTCCCGAGTAGCTGGGAATACAGGCGCCCGCCACCACACCCAGCAAATTTTTGTATTTTTAATAGAGATGGGGTTTCACCATGTTGGCCAGGATGGTCTCGATCCCTTGACCTCGTGATCCACCCGCCTCCGCCTCCCAAAGTGCTGAGATTACAGGCGTGAGCCACCGTGCCCGGCCAGGAGAACATTTTTAATGCACTTAAGAAACACTCATTTTAAATATAATTTGGTATAATAAATGCAATTGATATAAATCGGGTCTCCTAAAAACTGTTACTTGATGAGTTATTAGGTTGTACAGGTTATTCCATATTTGAGGGGAACAAAACATAATATTGCTATGTATGTGTGCTTTGTATGAATATCTAAATTAATAATGAAAAAGTTCTTAATATTGGTCAGATTTTAGAGAAGACAGTGTAATTGTTGTGGAATGATATGTTCTTTGGCCTCAGGTGCTTTATGCAGAAAAGGGTAGATTCTGAAAATGAAAGAAGACAGGTTGTGTGATTTATGGTTGTGGGCTGTGAAGGTGAGCAGGACCTCTTTTCTACATTTAAACGTTGATAAAGTTTTCATCTTTGTTGCTAACTTTTGAGTAAGACTGATCTACTAGCATTCAGCAGGGGGCAGCAAAGGCAAAAAGAAGAAAGCTGCTGAGCTTCTTGTGCCCTGGAGGGGAGGGTGCAGACCAGAGGCAGATCGCCAGTCCCAGGCCTGCCACTGCCGCATGTGCTCTCAGCCCCTTCTCCTCTCCTGCAAGCTGCTCTCGGTGGATGTGTGGAAGTCCAGGGGGGCCACATTCCAAGGTTTTCCAGCTGCCACTGTGGAGTATTCCCTTCTTGCACACACACCATGTGCACATTTTAAGCGTGTAGCATTTTCTTACAGAGGCTTTCAATGCTGTGTATCTGATTTTTGCTCTTTTCTTCCCTATGCTTTTTGCCAGGGTAGAGCTACACAGTCAGTATTAGAAAATATTAGTCATCTTGTTCTCCAATCTGGTATCTCAGGGTTTTTTTGTTTGTTTGTTTCTTTTCTAACCTGCTTCCCGCTTCTCCCTGTATTACTGCAAGCTCCTATCTCCAGCCCTGGAAATACACCTTCAGAATTATCTCGAGTTCACCCATTATTCTCAGTTCCCACTGTTACTGCTGGTATTCAGACCATGCTCACTTTTGCCCACGTTTTTAACAGCCTCCTTGTGTGATTGCAGTCCATCATCCATGCAACTATATGGAAATGATCTTTTTCCATTACGGACCGAGTCCTTTGCTTAAAATACTTTAGGGGGCATCTCGTTGCCCAGGTCAAGTCCACAACCTTGAAGCATGGCTGACCCCACCCTCTTCTGTGGCCTCCTTGTCTTTTACACACACACACACACACACACACACACACCCTCACTCCTATGAAGCACATGCCTACATTCTACATTTCTGCCTCAAAGGGTGGAAGACAAAGAGAACAAACAACCAGTGAGCCGGATAGTATGTCAGGAACGCTTCAAGGCATTTAAAAACATTTGTTGTTTTAACCCTCAAAAGAATTCGGTAATGACTGGTACAATTGTCCTCATTTCACAGACAAGACATGGCAGATCAGCCATGCCTCTGGGCATCAGGCTGGCTAAGTCAGGCTGGCGCTTCCCACAGGGCCCTTTACCCTGCAATTACTGGAGGGTACTTCTCTACTCGAAAAAATAGTTTTGATACCTCGCATAAATATCTCCTCTTCACTAAGCCTTCCCTTTCCTCTGGGCAGAGCTAAAGACTTCTTACCTCATGCACCTGCGATTTGTGGCCCATACCATTTATCATGTCACCCCTCAGCGCCATACTTCTCCCTCCCCTAGGTCCTGGGTAGGTTCTTCCCTTTTAATACCAAGGAAAGAATGAATGAGTAATTCAGAGCTTCCAACTGGCCTTCCAGCAGAGCTGTGATATAATGGATTGGCAGCACGGGGTTTTTGTTTGAAATAGAAACCTTAAACAATAAAACAATATTGATGCAAAAAAAAGGTTTAGAAATGACTTTTCATAAATGTGTATGTTTTAAAGGATTATATTCAGCTCATATGGTTAACTACATTGCTTCTTTTAGTCTTAGAGTGTTTGTGACCACATGCTAGACCCTAAGCTTAGAGAAACCAGGAAGGGAGAGGATGAGAAGCTTGAGCTCAGTAGACTTCTTCACCATTGCACTCCTTTCCCTTCATTTAAAGCAAGGGCTGGTTTCGCTTCTCTGAGTTCTGAATTAGCAAGGGGTTTGTCAAGAAGTTTGACTGTGGGGCTGGGATTAAGGATCGTTTCTTCAGGAGATCCAAAAGGGTTGTTCAGAACTTTAGAAAGCAAGCCTTAAATTATATTACAGTTTAGAATGCTGTATTTAAAATAAGAGACAGTAAAGGGACATCTTGCTTTATAGACAAAGATTTGTGTCACACACACAAAATATTACCTGATTTCTGTCACATAATATGGATGGTGTTTATATTTAAGCTTGGGCTCCGATAGATTTTTTTTTCCATTTCATCTAAAAACATTTCAATACATGTCTCTAAAAGCACGGATGCCCCCTTTGAAATGTAACCGCAGTACCATTGTCGTCATTCCCCCATATCAGCACTGATTCCTTTGTGTGCTGGGTATCTGGTCAGTGCTCATATTTCCAAACTCGTCCAGTGAATGTTTTTGCTTTTTTTTTTTAATCCTTAGGGAAAAATCTCGCTAGCCTGTACACTCAAATTACTGTTTTAATGTCACATGGGATAGTTCTCCTCTGTGTGGTTCTGCCACCAACTCTTACATATGTAGTTAGGTTCATTTGTTTCATTTGACTTTTGGTTTTTTGGGGATTGCTTTTTAAAATTTAATTTGTTTTATAATTTTATAAAATATTTACATAGCTCAAAAGTCAAATCAGTAAAACAAAGTATATTCAAAGAAGTCTAAACTCAGTTTCTCTCCTTCACTCTGTTCACTGCCTCCCCCCTTTTACTGTCTGGTCTGTTTTATTTGCATATATTCTTTCTCTCTCTCTCTCCCTCCTTCTCCCTCTCCCCCTCCCACCTTTCTACCCGCCTCGTTCTTTCTTTCCCTTCCCACTGTCCCTCTGTGTCTCTCTCTCTGCCTCCCTTCTTCTCTGCCTTTTGATGTGAATGTTTGTGTTGTATTTTTTGTTTTAATGATTACCTTGATATTATTCATCTTATAAAATTCCTTTATGTTCTCTTTTTTGGGAGGGTTTCTATTGTCTGTTGCTTCCCCACTTGGAGCTGTGTTTGAAATTAGCCAGTAACATCTTCGTCACTCTTCCCCTGTGTTCCTCAGCATCTGCTTTGGAGGAATAGCCCTCAATTCCCAGCTGATACCCGGAAGGCAGTCAGCAAGCATCTTGTCTTTTTTGTATAATCTCTCATTCTTCCCTATTTTTTGATGGTTATATTGTCTGTACTTTTTCAGAGCATCGAGCCTTCCACATGCTATTTGGTTTCTTAGTTCTGTGGACAAATATGTGTGGAATGCTCACCATTGAATTTTCTGTTGATGTCTTTCCAGTCATTTTGGTTTTCTAAAGCAGTCCTATGGTAGATATTTCACAATGGGAATATGGGGACACTGTCTCTTGAGTTTGTGCTTGTTGATGACAGTGACAGTTCATTGCAGCCTTTATACTTGAGGGCCAGTTTGGCTGGAGACAAAATCCTCCACTCATCTTTCAGTGAGGAACTTAAATATGTTCTACCATGATAGAATTGCAGTGAAAAATCTGATGACAATCTGGATTTCTTTCCCTTGTAGTGACTTGATCTTTTTGCTTAGAGGCTCAAAGCATACAAATTTCTTTTATGTCAAATTTCTCCATGTTGGCACACATGGCAAACTGGAGCCTGCAAAATCACCTCCCACTTCCCACTGTATGCCCACCCATTCCCTCCGCACCCGGCCCAGGCAATCCCCACTTCCACTTCTGTCTCTATGAATTTGACTACTCTAGGAATCTCACATAAGTGAAGTCATACAATATTTGTCCTTCTGTGACTGGCTTATTTCTCTTAGCATAATGTCCTCAGGCTTCATCCATGTTGCAGCATGGAAGAATCTTCTTCCTTTTTAAGGCCGAATAATATTCCATTGTATGTACCTACCACATTTTGTTTACTTATTCATCTGTCGATGAATAAGTTGCTACCACCTTAGGCTGTGGTGAGTAGTGCTGTTATGAACCAATCATTCTCTCTCTTTTCAGAGGAGACTGAGAGATTAAAAAACTACACCTCTACTTTCTTAGTCATCTCAGATTGCTGGAACAGAATACTGTAAACTGGGTGACCTCAACAAGGAACATTTATTTCTCAGTTCTGGAGGCCAAGATCCAGGTGTCTGTACGTTTGGAGTCTGGGGATGGCCAGCTTCCTGATTCATGATGGTTGTCTTCTCTGTCTTCACGTGGCAGAGACAGAAGCAAGCTCTCTCAGGATTAGTATAAGGGCACTACTCAGATCCCATTCATGAGGGCTCCACCCTCATGACCTCATGTAATCCTAATTACCTCCCCAAGACTACACCTCCTAATACCCTCAGGGGAATAGTTTCAACATAGGAATTTTAGGGAGACACAGACACAAGCATTCCGTCCGTAACAGCCACCACCTTCCCAGATACCTTGGTTTTAGAAAATTTTATTGATTTATTTTTTTGAGTTGGAGTCTCTCTCTGTCACCCAGGCTGGAGTGCAGTGGCGCAATCTCGCAATCACTGCAACCTCCACCTCCCGCGTTCAAGGGATTCTCCTGCCTCAGCCTCCCGAGTAGTTGGGATTACAGGCACGTGCCATGACACCTGGCTAATTTTTTGTATTTTCAGTAGAGATGAGGTTTCACCATGTTGGCTAGGCTGGTCTCGAACTCCTGACCTCAGGTGATCTGCCGATCCTGGCCTCCCAAAGTGCTAGGACTACAGGTGTGAGCCACCTTGCCCAGCTGGTTTTGGAACATTTTAAAATAATTTATTTGAAAACCCAGAATCCACAAAGAAAACTTAAATTCACACACACACACACACACACACACACACACACACACACACACTGTCTCTCTGTTTCTCTCTTTCTCTCTCTTTCTCTCTCTCTGTCTTTCTCTCATATACACATCCTGCATGGCAAAACCTATAAACAAATTCAAGAAAAATAGCACATTAGGAAAAATATTTATAGTTTGCAGCACAAAAAGAGGGCTAATTTCTCTAATATCTGAAGAATTCCTTGGGCTATATGAAAGAAATATGAATAGCCCAATAGAAAAATGAATATGAACACATTTTATAGAAAATGAAATTGCTGGCCAGGTGCAGCGACTCACGCCTCTAATCCCAGCACTTTGGGAGGCTGAGACAGGAGGATCACTTGAGGTCATGAGTTCCAGACCAGCCTGACCAGCATGGTGAAACCCCATCTCTACTAAAAATACAAAAATTAGTTGAGCATGATGGCATGCACCTGTAATTCCAGCTACGCAGGAGGCTGTGGCACAAGAATCACTTGAACCCGTGAGGCGGAGGTTGTAGTGAGCCAAGATTGTGCCACTGCACCACTGGACTCCAGCCTGGGCAACAGAGCAAGACTGTCTCAACAACAACAAAAAAAGAATTGCCTATCTAATAAATGTATGAAAAGATGCTTTTTGTCTCATATAGCGGTATGCACAATAAGAATACACCAATACATTTTTCATTCCTTAGATTATCAGAGATCAGAGAGTTTGATAATACCGTATTGGTGAAAGTGGGGAAATGGACACTTTCAGGTGTCCTGTAATAATTTAAATTGATACAGCCTCTTGGGAGGGCAATTCAAGAATATCTGTCAACATTAAAACTTACAATTCTATACTCAGAAGTGTATTTTACAGATCTGATCACTGAAATTCGAAATAACAAATGTAGAAAACTTTTCACTCGATTATTGTTTGTTAAAAAGCAACAACCACAACACCTAGAGGCTGCCAGTGGGGCATGATTAAATGTATTATGGCCCAGAGGGGTGCTGCAGCGCTGTGCAGCCAGGAAGAGTTTCGAGGCCTGTAGGGCTTAACACATAGCATTAAGGTAGAACAAGTTACACAGAGTGCAAGTGAGCCTGCATAACATGCTACCACTATTAAAATGGCATAAAAGTATTTGCTCCTCAATACATAACATATCTCTGGAAGGCTACCCAAGAAATTAATAGCACTGATTCCTTCTGGAGGGCATCTGCTGGCAGGGACAGGAATGAGAGGGCTCACTGTATCCGTTTTCAATGCCTCAAAATTTGAGCCATATTGAATATATTACTTAGGAATTTTGAAAAGTACAGGAGAAAAAAATACATGCATGTGGTTAAAAGAAAAATCAAATGGCAAGTCCCTTTTTCTTCCTTAGCACATCATTTTTCTCTCTAAGTCACCAGTGTTGCAATTTTTTGTGTATATCCTTCCCAAGAGAGTTTGGCACCCCCCCACTTTTTTTTTTGTAAATTTTGCTTATGTGTGCTCTCCCTCTTTTCTTGCCACCACCTCGCTGCGTCCCTTCCCCATTCCCATGTTTGGAATTGACCACCTTTTGTGCTTTGAATGTGTCCATTGCAGGCTTCCTTCTGAATCAAGGCTTTCCAGTTTGTTTCACCAAACACATGTGCAGGGACAGTAACAGGTGCAGGGTGGGAAGAAGATTCTATTTTGGAAGGCTAAGTTAATTGGGCTTCTTAATTGAAGGTTTTTTCAGAGCCTCTAATATTCTAACACTTATTGTGATTCCCCAAGAGGGTATATATCATATATTATTATATTTTTATTGTCTTTCTGTGCACCCTCACAAAGGGATATATATACACATATACATGCACACCTGTTTACAAATTTATTCAATCAGGACACATTGCCTTTTTAACAAGGAGAATGCCATGGTCCTCATGTTCCACCTAATATATTTCGGGAAAGATGTTTCTGTTTAGACAATAACTTACATGGTTTTTTAATAAGTTAAAAAAAGGGGTTGGTATGAATATAGTTAAAATGGTAACACTCATGCCAATTTTTGTTTAGAATTTAGCTGTACTTACAAGAATGATACTTATGTCTCATATATTCCTGTTATATTCTCCATGTTATGGGGCATTATAACATAAATCTCAGTGGTCTGCCCCATGCCAGGAGTAGACTGTCCTCTGCGCTTTGGTAGCTGGCTGGCAACAACTGTGTTTGCCAGTTTCCCTTCTCCAGGTCTGCAGTTGATCGTATAATCTAGCCAGGGTGACCCACTGCCTCTTAGCCCCATCCTGTCCCTGAATTAGCCATAGCCGAGAGCCCTGGAGAGCCGAGAGCTCAGGAAGGGGAGAGGCAGCCTGCTCGTGCTGTCCTCAGCACTGGCTCAGGGGTGCACTGGCTCAGGGGTCTGTGTCGTCCCCGTGTGCCTGTTCATCTTCCCTCAGCTCCAGGGTTTACATGGTGTGTGTCCTGCTGTGATATTTGCAGACTCATTTGGTTGTGGTTGTCATCTTTCTCAAAAAATTCTTACTATAGCTGTGAAAAATATTCTAGTCTGAGCTCACATTTGACCTACCCAGTTTTTACAGACTTGAAAGAAAATATCTTTCTGAGTTGCAGTAAATGACTCCATTATATTCCTTATCCACGCCTCACCACTTGATGCGTTTTTGTATCACATTTGGCCTAGGAGTTGGTGTAGCCACCTGAGGCCCCATGTTTGAGGAACTGGCTTTTGTCACGTGAAGGTGTCGGTGCTGCCATCGTGTGGTTGTTCCAGGTGCTTGTAGGAAGTTTCCTTTTAAAATCTGATTTTCTTCAAGTCTTTCTTTCATTAAAAAAGGATTTATCCACCTCCCTCCATTACTCACAGAGATGTGACAGAATCAAGCAGATAGACCTGGAAGGTGATGGAAAAAGTTAAAGCCTGGGATTAGTTAGGAGTGCTAATTACAGACTCAGCCTGAAGAGACAGACAACATTTATTGTGTGCTTACTGCATGCCAGGCACTGTTGTGACGGCCACACCCAGCTGCACTCTCTTAATCCTCACCCCAACTCTGAGGTTGCACGGTTCTGCTCCCTGTATAAAGATGAAGATGCAGCGTGGAGGGATAGAATAACCCACCCAGGGCCACACAGCTAATGACAAGCAGAGCCTGCACTCAGACCCACACATTCTGATTTTAGAGCGTTTCACCTCAGCCTCCACCACAGATCACCACAGACATGAGAAGCCTTTGGCTACTACCAAAATTCAGTAAAGGAAAAAAATCTACCTGGAGAAGTTATTTTTTTTGTAATGTGGTAAAATATACATAACATAAATTTTACCATTTTAACTATTTTTAAGTGTGTAGTTCTGTGGCATTGAGTGTATTCACCATGCTGTGCAGCCGTCACCACCCACCATCTCCAGACCTTTCATCTTCCCAGGCAGAAACGCTGTGCTACCGAACACTAACTCCCCACCTCCCCACCCTACACCCCCACCAGCCCTTGGCAGCCCCCATTCTGCTTTCTGTCTCTATGAATCTGACTGCACTAGGGACCTCGCATCCGGGGAATCATACAGTATTTGTCTTGTGACTGGCTGACTTCACTGAGCACGTTGTCCTCAACGTTCATCTGTGTTGCAGCCTGTGTTGGAACTCCCTTCCTTTTTAAGACTGAGTAGCATTCCATTAGTTAGAAAGGTGTATTTTGTTAGGCAGTGCATAGTAAAGAGCCATGAGAGAAGCTGCCCTTTGAATTAAGTGCTTAGAAGAACTGTTCTCTCCAGAAGCGCTTGTGTTATGTTTAACTTGGACAATGCAGCCTTGGAAACAGGTTTAGAAGTCTTTAGATTAGAATCTTCTTTCAATTCCCCAAATCACAAATGTTAGAAATCTCAGTTCAGAAATATAATACTGATAATAAGGATTTTGACTTCAGTTTCAACTTGCTTCCAGAATCCATGCAGCCTCTTAAGCCTGCCGGAAGCCAGGTGTTTGGCCTGTAGCCTCTGTACAGAGTAGACATAGAGTGGCTCCTTAGAGGGCTAGTTTGCTGACTTACTCTCTTCACCTGGCAATTTGCACCACTGCCTTATAATGAAGGATGAGCTGATAATGAAAAAAGAAACTTGGAGCATCCACTGATGAGTTAGCTCTGGAGATAAATGGACTTTCTTGTTCTCTGTCCTTCGTATGTACTCATCCTTTTCGTCTTTTCCCTGACAGCCTACCTGGCTCCAGGTTTTATAGCTCAGGATCATCTGAGCAGAGGGCAGGAGGAGGCATTGATCGTAGTAGACAGTTTGGAAATGAGACCGTCACCTTCAGAGAACCAAGAATTGGCCATGCTTGGTAAAATTTCTGATCAGGCATTTTTAGGTGGAATCTGACGGTGTTCTCTGTATCATCCTGGGCTTCAGCATCCATGATGCTTACATCCAGGATGAAGAACCTCTTTGCATTCCCCTTCCAAGTGTGCATGTAGCATTCCCAGACTAGATTATAGAAAATAACCCCTTATTCTTGGAGATTTGGAATGTCCACAGGAGTAATTTCCATTTCCCTGCAGATAGAGGAAGAGCGGATGCCATTTGAATCCTACCGCCATAAGGAATAAATTGCCGTTCTGATTTCTCCTCAACAAGCCTGGGTGTGATTGAGAATTCTTCTACTGCAGCTGATGGGTCCTTTGCATCCCTTTTGCTAAGTGGCTGGCCTCTAGTATTTCTGCTTTCAGAAATGTTACTGGCATTCCCAGGCAACAGAACGTTGCCTTGCTCCCTTTTGCTTATTGTTGGGTGGTATAATTGATTTGGTCTTTAGGTCAGAAATGGCTGGTTTCAGTGAAGAAAATTAAAGACTGATGGTAAAGGGAAAACTGAAAGGTTTAAGCAGCCTGCTTTGTCTGACATCTCTAAAGGGATTTCTACTGGAAGTAGGTGAGGAATGGTTGCTATGCTTCTGAGAGTCCTTTAAAACTACTGTGTAGTGAAAGCTTTTTTTTCTTCCACCCTGTCTTATGGTGCTGAGTGAAAGCCCTTTGAAAGGTAATTTGAGAGAACAGGGTTGATAGCATTTCAACACCGAGGTTCCACTTCTGTTGTACCTTCAGTGGGTAACACACCAGCTGCCTGCTGTGTACCTGGAGGAATCAGTGAGTGGAAAGATCTGGCCTCTAGAATCAGAAAGGCCTGGTTTTAAATCATGGTCCAACAATTCTTACTTTAGTAAGTTGGGTCTAAAAACGTAGCATCTCTGGGCAGAGTTTTTGTACCTGTAAGATGGGGATAGTGAGTGACAATGGAAGTGGAGTTTCATACAAATGGATCAGAGAGTTGATCAGTAAGCACCGACTGAATGGCAGACACATGGCTAGTAGTGGGAGACGCTAGGTGAGTGATGTATTTGCCGTGCCTTCACAAAATGTGTGGCTGTCAAATGGAAGGATGAGTTAGAAGGAGGAGGTGTCAAAGTCAGAGAGAGTAATTAAAACACAGTCTTTACTCATGAGGCGATTAGAGCCTGGGCTATGGTGTTGGCATCTGTAGGAACAGAGTGAAGAAACATGTCCAGGAGCCATTTCATATAGACAATGGCAAGACGAGGACACCAGCCATGCTGGACGGTGACGGAGTGGGGCGTGGGATCAGAGACACCACACAGCAGGTTCCTAATGTGCATTTTGCTATTGCTGGATGTAACAAGAACAAAGTGGTCATGGAAATGTGGGTCATAGTGGAGTAAACAAGATAAACTGGCCCCTTTATTGCAGGAGTGTCGGATGTTGGTGTGTTCATGTGGGTTGGACGTCACCAGCAGGAGATGGAACATGCAGCATTTCTGCATCTCTGACTAAGAAAGCCTGGGTGTTTGTCTGTTTCATTATGAAATGAGTCGGCCCTGTGCTCTGAGGGATGCTCTGAAAGGTGGTACTGTGAGTTCAATTCCAGAAGAGTGGAAGAAGGCCAGGCGGTTCCTGGACTGCCAGAAACACCAGGGTTGTTGATATCCATCTCAGCAATCACAAGTACAGGGACTCGTTGAAGCCCTGTGAGTTAATGAGGAGGAGTATTGGAGATCAAGACGTGCATTTGGGAAAGATTGGGGAATTACAAAAATAAAACCATAAAGAGACAGATACATATAATTTCATATGCACCTTGTTTTTTCCTCAGCTTGTAATTTTACATTTCTATGTTATAACGAACACTTATCTAGGGTTAGACAAATTTAACCCTGCCGTGATGGTTTCAAGATTCACTAAGAGATTACACCCGTCTTTCCTTGCAGGTAATGTACAGAAGGATTCTGCAGCAGGCGGGATTTATACAGTTTGCACAACTTCAGTTCCTGGAAGCTAAAGAGCTCTTCAGGTAATTTGAGGTGCTGGTAGCAAGACTGCCACTACAGTGTCCCTCTGTGGCCAGAACCTGCGTTTCTGGTGTGACGTCGCGGTGGGATGTGTTGCATGGTTAGATTGTGCTTCAGGTGGATACGGTGGGGGTAGCTCGTGACAGCAGACCCCGCCAATGCTGGTTCCTCAGCGTCACCCCTCACCCGGAGCCTTAATTTAACTGGCCTATGTCTTAGAGTGGGAGCAGACAAAGGGCACAGACACTAGTCCTGTGGAGGCATCGAGATTGTTTTGCCAGGAGAAAATTCTAAAGAGCGGATCTGATAGCACGCAAAGGACCCCTAGGAAAGTGCTTTGGTTCATTCTTGCTTCTCTCCAGTGTTTTTACAAGAAGCTATGAGCTTAGTGCAGGGGGGAAAAGACAGTGCTTCTGGGAAGACTTATGAAACTTTCTGTCATCCTCTAAAGACTTTCTAAATGTTCTATTCCTGGTCAGCTCTCAGAAAGTTGAGTTTCTCTTAAGGAGGTCCCTTCTGGCACTGTGATTACTCTTGTGCTTGTCGGATGTGCTTGTGGGCTGTTGATTGTGTTCTCCCCTTTCCCCTGCCCGCCACACCTGCCTTACAGGCACGCCTTGCTGTCATGCCACCTCCAGCTGCCCTTGTCCCACAGCTGAGTGCTCAGTGAGGCAGGAGTTAGCCATCCCAGGCCTTGCTCAGCACTCTTTGCAGAAGATTAAGTTAGACCTGCTATGAGAGTCTTGAAATATCGTACTCAGGCACTGCCTTTAGAGTAAGTTCTCAAAATGTCTCTCCAGAATAGATTGTGCACAGTTTACAGCTATCTAAGAAATAACATGTATAGGAAGCCCCTGAATAGATATTTTCATCCAAGTAGTGACTTGAGCAGAATGCCTCCCTTGCCTGTTCTGTAGGAGGTCTGCCCATGACCAGCCACGTCCTTACATCCACGGTGGCTCTAATCTTTCACTCTATGCTGGATATTTGAAGAATGGCATTACTGAAAATGATTACAGTTACACAATCGGTTGTAGAGAATGGATTTCTAAGTAAAGGAGGAATCATTCCTTGAATAATGATGCCCCATATAACTTTTTCTTGTACAACTCTTACATGCTGTTCTCTGTTCTTGGAAAGACCCGTGGCTTCAGGGTTTAAGTCAGTTTTTTGCCCCTTTGGACCTAGGCTCTTTTCTGCCGTATCTTGTGTTAGCCCTACAGTGTTGAAGACCTCCTCACCGGGGTCATGGGTGTATCCCAAGGTGTCTTCTTTCTCTTATGGGTTAATCTGAAACATTAGGTGATTGTCCACAGATGGATTCCTAGAAGAGTCCTCGGATTTTGTAAGAGAATAGATGTGGGGCCTGTTATTAGGATGACATTCCTGTACTTCCGCACCTCACTCTCTTAATGGCTTAACTTTAAATTGCTGCTCGTCTTTGGTCCAAAGTGTGGCTGAGAGAACGGATTTTTTTTTTTTTTTTCGTTTTGAAGCAGCATCTCATTCTGTCTCCCAGGCTGGAGTGCAGTGGTGCAATCATAGCTCACCGCAGCCTCGACCTTCTGGGCTCAATGATCTTCCTGCCTCAGACCCCTGAGTAGCTAGGACTTCAGGTGTATGCCACCACGGGACCTGGCTAATCTTTTATTTTTTGTAGAGATGGGATCTTATTGTGTTGCCCAGGCTGGTCTCAAACTCGTGGCCTCAAGTCATCCTCTTGCCCCAGCCTCCCAAAGTGGTGAGATCACAGCCATGAGCCACTAGGCCCAGCCTGAGAATTGATATTTGAAGAAGATACTTCTAAGACAAAGATGATTCCACTTCCTTTTCTGTGCTCACAGCAAATGTTGCTAATAAATTGTGATTTTCTTTTCCTCGTTGAACTGGACCCGTCCTCTGACTCCTCAGTGCCGTGCCGGAGGCCACAGTTACCAGCTAGTTATGGTTGAAACTTAAGAGAAAATTGATCATACATAACCTGGGGATGTGGGCTCTGTGTCTCTTCCTTTAGACCACCTGCACCCTGTCGTTGTATCAGCTAGGTTCAGCTCTTCTTTCATTCAGCAAACGTGGCCTGAGCATCTGAGCAATGGATGGAAGGGTAACCCAGTGCCTGCTTCTCTGGCATGCCCATTCTAGCTTGGAAACTGGATGTGTGCCTTTCCTGCAGCACAGGTGCTGCTCTGCTGTGGGAGCGTTGCATGGGCTCACATCAGCCAGTGGAGGAATCTTCCCTGGATTCGTCCTGGATCTTAAACAATGAGCAGAAATTTCTCAAATCAAGAATTGTACTTTAGGTCAGGGATTCTCAGCTGTGGCACTGTAGACGTTTTGAGCCAGATAATTCTTTGGGCAGGGGGTTACTGTCTTGTGCATTACAGGGTGTTTAATGGCAGCAGCCCTGGCCTCTACCTACTAGATGCCATAGCACACCCCCGCCCCAGTCATGATAAAATTGTCTCCAGGCATTGCCACATGTTCCCCAGGGAACAAAATTGCTTTTCACCAAGAACCACTGCTTTAGGCCAGGAAACAACCACAGCAAAGGCTGAGAGTCATGAAATGTACAAACTGGCAACATAAGTGGGTCTAGTAGAAGTGTTGGGGTGTGGGAGGGATGCTTGAGGCTGAAGGTGTAGGGTAGCTTGAGATCAGTTTGGGAAGGGCCTTGAATGCCATACTAAGAGATTTGAAATTTATCCTGTGGGTTATACAAATCACTGGAGGTCAGGAGAGGCTGAGTGAAGTGGAAGGAAGGGCAGCCAGAGGTGGAAGCCAGTAGAGGAGGACAGCTGATCAGAGCTTGGATGAAGGAGGATGCTCTGAACATCGCAGGCAGCATGGATCCTGGGTCCTTCCTCGCCATTCCATGTGTCTGGGGTGGGGTGGCCCCTGCTTCTGTTCCCTCAGGAGGTTTTCCACAGCTGGGTCTGACACTGGGCCAGGTTTGAGATCCACAGCTCCTGCTCTGATTGTAGCCAGGACAAGGAGGTTCCGGAGAGGAGATGGGAAAGGAACTGTTTGTTGCATTACAATGTTAGGCTCTGAAATTCTACGAGAGTCCCCACAGAAATGGCCACATGAATATTTCTGTGTCTTCTGTTGTGAGATGTTGGTGAGGAAGTTGTAAGTTACTGTTTTTATAAAGTCCCTTCTTCAAGGACCATTCAACAAATCTGTTTGTAATTTAGTGCCAGGAAAATGCTGGTTTCAGCAGAGCTGTGATGGTGCCTTTGCGCAGACTCTGATGGCGTGTTATCCTGGGTGTTGCTTTTCTGCCTTGGTTTCCAGGCTCAGCTGGGTATTCTCTTCATCATAGGCATTTTGGTGTTCCACTCTCACACCAGTTCTGTATGTGTCTTTCACCTTCGTCCCTTCTGTTCTTTTTTGGAGCCAGGTGGCAGCACCCACTTGGATGGTGCTTTGCTGCACTTCAGATTAGAACGGTTGCTCTGACATGATTACCCTGTCCCCAGCTCCCCAGCCCCCTGTGAACGTGTGCCACCGTGCGCTCCCCTCCAGTGCTGTTTTGTGTGCCTATGTGTACTCTTCTCTCTTTTTGCTTCATTTAGTTTGACACTGTAATTGCAGAAGCGGCCAGCTTGATGTCCGGGAGCTGATCTCTCTCTACCCCTTCCTGTTGCCCACCTCCTCCTCCTTCACCCGGTCCCACCCTCCTCTTCATGAGTACGCAGACCTGAACCAGCTGACCCAGGGGGACCAGGAGAAGATGGCCAAGTGCAAACGCTTCCTCATGAGCTACCTGAACGAGGTCCGCAGCACAGAGGTAGCAAATGGCTACAAGGAGGACATCGACACAGCCTTGCTCAAACTGTATGCAGAGGCTGACCACGACAGCCTGCTGGACCTCCTGGTCACTGAGAACTTCTGTCTTCTGACGGACAGTGCTGCCTGGCTAGAGAAGCACAAAAAGTGAGTGTTCCCTTCCTGATATGATCAGGGCTTCCCGCCCTGCACCCTTACTGAGGCTCTTTGCTGGGGAGATCCTCGTGAAGTGACTTAGCCAGTGTGATGTTTATGTTCCCAAGTACCTATAGGTGACTGCCACGAAATCATAGTGACAGCAGATGCATGTGCTCCTCAGATGCCCTCTCTGTCTCCACCATCTGCAGACCCCTTGAAGGGGTCTTGGAGGGCATTTGTTCTCATTCCCATTCTTTAATAATTTGGAGTATAGTTTGGAACTAGTAATATGCTTTGTGAGTAAATGAAGTTAATTTTCTTTCTTTTTTTTTTTTTTAATGACTATTTTTTTTGAGACGGAGTCTCGCTCTGTCACCCAGGCTGGAGTACAGTGGTGTGATCTCAGCTCACTGCAACCTCCACCTCCTGGGTTCAAGCAATTCTCCTGCCTCAGCCTCCCAAGTAACTGGGACTACAGGTGCACGCCACCACACCCAGGTAATTTTTGTATTTTTAGTAGAGACGGGGTTTTGCCATGTTGGCCAGGCTGGTCTAGAACTCCTGACCTCAGGTGGTCTGCTCGCCTCGGCCTCCCAAAGTGCTGGGATTACAGGGGTGAGCCACTGCGCCCAGCCATGAAGTTATTTTTCAATTTCCTTTGTAGTCAGCCTCGTATTCACTTGTGGGAGATGCCACATGTTTATTGGTAAAATTTACAGTGCATTTTAGTTACTGACAACTGAATTGAATAGATAGCTAGATAAACAGATTCAAAGGGAGGCTTCTTGATTTTGTTGATACATGGTATGGTTTTAAACTCTGCCTTCCTTGGCTGGACATGGGGGTTCATGCCTGTAATCCCAGCATTTTGGGAAGCTGAGGTGGGCATATTGCTTGAGCCCAGGAGTTTGAGGCCAGCTTGGGCAACACAGTAAGATCTTGTCTTTACTAAAAATTAAGAAGAAATTAGCTGGGTGTGGTGGTTCACGCCTGTGGTCCCAGCTACTCAGAAGGCTGAAGCAGGAAGATTGCTTGAGCCCAGGAGTTTGAAGCTTCAGTGAGCAGTGATTGCACCATTGCATTCCAGCCTGGAGACAGAGCTAGACCCTGTCTCAAAAAAACAAAAAACTCTGCCTTCCTTATGTGCATGAGTTAGTAGATGGCCTTATGTATCATGGACTGTTAATGCATAGTGCCTGGCTTAGTTGGGGCCAGCAGCTTCTCCATTCTGGGCAGCTAACACATAGCCCAACCATTCTAGGCCTCACTTTTCTTATCTTTAAAAATGAGAGGGGTTGGGTGATCCCTCAGCTCCATTTACAGGATAAGATTTTTTCGGTCTATGATTTTCGTTAAGGATTTGAAATGACAAAAGCGTGGATGAACTCCCACAGAGACCCTGGGGTCACTGTGCTAGTATCTGAGATGTCAGAGCCTTCCACGTGGGTATTGGCCTTTTCAGCAGTTTCCATCAGCCACTCGGATATGCTATGGAATCAGTGTTAGTTTTTTCAGGAGCCAGAAAACACACTGCCACCTTATGGTAGTGACAAGGGATGGTGGGATCCGTAGAGTCAGCATGACTTTCCAAAAGGTTGAGGAAAAGAGAAGGATTCAAGCAGATGCCTCAATATCTTGAGAGTGTGCCCTTGGAGGGAAGATGCTTGACCCCTCACTGGTCAACTTACTCCAGTTTCCTGCTGGGAAGGAGGACCAGGAGTGTGGCACCCTTGCAGACTTTGGGAGGGTGCTGAGGGCTCACTGCCCAGGCAATGCCAATGCTATTGCCGATCTTTTCCATTTATAGGTGAGGAGTTAGAGGCTGGGCAAGTTAACCTACTTGCTCAAGGTCACGCGGGTTATAAATAATGAAGCTGGACTTGAAACCCAGGTTCTTGAACTCTGGGCACTCTCCCCCAGGACGCTCCCTGACTCTGTGGTCTGCGAGTCCCGGACACTAGCACTTCCTGCTGTTCCTCATGTTCAGAGCCCCTGCCCTCCTTCTCAGTCTCTGCTTAGGCAAAGTAGCTTCTGCATATTCTTCTAGTACCTCATGTGGGTTAATAGTAGTAGACCAAAGACATATGAAATTATATTAATATTTGAAGCAAATTGTAAAGCAACTCCAGCTGTGATTTTTCCATAGTTTACTTTTTCAGCTCATCTTAGATTGGAATCAGATTCTTTTTGGAAGTTGATAGAGCATATATTTTTAGTACCATAAGTAAATATACAGCAATGAGAATCCTTTGGTTGTTTGTTTGTTGTTGTTGAACTACACACACACACACACACACACACACACACACACACACACACACATATATTTTTTGAGACAGGGTCTCACTCCGTCACCCGGGCTGGAGTGCAGTGGCACAATCAGGGCTCACTGCAGTCTTAACTTTATGGGCTCAAGTGATCCTTCTACCTCAGCACCCCAAGTATCTGGGACTACAGATGTGTGCCCCACACCTGGCTAATTTTTAAAAATATTTTAATAAAGACAAGATCTCACTATGTTGTTGCCCAGGCTGGTCTCAAACTCCTGGGCTCAAGCCATCCACCCACCTTGGCCTTCCAAAGTGTTGGGATTACAGGCATGAGCCTGAACTCGAGTTGAATAGAATATGGGGAGCTTGGACTGGGGGTGTCACTGTGTGAAGGTCGCCTCCAGGAGCTGATGGGGAGAGGTTGTACTTACCGTGTTGTTCTGTTTCAGGTATTTTGCACTTGGACTGCTCTATCATTATAATAACCAAGATGCTGCTGCAGTTCAGGTGAGTCTAGAAGGGTTTCCACATGATTTAAAAATCAGCACCATGTAAGTAATACTTAGTGTTACTTAAAAAAAATTCACAAGTTGATAGAGACCACTTTTGCCTGATCTACACCCTTTTATACAGAATAAAAATGATTCTGTTTTAGAAAGTGAATTCCTGGAGAAATGTTGGCCAAGAGTTTTCTTCTCATTGTCTTTCCATCTCCTTAAAGAACATTATCAAGACTGAGTTTTTGAAAACTTAAGAAATGAAAATATGATCTCACAGAGTTCCAAGTCATAATATATCACTACCCTTATCAGAAAATTTAGGCAGTGAATGATAGTCGGATTTACCATTTCCACTGTTAGTGATGATCACTGTTGCCAATGAGCTGGGTACATTATTATCCTTGTGTCACCTGTGACAAAACCAAAGCTGATGCATGCCAGTTGCTTGCCCGAGGCCATGTGTCCGTGGTAGATCTGGGATCTGAACCGCGCTCCATTGGCCTGGCAGGGGTCCTGCACCCTAATCAAAATGGCATCGATTTATTAGCATTGTCACATTTTGTATCTTACATCTTGCTACTGATCTTGAGAAAAGCCTCATCTCACACTCTCAGGGGGAGACTTTCTCCCCTTCGTTATTAGTTATGCATTTGTACTGCACCGTGTTGTTTCCTGATGTGCCTTTTTGCTTTATTTTGTGAGGGGCCAAGAGCATCAGCCATGTTCCCCAAGCTAAAGTTAACCTCATGACTCTGGCAAGGCTGAACATGTATTTAGTGTTTGATTGCTTTGTGAGACTATTGTGGTAACCTGATTGCAGAGCAGAACAACAACAACAACAAAAAATGGAGTTGGGTGAATTAACACGTACCCAATGGCCAAGAGTAGATTTGGGTGTCAGTGATAAAATTTTCATTTTCAAAAACCTGGTGTTCTCAGTTACAGCTTTATATAAGTATAGTAATAACTTTAGCAGAGCTGTAGAGAGATAGATTTGCAAACTTGAAGTGATATGGGATAAATCTCCATACGTGGTAGAATTTTATATAAAATGGCATATTTCAAGGTATGTGTGATTATTTGGTTTCAGCAATTCTGTGTTGAAGAAACTAGTATCATAAAAAATGTTCGTATGCTGACATCAGAATTCCAGAATTCATATGCCACCCCTGTTTCTGGGCTCCTTCCTGGTGCTGTGGCTTGGAGGGGTGGTGCTGTGTATGGGTGGGTGAGGCACGCCATGCAGGTATTGCAGAAGGAACCCACGCAACCGTCATCCTTTCTACCCCCAAGTGATGCTGCCTCATTCTGGGGTCCTGAAAGTAGGCTTCACTTAACATGGTAGGGAAGTTTCTGGCTGAAAAAGCAAAAGGCTTTTATCACTGGAGTCTATCCTGAGCCCCCTGTGCAAAAGGCAGTGTGAACTCAGGGGACAGAATCACTGAAGCTTTTGTAAAAGCACAACATCTGCCTATCACAGTCCAAAGGGGACTTCAAAATCAAGAATGTCTGTGACGGAGAAGATGGAAACAGAGCCTGGCTGATGGTTGTAGGTGAATCTTCTCTGTGTCGAGATGTTATCAGTGACCGTTTTCTTTATTTCATGAAGAAACATTTTTAATATATTCACCTCCCTGCATATATTCTGTTTACTGTGTTATTGTTAAAAAAAGAAAGAAAGATAAAAGAACCTAGAGCTTAATTTTTTTTTTTATTTCTTGGACTATGTCTTTTTACATTTCTTTATTTCTCCAAAAAAACTAAAATTTAAGCATTTACAGTTTTTCCAACTACTTTAAAAGGTATTAAAAAGCCAAATAAGTAAACATATGCCATTTCTCAACTAATTCTGAGATATGTGCCTTTATGATTGTTTTTTCTTTTCTTTTTCTTTTTTTCTTTTTGATTCCTTTCCAGTTGTGGGTGAACATTGTGAATGGCGATGTCCAGGACTCCACACGCTCAGACCTGTATGAATACATCGTGGATTTTCTTACCTACTGCTTAGACGAGGAACTAGTGTGGGCCTATGCTGATTGGGTCCTGCAGAAAAGTGAAGAGGTTTGTGCTTCGTAAAAATGCATTCTCTTTGGTTGGGGGAGGTGGTAAAAACAGACCCCAAAAGCTTTGCTTTTAGGAGGGGAAAAGAAAGCTACATTTCAACCTCCTCCTCTGTTTTTTGTTGTTGTTATTATTCCCCTTTTAATACCTTCCCTTGAGCTCTCTGGATTCTAGCTCTAGGGCAGTTCTGCATCTTGCTGCTGAGACATTCCATTGAGAATCCCCTTGCTGGGGCAAGTCACTTGTATAGAAAAGCAAGACATAGCCAGCTTGCATTTTTAGCATCTTCTTAAGAACTTGTGTCTGTGAACCCCGCTCCTCGACCCCTCAGAAGTCTGACACTGCTGTTTTCTGGAGCAGGATTAGGTGGTTGCCCTGAAGGACTTGATCTTTGGGAGGAGGAAGCACCCAGACCTGGGCCACACTGGGCCCTCATCCCTGCTCCCACCACTGCCAACATGGAGCTTGTGGGCCTGGAGGAGGGAGGGGAGCCATGAGCAAGACTCGGCCTGTCCTGGAGGCTGAGAAATGCTGGCAGTGAAAAAGCACCTGTTGGCTAGAGGGAAGGTAGCAGGCTCAGGACAGTATCCTTAGTAAAGCCCCACAGGTGACCACAGGTGACTGGGAAGAAGACAGCAAGCATTTCAGTTCTCATCGTGAAAAACGTATACGCTTCCATGGCTCCCCTTGGAGAGACAAAATGAGCTTTCTGATGCAGGACGTTGGTCCTGAATGGAGAGTTTCTGAGTGCTGCATCTGCCTTTCTAAGACCTGAGTTGGAATATATTCTCATATCCTCCGTGGTGCTGGCTTCCCTGGAAAATCAGAGCCAGGCACTTGCACTTTGCATACTTGTTTCTCCATCTTTACTTTGCCTCTGTGCACACGCCTGCAGAGCACATCCTGACCTGCTCACACACACCTACAACATGGATCTCAGTGCCGTTGCAAGGTTTAGGCTTCTCCCAATGCTTATGGATGATAACAGCAGATACTGCACGGTGGACAATCCCCTGACAAAGGTCATCGCTTAAACATCATAGCAGCCCCTCAGTGGGCATTAGCTACAGATGAGGAAACTGAGGCTATAGTTGGTAGAGCTGGGACACAAATCCAGGCTTATAGAATCCAAAATTCATACCATAATACATGATACGTGAATGTATTGGCCTTGGAGGGGGGAGGTGCGTGTGTGCGTGCACATGATAGAACCTCCCACATGTAAGTGCTCAGGGGAGGTGCAGTGGAGAGCTGCTTTCCTGCCTGCCTCACTGTCCTTTCCTTGAACCAGAGGATTGGACCAGTGCCTCCACTTGATGGACACAGGAAGGCAGCCCGGAAACTTACTCAGGGACTGGAAGCTCAGATCTCAGATTAACCATCTATCATAAATAACCCAGAGTAGATAATCCATGTTCAGAGAAGTGAGTTTACTGTACAGAAATTTCAGCACTTTTGATATCTTTTCACATACTGTTCTGCAACTGGCTATCCCTGTTCTTGGATGATCTTAATGTTATTATTATAGGTTGTCAAAATCTGTCACCAGTAAATGCTTTGTTCTTCAGTTTCCAATTTGCATGGGGTGTGTGAGGAGGACTTCAGGGTATAGGCTGGCTTTTCTATCTTGATTTTTTGCCCTCTGGCCTTTGACAGTGCTTCATGCTGGGCTGTTTTTCTCCATAATTATATTTTTTAAGCCACTGTATTGAGATATGATTGACATACAAAAAGCTGTGCATACATAATAATTTAATCATATTTTAAGTGATGATTTTATCCAAAGCTTGAATGTGCAATGACCAAAATAAAGTTAAAGGAAAGGTGGGTTTGGGAAGCACAGTCACTGTATTGTCGCTCCTCTTTCAGGTCGGAGTTCAGGTTTTCACCAAGAGACCTTTGGATGAACAGCAGAAGAACAGTTTTAATCCAGACGACATTATCAATTGCCTTAAAAAATACCCTAAAGCCCTTGTGAAGTATCTGGAACATCTTGTGATAGACAAGAGACTGCAGGTGAGCACTGCAGAAGTTAGACTAAAGAGTGTGGGCTGGAGAGACGGAATTGAACTAGAACACTTTTTGGCATGTGATTCTGTGTAATGTCTGTTCCCTGGGTGATCCATCCGTACTTGTTGATGGTCTGATGGCGGCCTTGAGGCTTGCGGAAAGAGACCTGGAGCAATAGGTAGCTTTATTTTTTTCTCCGTCCGTCTCACACCCACTCAGCTTTTATTTTTCCTCTCTTTTCCTTCTTTGTTATTATCCTTAAAGGAAATAAAGGGAGCTATACCTTTTTGTAGGTTATCTAAATTCTGTGGCCCTTACTTCTTGAAATAAGAGGTGACATTTTGTTCTATTCCCCATAGATGGTAAACTCATCTCAGTATCATGGTTTCTGAGAGGGTTTCGATCCAGCAAGTGAGCATCTGCCCAGCTCATGTCAGTGCAGCCGCGGTCTCCAAGCCCTGGCTGACAGGGGAGAGCTTTGACTTTCCCACTTGAAAACACTGTCTGTCTGCTTGGCTCCCCCTGTTTCCTGCAGAAAGAAGAGTATCACACCCACTTAGCTGTGCTGTACCTGGAAGAGGTGCTGCTGCAGAGGGCCTCCGCCAGTGGCAAGGGTGCAGAGGCCACCGAGACGCAGGCCAAGCTGCGGCGGCTGCTCCAGAAATCTGATTTATACCGAGTCCACTTTCTTCTCGGTGAGGATGATCTCAGTATTGTCTCCCTTTGGAAAAAACTCATATCAAGCGGGTGGGAGGAAGCAGAGAGAAGGGCTTTGGCACAGCTGCTGGTTGATTGCACAGGGTGATTCTTTGAGCCTCTTTTTTTAAAAAGATTTTTTTAAATGAAGACAGGGTGTCGCTTTGTCACCCAGGCTGGTCTCAAACTCATGGCCTCAAGTGATCTTCCTGCTTCTGCCTCCTAAGGTGCTGGGATTATAGGCGTGAGCCACCACACTCAGCCCTTGAGCCTCTTTTGACAGAGTCAGCCTCCTTGCAGGGAGAAATAAGGCTTCTCGTGCCTCTAGAGATGGACCGTGCCTCTAGATGGACGGTGCCCTTTGATTGATGATGTTGGTGCTGCCCTGGTAGACTTTAGACGTCTGTGTGTCTCTTGACACACAGTGTCTTTATTCAATGTCAAAGCACTGAGTCATAGTTCCCTCTGACGGCTTCAGTCTCTGATCAAGGCTTTGCAGTAGGCACTGCCCCCAGCGACCCATTCCCGAGCTGCTCAAGGCTCAGGTCCCTCGAGCTCTAAGCAAGAAGGTTATGCAGGTGTCTTGGAGGGCATTTGGGTTTCTGTTCCTCAGGGGTACAGAGGCCACAGTTTCTGTATTGTGTAAAGTTCCACAGCGCAGCATGGTGCTTGCAACTGGTAGAATTAACTAGTTTCTTGCCACATTAAGAATTTCTGCATTTATACTCACTGGGGTTAGTGATGTGTTTTTCTTTAATGGCCTTTAATACCATTTTTTGACCAATAACAAAGCATATCTAACACACGTGTTGTCTCCATAAAGCACATCACAACCTTCCAGAGCTTAGGAGCGCTAGGCAGCACTTCAGCACTACACTGAAATCACCAACAAGAAGCACCAAAATGCAAAAAAGCATGGCAATAAATAGCCCGTGAAAAGGAAACGTGTAGCTAGTACGACAGCTGAAGCAAGGAAGGAGGGCGCTCCTTCTTTGGCCTCAGCTCTGCATCAGGCTCTGTGCTTGTCGTAAATGACCTTGAAGCTGCTGCGAGTGTTGATTGGGAGGTTACAAATAAATTTCAGCGAGTAGATGACTTTGTAAATACAGAATCCACAAATAATGAGGATTGACTAGATATGCCCAGCATAGGTTGAAACGCTGAGGCTGCCTTATGACACAGTTTCCACAACAACCCTGTGAAGTGAGGCCTGTTTTTCCTCCATTTTTACAGAAGAGTGCACTGAAGCCCAGAGAGGTTACCCCGCTTGCCACAGGTCACACAGCCCACGAGCAGTAGAGCCAGAACACAGGTGTGGGTTGGTATTTCATGAAACCAGCAAACACTAGTTCTGGCTTGTACCTGCACCTACATTAGGACTTTCTGTGGCGATCCGCTGTGCAATCTCTGTTCACTCACAGCCACCGTCCCTGACTGATCAGTGCCAGGGTGTCCCAGCTATTGAATTTTTACTCACTCCTGACTTATTCTTTTTGCTTTACAAATCTCCTTATAAAACTCTCAGGCCAGCCACAAGTGTGTGGTTCAATGTTTGCATTCCGCCAGCTTTTCTGAGTATGTAGAGTGTGTCACTGTGCATTGAGGATACAAAGATGGATGAGACTTGGTCCTGGTCCTCAGAGACTCAGAGTTTAATTGGAATGCAGTTAAGGGCAGGTACAGTTCTAGAAGGGCCGAGGAACCCACGAGCTGTGCCTTGGGGTGGAGGGGTCAGAGGCAGCCTCCCGGAAGAGGCCCTATATGAGCAGTCATTAGGTATAAGCCTGGGCTTGCAGGTAGCACAGGGGAGCTTTCAGGCAATGGGGGTATCCCCCGCAGCACTGTGGGAGGAGCACTGGAAATCCAAACACTGATTTTGTATCCCTTCTTAGTTAGATGACTTGGGGAAATGTCAGTCTAGGGAAGTTGTAAAAACGATTCCAGCCCAACCTATCCACTCGGGGTGGCTGTGGGAGTCAAATATAAATGAGATGATAGATGTGGAAGTGTAAATCACCACAGTGATCTTTTCTTAACTGTCTTTGTACCTCACCCAGGGTCTTAACTATGGCAGCCACTTAGTAATTATTTGTTGGCCTTCCACTGTGAGGATGAAGGCGTTGCGTATTGTGGCTTCTGTGTCTAGTGCTATAAGGGATGTACCTTGCAGGGCCAGCCCTTGGCTACACAGGTAGCAATGTCTGCCATGTTCTTCAGGCCTAAGCGACAGCCAAGATTCAAATGCCTATAATTTGATTATTAGTCTTGACCCTAAACTAGGGGTTGTCCTCATAATATTTCTTCACAGTAGGAAGAGATCTTATAATCTCTTGAGGATGTAAAAACAGATGAGCCTCACTTCTGGTCCTTAGAGACTCAGAGTTTAATTGCAATGCAGATAAGGGCTGGTGCAGTTCCAGACGGGCTGGGTGGGAAGTTACAGATGGGGTTACAGATGGGGTAGGAAGCAAGGTGACTTTGCCCGTGAGACACAGCCCACTAAGGGTGGGGCCTTGGTCAGGAATGACGCTTTGGGTTATGTCATTTTCCTTAGGACCTGGAAGCTTAATTGCAGGTGAAACAAACAAAAAAATCCTATTATTGGCAACCTTCTGTTGAGTAATGTAGAGATGGATTTTGAATAATATGAGCTCATATTCCATTCAATGAAATCTACTTTACATTGGAATAAAGGGGTTCAGCACATCTTTTGGGGGGAAGTAGTGTTTGTTAGGATTTTAGGGGACATAGTGTCCTTCTATTTTAGTCAAAAGATACTGTCCTGGGAGGATAGGAGTGATGATGGAGTGACTGGAGACCTGGAAGGCTGATACTCACTGAGCCACTGGGCCTTTCTGTAGTTGTGGTTCATTTGTTCTTTTCATCCTCTGAACACTAGAGAAAGGAATTATTCTGTGGTCCAGCTATACTTTTGAGTAGAGTCTGCCTTCTGTTTTACTAACACCTGGATTCACAGTGTGAAAATGCAAGAAAACCTACCCTCAGTCATCTGGGTGGCAGCATTTGGCATTGTGAGGGAGCCAGGTTGACTTTTCCCCTCCTGAAGCCCAGAGCAGCAAGGAGGCCAGTCGCTGGGCGGGTGGCCGGCGAGCCCCTTTCTTTCTGAGCTGCAGGTTCTGTCTTGCAGAGAGGCTGCAGGGAGCTGGCCTGCCCATGGAGAGCGCCATCCTGCACGGGAAGCTGGGCGAGCATGAGAAGGCGCTGCATATCCTGGTGCACGAGCTGCAGGACTTTGCAGCGGCCGAGGACTACTGCCTGTGGTGCTCCGAGGGCCGAGACCCACCCCACCGCCAGCAACTCTTTCACACGCTGCTGGCCATCTACCTGCATGCTGGCCCCACTGCCCACGAGCTGGCCGTGGCTGCCGTGGACCTGCTGAACCGCCACGCCACCGAATTTGATGCAGCCCAGGTGCTGCAGATGCTGCCTGACACCTGGTCAGTGCAGCTCCTCTGCCCATTCCTGATGGGGGCCATGAGGGACAGCATCCATGCCAGGAGGACCATGCAGGTGGCTCTCGGCCTGGCCAGGTCCGAAAACTTAATCTACACCTACGATAAGGTAAGTGCTGGCCCCCACGAGCTGCTTCCTGGTCAGTCAACATTGTACTGAAGGTAGATTTTACTGATGGAAAAATAGTCTTTGTTGGTTTTTCTTTTTTCTGTCTCTATGACTACAACACATCAATATCTGATCCTACTCATAGAAACTGAGGTCTGTGTGAGCAGAGGCAGAGGCTGGGCTGGTAGGTGTAACATCGGTGTAGTTTTTCTCCCCTTTTGGACGCTGGTGATTAAGAGAGTCTGTAGGGAGGAGAGCAGCATCAGAATATCAGGCGCTTACCCAGCATGTGCTGTGTGCCAGGCACTGACCTAGGCATTTTACGTCATGCTTGCATTTTGTCATCATGACAGTTTTATGCAGTATTTACTGTCAGCATCTCCATTTCACAGGAGAGGAAATTGAGGCAGAGAGCAGTCGCATGCTCAGGAAATGGGCGTGCCCAGAGCTGCCTCCCAGGCCAGTTGAGAACCCCACATTCTTCGTCCCCACACTGTACTCACCTTCGGGAGACTTCTTTCTTGTGGGCCTAAATTCCACATGGCTGGCAGAGTCTTCTTTCCAGAGCGGGTATCCGACGTGTTCCCCTCCCACTTAGAAGCCTTTGCTGACGCTCCCTGTCCTGGAAGATGCAGTCCCACCTCCTTCAGCATATCCCTCCCCACCTCTCTCTGCTTCCCAGCTCATGTCCTGGCTTTAGCACAACCTTCCAGATGTGATTTGGTATTTCATACTTTGTTGCTTTTGTAAATGCTGTACCCACTGCCTGAGATATTCTTACCTTTTTCTTTGTCCCCAGCAAATGCCCAGTCAAAATTTAGCCTTTATTTTTTTCCCTTGGTGAAGCCATCTCATACCTCTTAAGTAGAGTAATCACCTTCTCTTTCACCCACTTTTACTTGGTGTTCGCATTCACAGCTGTTACCCGCTACTATTAGAGTTTGGGTTCTTTGAGGACAGGGAACTTCATTTCTTTATCTCAGTGTCTGTAGGGCTAAGCCTGCCATGTCGAAGGCATCTAATCCGTGTTTGTGGAATGACTGATGCAACTAAGGAGTGCAGGATGAATCGCTAAGTTGCTGCTTGATCCTGCCAATAGACCAACCTGCCTCGGTTGACACGAGTGAATTGTGTAGAAAAACTTTATAACTTTCAGAACTCAAGTCCTGTTGATCAGACAGGGACCGATGGCATTAAGACTCAGTTTCACCAGTTACCTCTAAGGAAACGGAAGGGTGTCTCCCAGGACCAACCAGGAATATGCCACTTGTTAGCTGTGTAACTTTGACTACATCCCTTATTTGTTTGTGCTTTACTTTTCTTATTTGCAAATGAGAGAACCCTGGAGTTACACTATTATATGGTCTCATTCAGCATTAACATTCATGACTTTCTAACAGGCCTTGCTTGAAATGATCAGAGCCAGAGAATGTTGGAGAGAGGATCTTAAGTAGAAATGCCTCAGCCAGACAAGCAACAATTACTTTTGTGAAATAAGAAAAGCAATTGTGTAACTTTCTTCCTTGTCCAGTTACTAAGGATGGTTTTATTTACACCTTTAGCATTTCATTTCAAGAAGTTGATATTAAAGAAATCCTCATCATAATAATAACCCATGGAGTAATGCATGTCAACTCTGCAAAACTAGAACGTAGCCACTTTAAATATACTTAACACATGACAGCATTCTCAGTCTTGGTTTCTTCTTGCAGATGAAGTTGAAAGGAAGCTCAATCCAACTCTCAGACAAAAAGCTTTGTCAGATATGCCAAAATCCCTTTTGTGAGCCTGTGTTTGTTAGATACCCAAATGGTGGTCTTGTGCACACCCACTGTGCCGCCAGCAGACACACAAACCCCAGCTCATCCAGTCCTGGCACTCGGACTTGAAAAGCTTGGCCCAAGGGTGCGAGGGGAACTCCGAGTTCTTTCTGAGCCTGCTGGACATGAAGAGCAGATGACCACCATGCTCTGTGTCAGCCAGGACGAAGGGAGACATCTGGGTGCCAGGGAGCCTTCCGTCCATACGCAACAAGGACTCCTCGCTGCTGACCAGGCTCTATGAATGTACATGGAATGACCAGGCTCTATGAATGTACATGGAAAACCCCTAAAAATCCCCAAAACAGAAACATACAAGAGTTCACCTGTCCAGGTACATAGTAATCCAAGACAGAGGTCTACTTTGAAAAAAAAAAAAAGGGAGTCTTCCTCATGCAGTCCAGACCCAGGTGGGGGATCCCCCACCACCCCCACACTCCAACCTTTAGACTCATGTTTGCACTGGAAACGTGGCTTCACCATGGCTGGCGACAAAGTCCTCTCTTGCCTGGGTGAGTGGCGAGGGCACAGAGCCTCATGGGGGTCAGCCTTGCCCTCCTGCAGAAACACGTTCTCCATCCACGCCGCTCACTCATGGGCCCATTTCCCAGGGTTACCTCGTGGGCTCTGCCTTTGCCCTCAGAAACGGCTGACCCTGGAGAAGTACCTTTGTTCCTTCTTTCTTCCTCTCCGGCTCTCAGCTCCCAAAAGATTCTGCCTTGTGTACCCAAGCACTCACTCTTGGGTGAACTAATGCTTCTGGCTGCCTAGCAAGTGAAGATCTGTTGAGAAACTGAGAACGCTCCAAGAGAGAAGCTGCTCTCCCCTCCTTGAAGAAGCCGCGGACACGGGAAACCCACGGCGGGCAAGGGCCCAGCTGTGTGCTCCTTTCCTGTCATGGCATCTGCTGATTTGAAACTCCATGACGAACACGTTGAACTAAACATTTTTATTTAAATTTGTATCATGTTCGTAGTTGCTCTCTTGTTGAGAGAGTCATCTGTCCTGTTTGTTAGGGGTATTTTTTCTTGTTAAAATGTATCTCCTGTTGAATACTCGGGAAATTCAAAGGGAAGTGTGGTCAGCACACACTGAGCGTTCTTTTCTGGAGAGGCCGGTTTTAGCCTCGTACCTTTAGCAGGACCGACAGCGGGTGGAAGGGCCCGTGTGCTGGATGGGGGTGTCGCCTCCTGGATGGCACACCCTCCCGAGGACATCCAGACAGGCTGTGTCACCCTCCAGCACTTTATGTGCCTGCTCTGAGGTGTCCTGAACACACAGCAACGGCCTCTCCTTCATCACAGGCCGGGGATTCCTTTTGTGTTTCTGTATAACATCGATGACGAGCTGAAGCTGTTGTCACTTCACTGCCCTCTTTGGAATTTCTTCATTGTGCTGACTGATTCTATTAGGGGCTAACAATAAAGGCAGTCTACCCACTACTATCATGCTTGGGAAACAAGCGTCAGCTTGTACATATGACAAGAGAGGACCCTGAATACACCCTCTCTTCATCAGCCCAAGCCTTACTGAGGTGGGATGAAGACCTCATTCTCTGTTCTTTAAAACATGTTTCGTGAACTAATATTGGTCCATGTATTTTTTGTCCTTTTGGGACTCTAAGTGGGTCAAGAAGCAAAAACATCCATGTGTTGTTTGGGGGGAATTGGCACCATTTTTTCCTGACTATGTTTCAATTAACTAAAGAATAAATGATGAAGAAATTCTCCTTGTAGCACAACTGTATGCTGTGTAAATTGGTGTGAGCTCAAAGCCCAGTCATGTGTTTTACCTGTGGGTGACTCTGTTGTAGAATGGTCATATTACTGCATATGTTATCATGACAACTTGTGAGTTTGAGTTTATATTTCTCAAAGAACAAGTTACCCGTATATGCAACATTGCGCCATTAAAAGCTTATTTCTCTGTACACAAAATGGGTAAAATCTTGAAAAAACTTAGTAATTTCTCATTCCTAACACACAGACAGAGTCTCACTCTGTCACCCAGGCTGGAGTGCAGTGGCGCAATCTCGGCTCACTGCAACCTCCACCTCCTGGGTTCAAGCGATTCTGCTGCCTCAGCCTCCCGAGTAGCTGGGACTACAGGTGCATGCCACCACGCCCAGCTAATTTTTGTATTTTTAGTAGAGACGGGGTTTCACCATGTTGGCCAGGATGGTCTCGGTCTCCTGACCTCGTGATCTGCCTGCCTCGGCCTCCCAAAGTGCTGGGATTACAGGCGTGAGCCACTGCGCCCAGCCAACACTAGTCATTTTTATTTTTTCACTGAACATTGATCAATACTCTAAAATGTTTGTCATCCTTTAGAATAATGGGAATTAAAGTTGAGCAGTTTTCCATCTCTACCAAATCCTTCACCACAAGCAGCATTCTATTACAGTATGAAGAATTGTCTCATATGTTAAAACTGTACTTTTCTCTAACCTTTCTCTCACTCCTACAAGGCCCTTTTCTCAAATCATATTTCTGAGAGAAATGTATGGTTCTTTCTCACAGGCCTGCTGATTTGTAACTGTGCCATCGAATAGAGCAATTAGATCCATCAGACCTTTTTCCCCTCATTAGGTTCAGTGGAACCATTCTGGTTAAAACAGCATGAACTGAACTCAGTTTACATTCATATTCTATGGGCAATACCATTTGGTTTTTGGAACTGTTTATCTGCTGTTCCCTATCAAGTATTAATGTAGGGATGTCACTCAGGCTGCGTTGCACTGGGCTGAGTTCAACTGCGACGCTCTCACTGACGCGTGCTTACATGTGCTTCTCACTTCCGGAGCACAGGCAGGTGGCTGCGGGGTCCCAGCTCTGAATGGATGCCCATGATGCAACTGGGGCAGCCCTTGCTTTTTGCTTGCTCTCCCACAGAAACCTTTGTCCTTGCAACTTTATCCTTTGTCCCGATTGGGTCCCAGATACACAAAATGTACAAATGTAAACTTGCTCATTTTATTAAAATTCTTTTAGTTCTTTGTTCTTTCTGTAATTTTTTAAAATAAAAATTGCCTTGATGGAGTGATGGTTTTCACTCGCACCATACCTAGTCTAAATAAAGAGTTCTAGAATCTGTACCTTCTTGCTTTTCCTAGCACCTACAGAGGACTTGAGTTGCCAACCCCTTAAATTCTGCTATTGTTTTACCAAATTTTAACGTGTCTGCTTCTGAATTTACCCAATGCATATTTTAGGGTGCTCCTTGACATTGGTTGCCATCAGATTAATCATGCACTGAGGAATTCAACCAGGGAGACTTCTGATTACTTCTTATCTACTTTACCTTTTAGCCAGATACTCTTAAATAAGGCTGCACTCTTGGATTTCTAACCCTGAGCATATTCAAAGAACATAACTCTTACAAAATCGTACCTTTTAAATTTTGCTTCATCCCCTACACTGTTGTTGATGGCAGGTCTTTCAGCTATCCTGTTGAATTTCAGAGCACTTTCTCATGTTCTTTAATTCCAGGTGCTATTCCCACCCTGAAGAAAGGGGTATGTTCACACACATGATAATCCTCTGAGTTGTTTTGTTTTGTTTTTTATGAGATGGAATTTCGCTCTTGTTGCCTATGCTGGAGTGCAATGGTGTGATCTCGGCTCACTGCAACCTCCACCTCCCGGGTCCAAGTGATTCTCCTGCCTCAGCCTCCCGAGTAGCTGGGATTACAGGTGCCCGTCCACCACACCCAGCTAATTTAAAAAATATATATTTTTAATAGAGACAGAGTTTCACCATGTTGGCCAGGCTGGTCTTGAACTCCTGACCTCAGGTGATCCACCTGCCTTGGCCTCCTAAAATGCTGGGATTACAGGCGTGAGTCACCATGCTTGGCCCCCCGAGTATTCTGACCCTATTTCATTTCAGTGGATTGGGGTGAATCCCAAATACGTGTGAATAGAGGCAAGGTGTCATGAACTCACGCATACTTGAATTTGAAGAAGCTGAGGTGCAGTGTGTCAAGCGTGTTTTCTTGGAGTTGGAGGAGGTGCCAAGCTAGATCTGTGGCTCCCACCTGCAGGTCCTCCCACCTGGGGCTTCACCAACCATGAGGAGATAACCAGAACACAGCCCAGGGTGGACTCGCATTGGCTTTTAGATTCCAACCATCGCATTGCGGTTTTTAGAAAATCATAAAGCAGCAGGTGCAATATTCTTTTCTCATTTTTACCTCATTGGTATCTGAAGGCCCATTAGCATATTAGAGAATAAGTAAGAGGGGGCCTTTAGACTTATAAACCTGACTGGAAAGGAAGACATGTAGATTCACACTAACTGCATTGTGAGAATGTTACAACGGCAGATTAGGCTAAGTGGTTGGAGAGAGAGTATGTAAATTGATGTCCTAAATGTGTCTGTCAGTGAAAGCAAAGACTGGTGTCTGACTCAGTTAAATGGGCTGTGACTCGTGTTAGAGTAATTAGATATTAACTAACACCCCATTTGCTCTTAGCAGATCTGTCAGCCTTAGCGTTTGAAACGAAATTGTACAAGAATCTAGACCATATGGACTAGAGGCCCTTTCACCTTCTCAAAACAGCTAACTGGCTGGAGCACCGTCCAAGGCTTAGCAGTTGTTGGGAGATAAGCACTTGAATTAATGAAGCCTACTTTTCCTTAGCTTGCAACTGGGGGAGGGAAACAAATAGCTATCATTCAGCCTGCAGTCCAGAGTCGTAAATTAGTTAAATGAGATCACGTGGCAAGAAGAGCTTGGAAAGCAACGCACGCAACTCAACAGGACGAGCATGACTTGAGAAGTCAAATGTCAGGTGTCGGGAGCGTGGGCTTCTTGGGGCTCTGACACACCTGGCTGTGGTCCTCAGCAAGTCAGGTCACCCAGACTTCCGTGCCTGCGTCAGTCCATTTTTGCATTGCTCTCAATAAATATTCGAGACTGGATAGTTTATAAAGAAAAGGTTTGTTTGGCTCATTGTTCTACAGGCTGTACAGGAAGCGTGGTGCTGGCATCTGCTTCTGGGAAGGCCTCAGGAAGCTTCCAGCCATGGTGGGAGGCCAAGGGGGAGCAGATGCATCACATGGCAAGAGCTGGAGAGAGACAGTGAGGAGGAGGTGCCAGACTCCTTTAAACAGCCAGCTCTCACGTGAACTAACAGAGTGAGAACTCACTCTTTACCACGGGGAGGTAATTCGTGAGGGATTCGTCCCCGGGTTCCAATACCTCCCACTAGGCCCCACCTCCAACACTGGAGGTTAATTTCAGCATGAGATTTGGAGGGCGACACGCATCCAAACCATATCAGTGGCATCGTCCATAAGCAGGAGGTGGAGCTGGGCAGTATCTGAGTTCCCTTCTCGTGTTAACCTTCTGTTCCAAGCAATGGAAGTCAGGGCAGGGTAGCAGTGTGGTCTCAGTCTTCATTACCAAAAGATGTCCTCTAGGACCAGGGTCTCAGGTGGCCCTTGAAAGCACCCAGCACAGGGACTCATGCACACATCCCACAGATGTGCCCCCACAGGTGTGTCTGAGCACTCCGGAATCTCATTGCATGGTTCCTTGATTTGGAAAGTGACTCTAGCCCACTCTACTCCTCAATCCCGGTTCCAGCTGGACCCAGGAGAGGAGTTGGTCTACACATACCTTTTTTCAAGTGGTTTTCAGTTGCCCCTTTTCCTCCAGCCTCTGCCTTGCCTTGCCTTGCCTGTCCTGTCCTTTTTTGAGATGGAGTCTTGCTCTGTCGCCCAGGCTGGAGTGCAGTGGCGTGATCTCGGCTCACTGTGACTTCTACCTCCCGGGTTCAAGCGATTCTCCTGCCTCAGCCTCCCGAGTAGCTGGGACTACTGGTACATGCCATCATGCCCAGCTAATTTTTGTATTTTTAGTAGAGATAGGGTTTCACTATGTTGGCCAGGTTGGTCTTGAACTCCTGACCTTAAGTGATCCTCCTACCTCGGCCTCCCAAAGTGCTGAGATTACAGGCTTGAGCCACTGTGCCCGGCTCCCCTTGCCTTTTCTCATGTGCTCTAGGTTTCACAAGTCCTTCCTCTTTCTCTAGAGAACATTTTCCATTTGTCTTGCTTGAAATATCAGTTTTTCCCTTTCGGAATCCATGTGTGTGCAACGAAGCTGGGGTGGCCAATCCCCAACCTGACCTCAACAGGAATGTGAGCTAAGATGACGCTACGTGCTTTGAGCTGACTCACCCAGCCCCTGCCTCTGTCTGGTTGCCCACACATGTTTATGATTTACCTCCACAGCAATGTGCATGATAGAACTGGGGTGGTCAGTTGGCCTACCCTCCCTCACTCCCGCCTCTGCAGCCAGCACATTATGGTAAAACCCCACCAACTATTTCCAAACTGTTTTTTAATATGTTGCTGACTTACAGGCAGCTATTGACTGAAGCTTATAAACGAATATAACTGAAATCCTAAACTTACTTTCTTAACACAGAGTACAGGAGAGCATTTCTCAGTTGTTTACAAGACATAATGATGTACACCTCAAAAGAGATTCAGTTTCTTTGACTTCAGTCAGTTTACAAGAATGTATTCCCTTTATATGAGTAAACATAGTCAGAAACTCAAATTTTATGCCCTCCCCAAAAAAGACAGGTTATCATATTACTGGCCTGGCTATATTTAAGTGCATTTTGCATGTATGTTAATATTCTTGCCATTTTCATAGTATTTTTTTTATTGTGGTAAAATATACATAACATTAAGTTTATCATTCTAACAATTTTTAAGTGTGTAGTTCTGTGGCATAAATACATTTACATTGTTATGCAATCATCATCACCATGCATCTCCAGAACTTTTTGTATCATCCCGAACAGAAACCCTGTCCCCATTAAACATTGACTCCCTGTTTCTCCCTCCCCAGCCCCTGACACCCACCATTCTACTTTCTATCTCTATGAGCTTGACTATTCTAGGTGTCTCATAAAAGTGGAATCACACAGTGTGTGTCCTTTTGTGACTGGCTTATTTCACTTGACATAATGTCCTCAAAGTTCACCCATATTGTAGCATACGTCAGAATTTTCTTCCTTTTTTATGGAGACAGAATCTCACTCTGTCACCCAGGGTGGAGTGCAGTGGCAAGATCTCAGTTCACTGCAACCTCCGCCTCCCGGGTTCAAGGGATCCTCCTGCCTCAGCCTCCAAGTAACTAGGATTATAGGCGCATGCCACCATGCCTGGCTAATTTTTTGTATTTGTGGTAGAGACAAGGTTTCACCACGTTGGCCAGGCTGGTCTCGAACTCCTGACCTCAAGTGATCTGCCCGCCTCAGCCTCCCAAAGTACTGGGATTACAGGCATAAGCCACCATGCCCAGCCATGAATTTTCTTCCTTTTTAACACTGAATAATATTCCATTTCATGATTTTAAAATAGTGTAGTCACCAAGAGTGTATGTGCATAGACTCTTTGCATGTATTTTATATAAAATTAGAATTTCTATTTTTTATATTCATATCAACATAGAAAAATATAACCCTATATCAGCCCATCTAACAGTCGTCTGCTTATTGTCCTAATCCCTTCTATTGGGTCCAAACAGACCAACAAGCAGAGCTCATGAATGGTCTAAGGTGGTCCCTTGAAAATGGGTTCAAAATCCTTTGCCAACAAGGAAAGGCACAAAGGTTTCCCCATCCATGATGTGACACTTGTTCCTATGCAGAGGTCTGTGTAAAGCTGATTCAGAACGAGATCCAGACTAACTTACAGGAAAATGTGGCCAGAGACAGGGCAGCTGCTGCCCTGTAGGTCAGAGCAGATGACAGAGTGGCCACCTGCCCTGTGTGTTTCATTAGCAGGTCCCCTAATGAAGGTTTGCACATTTTCCATCTTTTTTCCCAACCCCTCTTCATATAAACCTCTACAACATCTTTTGGGAAGGGAAGGAGGTGTGTTGTGTGCCCAGATCTCTAGTCATGCCCCTTCTTGGATGGTTGCTTCAGCTAGTAGGGTTCCAATTCCTGTTTTTGAGAGGGTCACCACTGCATGACATCTGGAAGTGCAGAGAGCTGCTGAAGCTGATCACAGGACAGTAAGGGGACATTTATCCTCACTTTCCTGGGAGGGCAAGAAGTGACTTTGCAGGCAGTATAGACAGCATGCGTGTTTGTGTCTGGGCTTGGGAGGGGAAGGGCTGGTATTCACTTCTCCCTGTGTATCAGTCGGGGCGCAGCGCCTCAGCAAATTAGAACCAGCCTGTTTCCTTGGTCAGGCTCCTTCTCCCACTGCTGTGGTGTCTTGATGCTGTAGATTTCCTAACATATTTCCACACCTGCATTGCAGGCCAGTGTCCTGGGCGATTCCGTGTGGAATAGACCACAGCAAAGGTTATGCAATTACAGAGGGAAGGTTGGCTGTCACATCACATCAAACTTGAGAGCCTCCTGTAAACCCATCATTATCTCTGCTCCCATAACTGTAATTTCATGCAACTCAACATTGGAAACATGCAGTGGCAGTGCCAGTTTCCCATCTGTGCTCGATTTGCGCCTACTGGTGTAATTTTCAGGTATCTTGTGTTTACACAAATGCTGGAAAACAAGCTGCTTCTTAAGCAGCAACCGACAGGGAAGGTCAGCTTTTCCCACTGCCATGGCCGTGCCAGGATGCACATTGCAACAGGCAGGGTTCTCCAGAGAAAGAGAACCAATAGGAGAGAGAGAGAGACAGTGTGTGTGTGTGTGTGTGTGTGTGTGTGTGTGTGTGTGTGTGTAGGGGTGGGGAGAGAAAGGGCGTGTGATTGAGAGACTGATTTATTGTGAGGAATTGGTTCAGGCCATTCTGGAGGCTGAGAAGTTTCTATGTTCTGCCATCAGCTTCTGGAGACCCAGGAAGACCTGTGACATAATTCAGTCCAAGTCTGAAGGCCTGAGAACCAGGGAGCTGATGGTCTAAATCCCAGTCTAAGGGCAGGAGAAGATGAGAGGAGATATCCCAGCTCAAGCACTGAGCCAAGTTAAGAAAAAAAAAAAGGCAAATTCCTCCTTCCTCTGCCTTCTGTTCTATTCAGGCCCTCAGTGGATTGGATGATGCCCACACATAGGGAAGGGTAGATCTTTCCTGAGGCCACCAACCCCAAAGCTAATCTCATCTGGAAACACCCTCACAGAGGCACCCAGAAAGAATGTTTAATCTGGGCATCCCGTGGCCCAGTCACATTGACACATGAAATTGACCATCACATTCATCCAGTGGGCCAGGAAGACGGAAGGATCTTTCTGTCTGGGAAGCATCTGGGGCTGATGAGCTGGCGAGTGGCCTTGTTTCCTCCTGGGGCAGAGCCTCAGCAGCAGTGACTTACTCCAAGTTTATGATCATGTTCATGCAACTGCAGAATTAGCAATAACCTGGTCATAGAGGGAGGCAGCTCAGGGACTGAGGGACTCATCAAGAACTGTGTTTCATGCAAAGGGGGCAGTTTTTCCATTTTCCATTCATTCATTCATTCATGTGTTCAATTATTCATTCATTCCACAAGTATATGTTGGGAGACTGCAGTGTGCCAGGCATTGTGCAAAGTTCTGTGGATAAAATGATGAAAAAACCAACAGGTCTTGGCAAAGACCTTGTGCTGATTTTGAACCCATTTTCAAGGGCCCACCTTAGACCATTCAGGAGCTTTGCTTGTTGGTCTGTCTGGACCCAATGGGAGGGATTAGGGCAATAAGCAGATGACTTTTAGATGGTCTGATATAGGGTTATATTTTTTATGTTGATATGAATATATGAAATAGCAATTCTAATTTTATATAAAATGCATCCAAATAGTCTATGCACATAACACTTTTGTAACTAAATATACAATTTAAAACCCATGAAATGGAATATTATTCAGTGTGAAAAAGGAAGAAAATTCTGACACACACTACAATATGGATGAATCTTGAGGACATTATGCCAAGTGAAATAAGCAAGTCACAAAAGGACACATACTGTGTGATTCCACTTCTATGAGACACCTAGAATAGTCAGGTTCATACAGATGGGAAGTAGAATGGTGGGTGCCAGGGGCTGGGAAGGGAGAAAGGGGAAATTAGTGTTTAATGGGGACAGAGTTTCTGTTCTGATGGTGGTGATGATTGCATAACAATGTAAATGTATTTATGCCACAGAACTATACACTTAAAATCTGTCAGAAGGATAAACTTAATGTTATGTATATTTTACCACCATAAAAAAATACAGTATGAAAATGGCAAGAATACTAATGTTACCAGAAAGGGGTCCGGATCCAGACCCCAAGAGAGGGTTCTTGGATCTCGCACAAGAAATAATTCAGGGCGAGTCCATAGAATAAAGTGAAAGCAAGTTTATTAAGAAAGTAAAGGAATAAAAGAATGGTTACTCCATAGAGCAGCCCCAAGGGCTGCTGGCTGCCCATTTTTATGGTTATTTCTTGATTACATGCTAAACAAGGGGTGGATTATTCATGCCTCCCGTTTTTAGACCATATAGGGTAACTTCCTGACGTTGCCATGGCATTTGTAAGCTGTCATGGCACTGGCGGGGGTGTAGCAGTGAGGACGACCAGAGGTCACTCTCATCGCCATCTTGGTTTTCGTGAGATTTAGCTGCTTCTTTACTGCAAGCTGTTTTATCAGCAAGGTCTTTATGACCTGTATCTTGTGCCGACCTTCTATCTCATCCTGTGATTAGAATGTCTAACCATCTGGGAATGCAGCCCAGTAGGTTTCAGCCTTATTTTACCCAGCTCTTATTCAAGATGGAGTGCTCTGGTTCAGACGCCTCTGACACTAACATACATGGAAAATGCACTTAAATATAGCCAGACCAGTAATATGATAACCTGTCTTTTGGGCGGGGCAGGCTTAAAATTGAGTTTTTGACTGTGTACTCATATAAAGGGAATACCTTCTTGTAAACTGACTAAAATCAAAGAAATGGAATCTCTTTAGACGTTTACATTGTTTTATCTTGTAAACAATCAGGGACAGTTACAACAGAGTGGGACAAATGCTAGAGTGGGCAGTGCGGGTAAGCCAGAAGCCCAGGAGGGGAGCCTTAAGTCGGGGAAAAGTGCCCCAGGCAGAAGGAGCAGCAGGACCAACCCTAGAAGTGAGCGAGGTGATGGCCCCTTGGAAATGAGAGAAAGGGGTCAGTTTGAGTAACCAGGACCCCAGGGAGTAACAGAGGAATGGTGAGAGATAAGGCTGGAGGGGAGGCTTTCTCCTGGTTCTAAGCAAAATAATACAAGTATTTGAGCTATGGAAAGAGCAACAATTCTACCACCCAAGAGAGCCACTGCCAACATTTCCTTCTGGTATTCTGCCTGTTCATCTTGAGCTTTGCATAGTCAAAGTTTTTTAAAACATAAGAAAGGGAGGGGGTGCAGAATGCAAATTGTTTTAGCCAATCAGCTCATCATAGAATACTTTGCTTTAAAATAGAGAGTATTAATAGAAAACGTGAGGTATGGTGAGGCCAACAGATCAGGAGATGACTGCTGCTGAACAGGTTGGTTGTTACCACAGCTCCCACGAGAAGGGGCACAGCATCCCATGCAGGGCCACATGGAGAGGCACCAGGTTGGTCAGGAGGCAGAGGAAGGGGTGGGGAATGTGGTCAGGAGCCTTCCCGTGGTTGTGGCTTCCATGGGAAGGAATGGGAGAGACAGGGTGAGCAGGCTTAGGATTGGCTGGTTTGATTTCAGTGGGCTTTGGGGTGCAGGGGCTTCCCTAATTGTTTGGTACCTGGCTCTGGGGTGATTGGCACAGGTGGATGGCGACCCCATGGGTGAGAGCTCCATAAAGGAGGTGGTTGGGGTGTAAGCCCTGGAATGGTTGTTTTGCATTTGAAAAGCATTCTTTGGTGGGGTGGCTCATATCTGTAATCTCACCACTTTGGGAGGCCAAGGGAGGAGGACCGCTTGAGGCCAGGAGTTCGAAACCAGCCTGGACAACATAGTGAGACCTCATCTTTACAAAAAGTAAAACGTTAGTCAGGTGTGGTGGCACATGCCTGTATTCCCAGCTACTCAGGAGGCTGAGGCAGGAGGATCACTTGAGCCCAGGGGTTTGGGGCTGCAGTGAGCCATGATTGTACCACTGCACTCCATTGCACTGTGGGCAACACAGTGAGACCCTGTCACTGAAAAAAAAAGAAAGAAAGGAAAGCTTGCTTGTGGGCGAGCTGTTTACTGCCTCTAGGAATTGGCTGATGCTGGGAGGGGCAGTCTGTCCTCTAGGGTCAGCAAGGGCCCAGTTATCAAAGCATCAGTTACAGAAAATAGAAAATATGGTTACTATATCTTTTTGATTAGGCCACTGGGACAGCTGAAATTGTATTCTGCTTCTCAGGACAGAGAATAGAACATTAAAATTTTCATATACTTCTCACAACAAGGCAGAAAAGTTTGCCTCCGAGTATCTGTCTTAGTCAGCTTGGTCTGCTGTAACAAAATACCACAGACTGCAGACTTAGGCAACAGAAACTTAGTTCTCACAGTTCTGGAGGCTGGAAGTCCAAGACCAAGATGCCAGCAGATTCAGTTCCTGGAGAGGGCTCTCTTCCTGGCTTCAGATGGCCCCTTTCATGCTGCGTCCTCACATGGCAGAGAGAGGAAGCTCTGGGGTCTCTACCTCTTTTCCTAATTCATCATGGGGGCCTCACCCTCATGACCTAATCACTTCCCAAAGGCCTCACCTCCTAAGGCCATCACATTGTGGGTGAGGATTTCAACATATGAATTTGGCAAGGGAGACGCAATTCATGCCATAGTAGTAGGAAGGGGCCAGAAACAGGACACGAGTCTGGAAACCCTTCCTAGGCCAGCCTGGCAGGCAGAAAGCATACTTACTTCTGCTTGTTCAAAGGGTTTCTTGAGTCTAGGTGACTCAAATGGGCCTGAAGTGGCCACGAGCAATTCTTCCAGCCCAAATTGGTTTCTGGGAGGTGCAAAATACTTTCAATAATTGTTTCTTTTATACTCTCCTATATATAATTAGTAAATATATATTAATTGGTCTTAGCTTTTGTAAAACTGCAAAGTTCTTGAATAATGCCTCCTAAGTCAAAAAGGCTGTGTTTGCTCTCCCCAGTACCTTCTTAACCTGATTCATAATCCAACCTGTGGCCCAAAGGAGCCTGACACAGCCTGCCTGTGAGGGCCAGGGGTGGCTGATGAGAAGTACTTCGTGACCTCTCCAAGACTTTCCCATGGTTCTGGGAATTCTCCAGCTCAGCTGGTGAGAGAATAACTTGACACTAACTTTCTGAAAAGCGATTTTATTATGGCACCAGAAACCACCATTTCCACTTTTAGAAGTTTATTTTAGGAAAATGATCAGCAGCTAGGCAGAAAAATTTATGTCAAGGATGCTCATTATAGCATTTGTTTAAATGGTAAAAAATAGAAAAAAAAAAAACCTTGAATATCCAAAATAGGAAGCCTTAAGTATCAGAGGCATATCACCACAATGGAGAACTCCTGGCCACCAGAAATCACTTCCAAAAATGGTACAAAAGCAAACAAAACCAAAACAAAGATAAAAACCGGGCCACAAAGTTGTGATGCTGTATGATCTGAATTTTGCAAAAGAAAAAGCATATTTTTATACATAATAATAAAACTAGTTTTAAAAACCCTCCAATAAACACACTGGTTGTTTGGTTTTTGTTTTGTTTTTACAAGGAGCACGTTACTTTTATAATTTTAAAGAATCAGGAGATAAAATTTTTTTAAACTAGGAGGCCAGGTTCATTGGCTAATGCCTGTAATCCCAGTGCTTTGGGAGGCTGAGGTGGGGGAATTGCTTGAGCCGAGGAGTTCCAGATGAGCCTGGGCAACATAGTGAGACCCTCTTTCTACAAAAAACGTTTTAAAATTTAGCCAGGCATGGTGGCACACGCCTGTAGTCCCAGCTACTCAGGAGGCTGAGCTGGGAGGATTACTTGAGCCCAGGAGTTTAAGGCTGCAGTAATCTATGATCACGCCACTGTATTCCAGCCTGGGAGGAAGAGTGAGACCCTGTTCTTTAAAAAAAACAAACAAGGCCAGGCGCGGTGGCTCACACCTGTAATCCCAGCACTTTGAGAGGCCGAGGCAGGCGAATCACCTGAGGTCAGGAGTTTAAGCCCAACCTGGCCAACATGGTGAAACCCTGTCTCTACTAAAATACAAAAAATTAGCCAGGTGTCATGGCACATGCCTGTAATCCCACCTACTCGGGAGTCTGAGGCAGGAGAATCACTTGAACCCGGGAGGCGGAGGTTGCAGTGAGCCGAGATCGCACCACTGCACTCCAGCCAGGGCAACAGAGCTAGTCTCCATCTCAAAAAACAAGCAAACAAAAAACTAAGGGGCATTTATTCATATATGTCATTCTTGTACACAATTTATAACTTAAGTTTTAAGATGTTAGTATCACCTTGGCTGGGCGTGGTGGCTCACGCCTGTAATCCCAGCTCTTTGGGAGGCTGAGGCGGGCAGATCACGAGGTCAGGAGATCGAGACCATCCTGGCTAACACGGTGAAACCCCGTCGCTACTAAAAATACAAAAAAAATTGTCCGGGTGTGGTGGTGGACCCCTGTAGTCCCAGCTACTCGGGAGGCTGAGGCAGGAGAATGGCGTGAAGCTGGGAGGTGGAGGTCGCAGTGAGCCGAGATCACGCCACTGCATTCCAGCCTGGGCGACAGAGAAAGACTCTGTCTCAAAAAAAAAAAAAAAAAAAGATGTTAATATCATCTCACATCACAGGAAGGGCTGGTATCTGCTTATTGCATGGTTTAAGGAGAAGGAAACCAGAGAAGAAGGTAGGGGAATGAAGAGGACATGCAGGCAAAAGGAGGCTCCCATGAAGTATAACAGAGATTTAGAGATGAGTGGGACAAAAAATCATGGATCATCATCCTGGGGAATGTGGAAGCAGCCAGGGGCCCCATCTGGGCTTGGCTGGAGGGAAACCGCATGGTGCCCACAGCCACCTGTGTGGGTCTGAAGGGAATGCATTCCGGCACTCCCCAGAACCCCCTGCAAGGGGGAAAGGACTTTCTAGTGGCCTAGACTGGCTGCTCCCCAAGAGCCCCTTCAGATTCCAGAGAGAATTCCAAGGCCTTGGGGAAAAAGAGCCTCCTGTTTCAGATAGTTTCAAAGCAAATTAAGCTTCCCATTGTTCCTTGTGCATTTTTAAAATCATTCAGTCTTTTTATCTTGTACAGTGAGCTTAGTGACTCTCTTGTTATGGTGTAATAAAGCATCTAAAGTCTTCATGAGACCACCGCAAAAATGCCAAAAGGAGGAAATACGGCAGCAGTATTTTATTTTATTTTATTTATTTATTTTTTTTATTGATCATTCTTGGGTGTTTCTCGCAGAGGGGGATTTGGCAGGGTCACAGGACAATAGTGGAGGGAAGGTCAGCAGATAAGTGAACAAAGGTCTCTGGTTTTCCTAGGCAGAGGACCCTGCGGCCTTCCGCAGTGTTTGTGTCCCTGGGTACTTGAGATTAGGGAGTGGTGATGACTCTTAACGAGCATGCTGCCTTCAAGCATCTGTTTAACAAAGCACATCTTGCACCACCCTTAATCCATTCAACCCTGAGTGGACACAGCACATGTTTCAGAGAGCACAGGGTTGGGGGTAAGGTCACAGATCAACAGGATCCCAAGGCAGAAGAATTTTTCTTAGTACCGAACAAAATGAAAAGTCTCCCATGTCTACCTCTTTCTACACAGACATGGCAACCATCCGATTTCTCAATCTTTTCCCCACCTTTCCCCCCTTTCTATTCCACAAAACCGCCATTGTCATCATGGCCCCTTCTCAATGAGCTGTTGAGTACACCTCCCAGACGGGGTGGCGGCCGGGCAGAGGGGCTCCTCACTTCCCAGTAGGGGCGGCCGGGCAGAGGCGCCCCTCACCTCCCAGACGGGGTGGCTGGCCAGGCGGGGGGCTGATCCCCCCCCACCTCCCTCCCAGACGGTGTGGCTGCCGGGCGGAGACGCTCCTCACTTCTCAGACGGGGCGGTTGCCAGGCAGAGACGCTCCTCACCTCCCAGACGGGGCGGCAGGGCAGAGGTGCTCCCCACATCTCAGACAATGGGCGGCGGGGCAGAGGCGCTCCCCACATCTCAGACGATGGGCGGCCGGGCAGAGACGCTCCTCACTTTCCAGACTGGGCAGCCAGGCAGAGAGGCTCCTCACATCCCAGACGATGGGCAGCCAGGCAGAGACGCTCCTCACTTCCCAGACGGGGTGGCGGCCGGGCGGAGGGGCTCCTCACTTCCCAGACGGGGCGGCCGGGCAGAGACTCTCCTCACATCCCAGACGGGGCGGCAGGGCAGAGGCGCTCCCCACATCTCAGACGATGGGCGGCGGGGCAGAGATGCTCCTCACTTTCCAGACGGGGTGGCGGCCGGGCAGAGGCTGCAATCTCGGCACTTTGGGAGGCCAAGGCAGGCAGCTGGGAGGTGGATGTTGTAGCGAGCCGAGATCACGCCACTGCACTCCAGCCTGGGCACCATTGAGCACTGAGTGAACGCGACTCCGTCTGCCATCCCGGCACCTTGGGAGGCCGAGGCTGGCAGATCACTCGCGGTTAGGAGCTGGAGACCAGCCCGGCCAACACGGCGAAACCCCGTCTCCATCAAAAAAATACGAAAACCAGTCAGGCGTGGCGGCGCGCGCCTGCAATCGCAGGCACTCGGCAGGCTGAGGCAGGAGAATCAGGCAGGGAGGTTGCAGTGAGCCGAGATGGCAGCAGTACAGTCCAGCTTTGGCTCGGCATCAGGGGGAGACCGTGGAAAGAGAGGGAGAGGGAGACCGTGGGGAGAGGGAGACCGTGGGGAGAGGGAGAGGGAGAGGGAGAGGAGGGAGAGGGAGAGGAGGGAGAGGGAGAGGAGGGAGAGGGAGAGGAGGAGCCTTTCCAATTTTCTTTCCTTCCTTCCCGGCAGCAGTATTTTAATGAGGGAGGAAATGAGAAATATATTCCTCCAAAGGACCATGAATAAAGAACAGCAGGACTTTCTTTTAAAAAATGCTTCCGAAAATGAACTTGGTTATTTTTCCTAGACAGGAATAGCTGGCAGAGGGACAGCAGATGCCAGAGGCAGCAGCAGAGAGAACGGAGATGGAACATAGAGACCCAGGGCAAGTAATTTGTTCTCATTAACTGGACCTTGGGGATCTTCAGGAGTTTACCTGAACACCCAGGAGGCTGAACTTGCATATCAGTGCCCTCGGATTGGTGGATGCAGAAGGTAAAGTTCTGGTCTCATCTAAGTGTTTCTCACACAGATAAGTTCTTTCCGTTCTTATCAGACTAACTAAGAGAAGTCTGTGCTGCAGCTCCTACTGGTTCCCTCTTTGACCATGGCAATCGCTGGCACCTCTCCTATTCCTAGAACACCTTGTTCCCTGCTCCTCCCAGATGAAGGGGCAAGAGAGCAGAAAGGACATTGGAACTCTCTGCTAAAGTAACCTTGGACACCAGCCCATAATAATGCACACACCTGTGCATGCACGCACACACATGCACACACCATACTTTTGCATGCAAACATCCTTCTATTCTTACAGAATCCAGATGCTGACCTCCCAGTGAGGGTTCCCAAGCCCTCCGTCCACTGGAATAGTTAAATTATGGTGCCCTGGCCTGAACCCCGCGCATACTCTGTGGTGCTCCCTCTGTGCCGTGGCCACCAGCCTCCACCTTTCAACAGCCAGAGCATTGAAACTACCTTCTTTCCTTTAATGTAATCAAATTCTTGGGCAGAGTTGATCGTAATCAGTGTTGACTGTTTGTTATTTTAAATAGTAATTTTTTTTCTTATCCTGGCAAAGTTCATCTCCTTGTGGCTCCAGATTTTCAGTCTAGTTATTTTATGTCTTCCACCATTTGTGTCTGAAAGGTTAAATGTGGTGCCTTTTTTTCCTTACCGCATGCATAAATGCATGTATTTTCTGTATTTGGACGTAGAACTCTGTGTGTTGGGGGCTGGGATAAAGAAAGAGGCAACCATCTTTGGCTGATGTGTTAGAGATATGCTTACTTTACAATAAACAAAGGCTCTTTGTGAAATTCGTAGTTTGTATGTGTTGCTAGGATCTCCTGTTTTTTTCAAAATTGTGTAATGTTTTGGCAGACACTGCCAGGTGTCCACCAAATCCTTCCCGTCTTTTTTTTTTTTTTTTTTTTTTTTGATAGAGTTTCTCTCTGTTGCCCAGGCTGGAGTGCAATGGCGCCATCATGGCTCACTGCAGCCTTGACCTCCTAGGCTCAAGTAATCCTCCTGCCTCAGCCTCCTGAGTAGCTGGGACTGCAGGTGTGAACCACCACGTTTGGCTAATTTTTGTATTTTTTTGTAGAGACAGGGTCTGCACTATGTTGCTTAGGCTGATCTTTAACTGAACTCTTGGGCTTAAGCTATCCTCCTGCCTAGGACTCCCAAAGTGCTGTCCTTATAGATGTGAGCCACTGCACCCAGCTCCCATCTTCTTCCACAGTAGGTTGCAGCTGGGCAGACGGCCTCCCGATGAGGGACTCCATTTCCCAGGCTCCTTTGCAGCTAGGTGTGGCCAGCAGCCTCCACTCTTGGTGGTGGAAGACCAGGGTGGAGTGTGGGGTGTCTTATTGCACATGCTCCCCCTCCTCTTCCCCCTCCTCATGAGCCGGAACATGGAAGTGGCTGCAGCCCAGAGTGACCATAAAGATAAGGACAGTGCCCCGGGGACAGTGGGAAACTAGATGGAAGGCAACTGCATCCTAAACAACCATACAGAGCAGAGCACCCACCTGGCTGCCTGGGCTATTAATTGGAGGGAAACAAAGTTTGTCTGTTTCAGGCCCTTAGTGTTGGCTGTCTTTGTGACAGCAGCCTTTTACCCAATCTGCCTCCACCCTCCTCTTGCCTCTCTGCATTCCCAGACAGGCTCCACAGTGCCCTGGGGACCTCAGAACAGCCCTGAGAGCAGTGATGTGCACCAGAGGCTGTGTTTTCTAGGCATGGGAATGGGTTGCATCATACATCCATCTCATCCCTCTGTGCATCCCTGTGAGGTCAGCTTACAACCTAGGGAGAGTTTTGAATGGAGTGAAGTGGTGCAGTTGAGGCCAGCAAGTAGAATTTTGCTCTTTAAAGCCAAACTCATGCTCCTGGCTTCTGTGGATGTGGTGTTAGTGTCAACTCAACCCTGAAATCCTAGACCACATGAGGATGAGGAACGAGTCTGTGATATTGTGATATAATATATTATATATTTGGTCTCTGCCCCTGGTTCCTGGCCTTAGTATCTACAGAGTGGTAAGAGTGTCTGTTGTATTCTAATGAGATGACTGGTGGCTGGGGACCCCTAGGTGGCTTCAGGAGGAGGGCTGATCACTACAAAGACTGTGGCAGGATTAGAGGGTTGGGACTTTCACTCCACCCCCAAAATCTCATGAGAAGGAAGAGGGGAGAGGGGCTAAGGTTGAGTTGATCAACAATGGCCAGTGATGTAATCAGTCATGCCTATGGAATAAATCCTCCATAAAACCTGAAAAGGTCTAGGTTCAGATGGGCTTCTGAGTAGCTGAACGTGTGGAGGTCCCTGGTGGTGATCTGGGAGAGGGCGTGGAAGCTCCACATCCCTTCCCACATGCCTTGCCCTGTATCCCTTGTAATAGCTTTGTAATTAATGTGGTTTGGCTTTGTCCCCACCCAAATCTCACCTTGAATTGTAATAATCCCCACGTGTCAAGGGTAGGGCCAGGTGGAGATAATTGAATCATGGGGATGGTTTCCCCCATACTATTCTCATGGTAGTGAATAAGTCTCATGAGATCTGATGGTTTTATAAAGTCGAGTTCCCCTGCACAAGCTCTTTGCCTGCCACCATGTAAGACGTGCCTTTACTCCTCATTTGCCTTTCGCCGTGATTGTGAGGCCTCCCTAGACATGTGGAACTGTGAGTCAATTAAACCTCATTCCTTTATAAATTACCCAGTCTTGGGTATGTCTTTATTAGCAGCATGAGAACAGAGTAATACAGTAATACATGGGTAAACATAAATAAAGTTCTTCCCTGAGTTCTATGAGCAACTTCAGCAAATTAATCAAACCTGAGAAAGGGGTTGTGAGAAACTCCCATTTATAGCCTGTGGGCCAGGAGCACAGGTGACCAACTACTTGTGGTTGGCATCTGAAATGGGGGTGGTAGTCTTGTGGGACCGAGCCCTCAACCTGTGGGATCTGACTCTAACTCCAGGTAGGTAGTGTCAGTATTGAATTGAATTACAGGACACCCAGCTGCTTTCCACTAGAGAGTTGCTTGCTTTTTTGTTGTTTTTTGTTTTTTTCCAGAATGACCAAATAGCCATTTTCTCAAAGAACTTTCCACCCTTGCCCAAAAAGAACAAACCTTGGCTATCAGCAGGTTGACAGTGCAACTCTAATGCCTCTGTGTCTTCAGCATCTACCATGGACTCAGCCTTGGACTAGATCTTTTACATGTATGATATTTTTTATTCCTCACCGTGGTCTTCTGGCTGGGAGTATTTCTGCCATTTCAGAGATGAGGCAGGTGGGATACAGGAATGCCGTGTCACTTGCCCAGAAACCCACAGAGAGCGAGGTACCCTGGGGTTCAGACTGTCCTGTTTCAAGCACATACTCCACATCCCCTGTGTTTCCATAAGAGCAGAAACTGAGCACTGGGCACTCCTGCAACTGTGAGGGTTCTGGGACCAAAGTTCCCAACTACATGAACAAGGGAGCTGAGCAGTGTTGAAAATACTTAACGCAGAAGGTATTTTTAGTCCAAAAAAAAAGCACTCACCATGACTTGTGTGCAGGGAAAATACACCCAGGGCTCAGAATGGCAAAGTAAGAATTGATCTAGGTATTTGCTGCTCATCTTGGTCATCAGAACATCCTAGGGAACCTTTGATTTTGTTTCACCCTGACCTTGGGGACTACAATTCAAGATGAAAAGGTGGCAGATTTGCAGGAGTAGTTACAAATAGGAGGACACTTCTGAGACTTCCTTGTGTCTCATTTTTAAGGCAAGAATCTCCCAAGGATCCCGTGTCTGCCTCCAGGGTTATTATCATGGTCAGCCAGTTTCCAGCTCTTGCATAAGGCCCTACAAAGACAATTTAGCTGTGAAGCTGCCCAGACTTCACACAGAGTCCAGGGTTTGGGTGAACCATAGGACTAGAGAGAAGATGCAAAATAATAATAATAATAATAAATCAATGGGTTGGGCACGGTGGCTCACACCTGTAATCCCAGCACTTTGGGAGGCCGAGGCAGGCAAATCACCTGAGGTCAGGAGGTCAATATGGTGAAACCCCATCTCTACTAAAAATACAAAAATTAGCCAGGTTTGGTGGCACAGCCCTGTAATCCCAGCTACTCAGGAGGCTGAAGCAGAAGAATCGCTTGAACCCAGGAGGCGGAGGTTGCAATGAGCCAAGATCACACCACTACACTCCAGCCTGGGTGACAGAGTGAGACTGCATCTCAAAAAAATAAAACAATCAAGCAGTGCTGATCCTGCGAGTCTCAGGGAAGGAGACCAGAACCAGATATCTTGGTATCTTAGGAAATCAACGTTCGTTAAAGGTTCAAGTAAGGCCAGATAGGATTATGAAAGTGGCACACTGCAAGTCAGAGAAGACTAACTGGCTGGAGTGATTTAGCAGCATCCTAATAAAACCAAAACAAAACACCTGGGCACCCAGCTGTGACCCATGTTATTGCAACAGTCTCCCAGTTGTCATCTTATCTTTAGTCTTTCCAGCTTTGCTACTAACTTTCAGGCTCTAGACTTCCTGAAGTCTTTTGTCTTATTCAGGCATCACTATGGCCTGAATATTGGTGTCTCCAAAGCTCATGTGTTGGAAACTAATACTCAATGTGATAGTATTAAGAGATGGGGCCTTTGGGAGGTGAATGAGATTGGTGCCCCTGAAAAGAGGCTTGAGGGAGTGCCCCTTCCCTTTCTGCCATGCGAGGACACAGCAACAAGGCGTCACCTAAGAAGCAGAGCAGGAACCCTCACCAGACACTGAATCTACCTAAACCTTTATCCTGGACTTCCCAGCATCCAGAACTGGAAGAAATAAGTTTCTGTTGTTTATAAATTACCCAATCTAACACATTTTGTTACAGCAGTCTGAACAAACTGATATAGGAGTATTGGGTATTGGATCCTGGGCTTAATATGTATGGTCTTGGTGCAAATTTTGGCAAGAACTTAGGCTTATACACCGAAAGAGCAATAATACTTTATTTAAAATATATACAAAATTATTACTTTGAAACATATATATTACTGTCCAACATACATCATATAACACTGATTGATGTAAATTTTGGTACCTTCATTTATTCAGTTGTGATTTCCCTTTTGTTCAAGGCTCCTGAAGAAAATTATCTGAAATGCCCACCAGAGGGGAGGTGCCCATGGGCTTGGTCCCCTTGGTGACTTGGCTGTGCTGTTGGGCACTACTGAGGCCCTAGAGCCCTGCTCCATGGAGCTGAAGGCAAATCCCCACCTTGCTGGGGGACCTGGGGACACAGAATTGATGGAACCCACCTCCGTCGGTCACACATCAATTGCTCATCTTCTCCCTCTCTCTCCATCTGGGTATAAACAGGGAGGGAGGTGAGGGGGAACAAGTGTCAGTTATCTTCTTAACCCTCCTCTGGGCTGAAGAGGAGGGTTAAGAGAAATGATGTTTTCCCTTTCACCCCCCTTTCTTCTCTGCCCATGTTACCACTACTGCGGGAAGAAAGTATGAGAAGGAGGAGCTGGCTCTTAATGCAGTTTAGAAAGAAACGGGAAGTGAAGCAAAAATGGGGCTTCTGTGCTCTTAGGCTGAATTTGAGTTACCATGATCCTGAGATAAATCAGACAACTGCTTTTGGGCATGGCCTATGATGCCTCATTCATCACTATCTCCCGCACAGTGCCTTACACCTAGTAGGCACTTAATGCATGCTCTTTGCATGGATGAATAAATGAATGCAGGGGATCTGATGACTACAGACAGAAAACACACATTTCAGAATCAGAGTGTTTGAGAGATGAAAGGGGACATTGGAAATCATCTAGATCTGCTTCCTCATTTGGCATATGGGGAAACTGAGGCCCACAGAAATGAGAAACGATCAAGGTCAAATGACTAGTTCCTGATAGAGTCAGACCTGGAATCAGATTTTCTAAATCTCTCCTTAAATTTCCCACCCTCTTCAGATCTGGAACAATAAAGAGAGCTCAGTGGGCTCAGTGCTATGCCCTGGACTCAGGACCCTCATATGCCAGTGTGGGGACCCCTGGTGGTGGCCGAATAGAGCACAAGCAGAGAAGCCCCCTTTGGGCAACTTCACTTCTGGGATCTGGTCCCAGTAGGTAAACAGGATGGCAGCAGTGGATCTGAATGAGGTAGGAGGAACACAGAGACCAGTGGGGACCCCGAGAATTGGGCTCGTTGGTGTGGCACCTGCAGCGGGTCCAGTGCTGAAGTGGATTTGGTGGGTTGAAGGGCTCTGGAGCTCCAGGGTGTCCAAAGGAAATGTGTAAACTAAGCCCAGCCTGCTCACTGCTGACACTGAAAGCAGGTCACTACAGATGCTTGCTCAGCGGGTGAGCTATAGCACACTGGATATGGATGGGAGGAAAACGAAGGGAGGCAGGGAGAGGGGTGGAGGAAAGAGGGAAGGGCCAAGGGGCTCTCCAGCAGACAGGGAGGCCTAGTGGCCTCAGGGTGCAGGGACGGGGTGGGCCCAGCAGGTGGGGGGCGCTGGGGACATGCAGGAGTTCCCGGATGTGCTTCTCACTTCAGCTGGGCTGCCCAGGACCTTCTCTGGGCTTCAAGCCTCTGAGGCCTCCCATGCGTCATTGCAGGGAGCTCAAAGCACAGAGGCTCACTCTGCTTCCCCGTGTGATTTTGGTTTCTTTCTAGAAAAGATACTTAGGCATGGGAAGAAATGCACATCTGATCAACATAAAGAACCTCATGTGAGTCCCCACACACCACAAACATCAATAGCTGAAGAACCCTGGTGTCAAACAAAATGAATGAACACCCAGGAGCTCACACCTACTGGGGTTTCTCAGGGTTTCTCTTGAGCAGGTGCAGAGAGGGCTCGCAGGGCAGGTTGAAGCTCTTGTGACTGACCAGTCCTCCTGCCCCACACTCAACCAGCTTCATTCCCTGTTGCCCTCCTCCTCCCTTTCTGCCCAACTTCTGCACTCCCCAGCCCACTCCATTTTTGACTTAATGACGTTGCAGTTCCCATCAGCCCCATATTTGGCTCTCTGCAAAGAGAAACAAAAATAATTCATCGTGCCAAAATTTGAAATTTGGGAGCTGCAGCTCATCTGATTACAAATGAGTACCTTTGTGCTTAAATTGCCACCACAAAGTGCAGACTATGACCAACATGCCAGGGAACAGAGCAGGACAGATCCACCCTGGGACTGGGGCTCAGCTGCCCCTTCTCTGTGGCCCCCTGACCCCCTAAACCGCAGACTGGTTTTCATTGCACACGTAGACTGTGCTTGGCTGGATTCTCCTTCGGATCCGCTCAGGCACTTTGGGGAGGATTTGGAAGGTCTGGGGCAGCAACTCTATGCAGGCCTCGCGGAATTTTTTGATTCTCCAGCAGTAGACGATGGGGTTGAAGACGGACTTGAGGTAACTGAGCCACAGGACGCAGGTGCTGGTGGCGTAGAAGGAGGAACCGCAGTAAAAGCGCTGGCTAAACACAGACAGGAGGCTGTAGACGGAGTGGGGCAGCCAGCAGAGGGAGAAGCCCACGAAGAGGATCAGGATGGTGGTGAAGGCCTTGGTCTTGAAGCTCAAGTCCACGCTGACCTGTTGCTGCCGCTGCAGGCGCCGCAGGCCCGCCCTGGTGAGCTGCCGCAGGTCCAGGCTGTCCGACTGGTTGTGCACGCGCACGGCGTTCTTGCGGACCGTGTTGAGGATGCACATGTAGGCGCACAGCATGACGCCAAAGGGCGCGAAGAACACGGCCACCACCAAGGTGACCACGTAGGCGCGGTCAGCGGGGAGCTCCGTGTAGCCCAGCACGCACTGTGGGGCCCGCGCCGGCACCTCCACCAGCGTCCAGCCCGTGAGCGAGGGCCCCGCGATGCAGAAGGACAGCACCCAGGAGACCGCGATGATCACCTTGGCCCTGCGCGGGTTCAGCTTGTCCTGGCGCTGGACGATGATGAGGAAGCGGTCCACGCTGATGATGAGCAGGATGGCCACGCCCTCCAGGACAAAAAACCAGTAGAGCGTGGCTGAGAGGCGGCAGAAGTGGTCCCCAAAGTGCCAGCGCACGGTGATGAGGGTGACGGCGGTGAAGGGCATGCAGCAGAGGGACAGCATGATGTCGGAGAAGGCCAGGGTGGCCAGCAGCAGGTTGATGGCCGAGCGCATAGCCGGCCTCTGGTACACGATGATGCAGACCACAGTGTTGCCCAGGAACCCCACCACGGTCATCAGCAGCATCACTATGGCCAAGGAGATCCTGAGGGGTGCGGGCAACTGGGTGGACCCCGAGTCTGAGGCGTTGCTGGTGTTCAGCAGCAGGTATGTGTAAGCCTCAAGGGACGTGCTGTTGCAGGCCATCGTGGAGAGACCCTTGGAGCTGGGACAGAAATGGCCGGGAGGGCTCCCCTCAGCACTTGGGTGGCTGCCATTCTTTGTCTGCTGGCTGCATCTTCCTGGATGTCTGTGGACCTCTGGGGCACTGGAATGGTCTTGGGGAGAAATGTCCGTCTTTGTGAGCACTAGCTGGGATTTGCGATTCATGGATCACATCCTAAGCATCTCTGTGGAGAGCGACTCTGTGCACAGCTTCGTGCTTGGACCCTCTGTAGTGGACAGCAAGCAAAAGTACAAAAGAGAAGGGGGTTAGAGTTTCCAAACGCGTTGAAGAAAGCACGCGTTTAAGCTTTACAGGTGTTTCTAAACAAGTTTATTTACCACGTGGGACAAAGCTTGATATTCACAAATACTGTCTGAGTCTTGTCAAGCAGCCCAGAAAAACCTAATCAGCTATCTTCTGAGGAAACTGAGGAAGTACACTTTGTAGTTAGTGTTTATGTAATAACTTGAGTTTTCAGCAACCTGTCGGAATGAAGCCTTGGTCTAGCCAACTAACGTTAGAATCCTGCTCCACAAGAGAAAGGTTTTGCTTGTTTCATTCTCTGCTATCTCCCAGTACTGACAACAGTGGCTGGCATGCAGTAAGTGTCCTTGTTGAGGACACTTGGATGCTTGTTGAGTAGATGAATAAGTGATAGTTGATGCTGCTGCTATAATATTTGTTTAGCTTTAAAAAACCCCACTTCATCGAGGAATGACTGACATGTCAAAAGCTGTACAAATTTACATCTCAATATACCAGAAACCCATCACCACCAAGGCCAAAAACATATCCCACTCCCCCTGCCAAAGCTCTCTCCTGCCATTTTTCTAGTATTATCATTTTGTTTTGGTGGTAAGAATACTTCACCTAAGATCTGCCCTCTTAGCAAATTTTAAGTATACATTTTTAAGTTTTAATTTTTTAAAAGAAATTGTAAGTCTGTTTGTTTAACTTTATTTGATAAGTGTAAATTCACATGGATAAGTGTAAATTCACATGGAGTTATAATAATAAATACTATGGTGAAATTCTGTGTGTCCTTCACCCAGTTTTCCCTAATGGTAACATCTTGGATAACTGTGGGGCTGCTATACTATTACTTCTGGAAGCACAGACTGGGAGAAGGGAACTTTCCCCAAAGGTAAGGCCTTTTAAAATACAATGTTAGCTGGGTGCAGTGGCTCATGCCTATAATCCCAGCACTTTGAGAGGCAGAGACAGGAGGATTGCTTGAGGCCAGGAGTTCAAGACCTGCCTGGGCAACATAGAGAGATCCCATCTCTACACACACAAAAAAATGAGCCAGGCTTCCATCTATAGTCCCTGCTACTCAGGAGGCCGAGGCAGGAGGATTGCTCAAGCACAGAAGTTCGAGGCTGTCGTGAGCTAAGAAGGTGTCACTGTACTCCAGCCTGGGTAACAGAGTGAGACCCTGTCTCTTAAAAAAAAAGTAAATGAAATGAGCTTTTATTCCTTACATTCTTGATAAACTTGCTTTCACTTTCAAAAAGATAAATATAATTTTAATTTTGTCTCACTGATGTGGCAAGAGTGTGTTCAGTAGCTCAGGTCTGAAGTCACATCGCCTGGGCTGGGGGAAATCCAGCCTGCGCCATTTATCCACCCTGGACATCTGGCTGTTGGATGCACCTCTTCTTGTAAGAAATTTCTCTTTTCTAAATTCCTTGTGGTCATTGTTACAGATAACTCACACTGAGAGGAATGTGGGCAATGTAAGAAGCCAGGAGGCCTCAGAGCAGGCTTAGAGGACCTGGGAGTGGCAGTGTCTTGGTGATGCTATACTTCAGTTTAGACCCAACCAATCCTTGGTCTTCCTTCCCAAACACACCCAGAATGGGTTCATCTCTCAGTGGTGGGCACCAGTATCCAAACTTTTTCTGAGCTATAAAAATCAGAAACCTGGTGTGTTAATTTATAAGTGGGAATTATCTCTCATTCAGACCAAAATTATGACCCTTCTTCATCTCAATTTTCTGATCTGTGAAATGGAGGTAATTACATATTTACCTCCAGAGTTGGTAAATATAATGTGCAATGTCTGGTAAAAGAAGGGCATTAATAAATTAACTCCATCTCCCTCACTGTTTCAAGTTTAGGGGTTTCTGTCTCTTGGATTAAACTGCAAATTTGTTCATGGCAGGAACCATGACATGCATGTAGGAAGCCCTAATGGATTAAGCTCCTCTTGGAGCACAGAATAAAGGACCACTGAGAAAAAACACAGTATCGTGCATCCATGTGCCTGTCAATCTTAGCCGATAGTGAATCCTTCATCTGCATTCCTCTCCATGCTATAAACTTAGATTTTCCCCACAATGATAGTTACAGAGAGTGATTTCATGCTTAATTAAAGGAACAAATAGTGCAAGGTATTTTTTTTAATGTATATGTCTTGTGGTTGAATCTGATTAAAATTCTTTTGGCTTCTGGACAACAACCTGTCTTAGGTATTTTAATTTAGCATTTTGGTCACAGTCCTGTTGTTAATATCTGAATCAACAGTGCTTTTATTACAAGGGACTAGGGCACTAAGATCTAAGTAAAAGGTAACAAGTGAACAAGAAATATTCTGCTGGTGTTCTTGGAGTAACAGCACTCACCGTCTCCAGCGACTTTCACGATGAGAAATGGGTGCCACAATATGAATTTAAAGCTGTGAAAGAAGCGAGCTGGGAACTGAACCGTTTCAAGGTATTTGTTTTAGTTCCTTTCCAAATGATCTCACCCTGGAACTGGGAGGCTGTGCAAGTGTCAGGAGGTAAATCTTCATCTCTGACTGAAGTGTGATTAATCAACTAAGGAAAGTGTGACCAGGCTGTGTGCTGCTGTGTGCCATGGTGTGGCTAGCTGTGCTCTGGCAGAGGCTTCAGTGAGCTGTGTCCACGCAAAAGATAGAAGGCGCTTTCAGCAAAGCGGACACGAGGCCACCCATGCATTGTGTTTACTGCAAGGTTTTCTAAAGCCTTCCCTCTGCATCCTCACGCCTGGCAAGAAGGCAGGGAAATTATGAAAGGGAAGCTCAGATACAGTCACGACAAGCCCCAGTTCAGCAAAGTAGTGACCAGTGGAGCCGAGACTGGAAGCTGAGACTCCAACAGAAAGATGGTTCTGTGGTGAGGACGGTGGCTTGGGGAGGATGACTTCACGTCTGTGACACTGACAAGCATAGGGAAAAGAAAAACCATCCTCCCACCCCCAAGCTACACCAGTTGAGGTACAGACAAATTTCAAACAAAATCCCACTCTGTTCTCCTTTCCCAGTAGATAAAGAATGGGCTTCTAAAAACTGACCTTCAGCGGGGCGCGGTGGCTCACGCCTGTAATCCCAACATGTTGGGAGGCCGAGGCAGGCGGATCACGAGGTCAGGAGATCGAGACCATCCTGGCTAACATGGTGAAACCCCGCCTGTACTAAAAATACAAAAAATTAGCCAGCCGTGGTGGCCGGCGCCTGTAGTCCCAGCTACTCGGGAGGCTGAGGCAGGAGAATGGCGTGAACCTGGGAGGCGGAGCTTGCAGTGAGCCGAGATCGCGCCACCGCACTCCAGCCTGGGCGACGGAGCGAGACTCCGTCTCAAAAAAAAAAAAAAAAAAAAAAAAAAAAAAAAAAAAAGAACTTAGTGAGGATGAGGGAAAGAACCTTTGTCTTTGCTCTCCAAATAGGACAACTCTATGTGCGACCACCAGGGGGCGCGCTGGGGCAGCCTCGGGAGGCTAGGAAGTATCAGTGTCTGGCCTGCCAAAGCCTTTCTTCCTCCCTCCCTCCCTCCCTTCCTGCCTCCCTCCCTCCATTCCTGCCTCCCTCCCTTCCTTCCTTCCTTCCTTCCTTTTTTCCTTCCTTACTTCTCTCTTTTTTCCTTCCTTCTTTTTCTCTCTCATTTCTTTCTTTTATCTTTCTTTGTTCTCTTCCCCTTTTTCTTTTGCCAACTTTAAAAGTCTTTTTATTATGTTAAATTTCAAACATGCAAAAAGAGATAACATAGTATAGCAAAGCACCACTTGGCTACGCTTTTGAGCTGTGTTCCCTCCGTTTCCTTCCATTTAAGCTGGCACTTCCTGGTCCACATACACCTCCCGTCCAGGCTTTTGTTTCCAGTGCAGTAGGGAGATCCTGCCAGGTTTTCTTGGGGAGAGGAGGCCAGGCTGTGAGTGGCCTCGTGAGACAGACATGAGAGGGGAAAATGCGGCCCAGGAGAGCTTTGAGGGACTGGGGGACACAGCGGAGGTCCCTGCAGCGGCGCCAGGGCAGCTCTCCAGGACTCTACCGTCCTCCTAAGGCCTGGTCAAGCGGGGATTCGAGTGGCCTTCTGCTCGCAAACTTGGCGTTTCAGGTAGCAACTCTCATCTTCGGCTGGGAATATGTTTGGCTTTAAGTGGTCAGGAAGGAGAAGGTAAGAAATGCCTGTCTCCCTTTCCCATCCTCAAGATCAGGCGTGAAGACGATCCTGTCTCCCTTTCCCATCCTCAAGATCAGGCGTGAAGACGATCCGCCGGACCCTGATTGAAGCGGGGAGGGATAATGCCTTGCGAGGGGACAAAGGCGGGCAGAACCAGAGAGACCTGCGGAGGCACAGTCGGGGCAGCCCCGTGGCAGGGAGCCGAGCAGCAGCGGCGATTGCCACGTGGAGGAGGTAGACTTCCTGGCAACCGGTCGGTGAGCCCCGCGCGACCTTCAGCAAGAGCGCACGCCTCTCCTTCCTCCCAGCGCTGAAACTGAATGGTCGAAAGGCACTGCGTGGCGACGGCGGAATGGATTATTGTGTCTGAGGTCCCGTCCCGTCCAGAAAGCCTGCAGCATCACTGTTAGGTGTTCAGGAAAATAACGGAATCTTCCCCACCTTCAAATCCCACATGCTATCGTATCCTCCCCAGCAACTCCACTTGCCCCCTGTGACACTGCCCCTGTACCTCCAGCAAAAGCTGCCCTGGGCTCGTCCTTGTTCCCACGTGGCTTCGTCTGTCGGAGCATCCATTCCTATTGGCCCCTTCCCCAGCTCTGCGTCGAAAGGTGTTGCGTGCATCCCGGTGCCTCTGCACCTGGACCCTGTGGGATCGAGGCTGCGCCCAGGTGCGTTCCTGGTGTAAGGCTGCCAACCCCTGATCCGCGAAGGAAGCGCTCATATGCGCAGTGGGAGTAGGCGCAGTTCTTTTGGAACTGTTTTTCACAAACATTAAGAAAAAAGTCAGGTACACACTACACACAGGTACATCTACATTTTAATTATCAGATTTTGAATTATATATATATATATGCATTTACATATATATGTACATCTGATAGAATTTGCTTTCTCTCTGCTGGTTCTATTTCAGCCAAATGGTGGGAAATTTGTTGGGCTCTTTCTCCATAGTCTTTAATATTGCTGCAGGTAAAACCAATTGGTTTTGTGATATTGGATTTTTAATCCCTGCTCCAGAAGAACATATTGGTTCAAAAATGTCAAATCTAAGAAATGAAGTCAATTTTGGCAGACGGGGAAGCTAGGAACAGCCCTTTGCTGTGGGAACAGCTTGACTCTGTCATTACCTGCAACCTTGTCACCTGTCTTTTTGATACAAACTCTCAAACAGATGGTATATTTCAATTTCAATAACTTTATTGGCGATGAAAAAATATGCAAGAGCTGCCAAAAGTAATACATCAAGTAGCTGTGTTTAGAAACAGGTGTCGTGCCACGTGTCTTAACTTCAAAGAAAAGTGAGCTGAAAGGAACCAGATTTTTTATTCCTCGACTTGAACAAGATTCTTGGGGAGAAATTTTCAAGTAGAACACAACTGGGAAGTCTTTTAATGAGGCAAATCTTCATTGCCTATTCTTCTTAGTAATGGCTAACATTTCTCGTGTGCTGATAGCATGCCAGGCTAAGCCCCTTACATAGCTCAGTGGTCAGGAAGCTCGGCCCCTGCGTCTTCGGCATCCGCATCGCCTAGGAACTTGAGAAAGGAAAATTCTCAGGGCCACTCCAGACCCACTGAATTAGAAACCCTGGGACGCCAGGGGGCGCAAACTGCATTTTAATAAGTCATCCAGGGTAAACGTTCTCAGTTGTAGGAACTACTGACATGGTTTCTCTCAATTAACCCTCACATTGACTCCTCTTTACAGATGAAGAACTGGATGCACAGTTATTTACCTAGAAAGTATAGTAGTAGGGCCCTGCATTAGAATCAGACAGTCTGACTCCAGGGCCCATGCCTTAACCCCTAGGCTATGCAGAGAGAGGCCACTCAGATAATGATGTAACTAGCAGTTCCTATCAGACTTTTATATCAGGAATGAGTCAGCATTGGGAGCCACAGGAAGGATGTCTTTCAGCAGGAAAGGTAAGATGTGAAGGCCGTGGGTGCAGGGCGTGTGTGTGGGACTGTCACAGGGCTACGGGTGTCTTGGCAGGCACTCAGGACACAGGATGCCCTTGGGCCTGTAGGACCGTGTGTGCATCTGATGCGGGAGCTTTTGCAGATGCTTCTCAAGCAAATGTGGATGAGATCTATTTGTCTCCTCAAATGTAAAATCTGCTGGCTGTCAAGAGTGTAGGATTTAACGCCAGATCCATGGGAGATGCAGGGTGGCTGTGAGGATTCAGACACTGTCTCATCTCTTTGTTCAATCCTTGGTGCTTCCCCACCCTTCTAAAGTCAAGACTCGTATAGAAAATGTTATTTGTAGGGCACACTAGAGAGACCGACCGCAGGCCTGTGCTGCTGCTGGCAGGGCTAAGAGGTTACTGCCTCAGACACCCCAGCAACCCATTCATAGCTCCAGAGCCTTGCATACCAGCTGGTGGCTGGGAGACTCTAATCTTAGAGTCCAGCTTGAAGATTTCAGGCCTTTACATATCCCCAATCTAATGATGACTGAAATGTTGCTCTGACCAAAGAAACAGTGATAGGTAGTATTAGAATAAGACTTTAAATATACAAAGTGCATCTAAAATGTGCTTTTACTTCTTTCTCACAGCCACTGGGATGATACGTGACTATTCCCATTTACAGATGAGGAAACTCAATCAATGCAATGAGATGATTTGCTTAAGCAGATACAAATGGAAGAATGGAAAATCGAGTCATATCTTCTCTTTTACTCTTTGACTCTTCCCTCCTTCCCTCTGTCCTGGGCAAGCCCCATGTTAGTGGTACCCACTCAGTGTACGTGAGGGTTTCATAGTGTGGACAAATTTATTTCTACAGATTCAGATAGATTATGGCTCAGACTGACTGCCTATGCTTGCTCTGGTTATGAGAAAGAACAACTGATTATTTAAGAACTTCTGAAAAGTCCAAAATAACCCACAGGATGGCCATAAAATACTCATTTTTTAAGTATCTTTGTGCTACCACCTTTCTTTAGAGCAGGGGTTCTTAAATCCTGGGACCACAGACCAGTACCTTTCCCTGGCCTGTTAGGAACCAGGCCACACAGGAGGAGGTGAGTGGAGGGCGAGCGAAGCTTCATCTGTATTTACAGTTGCTCCGCGTCGCTCACATTACCACCTGAGCACCGCCTCTGGCCAGATCAGCAGCATTATTCGATTCTCATAGGAGTGGAACCCTATTGTGAATTGTGCACGTGAGGGATCTAGGTTGCGCACTCCTTATGTGAATCTAATGCCCGATGATCTAATGCCTGATGATCTGCTGAGATGGAACAGTTTCATCCCAAAACCATCCGCTCCTGGTCCTGTGGAAAAATTGCCTCCCAACAAACGGATCCCTGGTGCCAAAAGGTGGGGGACCACTGCTTTAGAGGAGGCCAAAGCGTATAATTCACTTAGGGTCACCAGCTTCCAAATTAATCCTCGAGAATGTTGTTTGTGCATTTTACTATTAAAAGCCAACTTATTCACTTCCTTTCTTAACTAATTTAGAGGTGTTACATCTAAGGTAGGATTTTAAAAGTCCCCAAACCATGTAGGAAGATTTTGCTAGAGGCACAAAGCATATGGCACTTGTTTAAAAATGGAGCTTTATATTTTAACAGAATCTGAGACAATTAGCACTTTTTCAAGATGCTAAAAAATAATACCTGCCAATTTGTGTTTCTCCAGGTAGAGCATGTGACATCTCAAGTAGCCTATACCCAGGGGCTCCCGGGACAGGTGCGGCTTACACAGGAGAAAAACCCAGTACTGACACATCAGATTTCACAGGGCTGCTTTATAAAACCTGTTTCCTTCTCCAAAATTACATCTGCAGGGCCCTCTACTACATTTTCACCTGACTTTCTCAAAAACTAATTTTAAACTTATTTGCGCATTTTTTTCTGACATTTTATGCCCTAATTCTAAACAAACAAACAAAATCCCTAAGCCTGGTAAAAAATATACTTTTTCATTTGTAATGTAAAGAAAACAGACACAGCTTACTTACTCTAGTAAAATTATTTTTGATATTTGAATTTTTTCTTTTTTTTTTTTTGAGACGGAATCTCGCTCTTGTCACCCAGGCTGGAGTGCAGTAGTGTGATCTCGGCTCACTGCAACCTTCACCTCCCAGGTTCAAGCTATTCTGCTGCTTCAGCCTCATGAGTAGCTGGGATTACAGGAGCCTGCCACCACGCCCGGCTAATTTTTGTCCTGTTAGTAGGGATGGGGTTTCACCATGTTGGCCAGGCTGGTCTCGAACTCCTTACCTCAGGGGATCCGCCTGGCTCAGCCTCCCAAAGTGCTGAGATTACAGGCGGGAGCCACTGCACCTGGCCGATATTTGAATGTTTTTAACAGCTTCATTGAGATCTAGTTTATGTATCATGACATTTGCCCACTGCACGTGGACAATTAAATGATTTTTAGCCAATTTAAAATGTTGCACAACTATCACCACAATCTGCTTTGAGGACATTTTCATCACCTCCAAAAAGATCCTTCATGTCTGTTTGTGGTCAGCTGATTGTACTTTTTATAATTGCTCCAATTTATTTTTGAAAAAAGTGTTCTTAATGTAACCCAAGAACTTGACAATTCCGGTTTTTTTTTTGTTTGTTTGTTTTTTTGGGGACAGAGTCTAGCTCTGTTGCCTAGGCTCAAGTGCAGTGGCGAGATGTAGGCTCACTGCAACCTCCACCTCGCGGGTTCAAGCGATTCTTGTGCCTTAGCCTCCTGAGTAGCTGGGATTACAGGTGCCCGCCACCAAGCCTGGCTACTTTTTGTATTTTTAGTAGAGACTGGGTTTCACCATGTTGGCCAGGCTGGTCTTCAACTCCTGATCTCAGGTGATCCGCCTGCCTTGGCCTCCCAAATTGCTGGGATTGAAGGAGTGAGCCACAGCCTCACCTCCAGCCATAACTTGATAAGTCTAATTGACAGCCGGGTAACTCTAGCAGCACCTCTGCCCTTCCTACCCAGGCCCATGACATGTGGAGGAGCAAGGTTAGAACAACATTTAAATCACTGAGCCCTTGTGCCCTGTCCCATGTTAATATCCATGATCTGAATTAGGAAGTATTAGTGGGGCAGGAGGTGGGACAAGCTAAACTTATTTGCCCATGTAAAGCCACCAAAGTACCAACCAAGATAAAGGCATGATGAACCAATGAGATACAGGAGGAAAGAGGCCCTCCGTAATAAAGTCCTAGTCAAGGCTCGGACTCAGAAGATCGAAATTATAGTCCTGGTTCTGCCTTATAGCCTGGGAAAAATTCCCAACTGTTCAGTTTCTTCTTTTGTAAAATGATATGAGGGTACCTACCTCACAGGGTTGTTGTGAAGATTCAATACGTAGAAAAGCACGCTGCATATCACAAAACACTAGACAGGGGTAGGGAAGGGTCTTGTGCTTTTTGTGGTGGTTGTTTTTGGGGTGGGGGTGGGGAGGACAAAGTCTCGCTCTGTCACCCAGGCTGGAATGCAGTGGTGTGATCTCGGCTCACCGCCACCTCTGCCTCTCAAGTTCAAGGGATTCTTGTGTCTCAGCCTTCTGAGTAGCTGGGACTACAGGCGCACATCACCACGGCCAGCTAATTTTTGTATTTTTAGTAGAGACGGGGTTCCTGCCATGTTGGCCAGGCTGGTCTCGAACTCCTGACCTCAAGTGATCCATCTGCCTCAGCCTCCCAAAGTGCTGGGATTACAGGCATGAGCCACCATGCCCAGCCTGGGAAGGGTCTTTATTGGGACAGTTGGTAAGTTCTGTCCCAAGCACACAGCATGCCAGCTTTTGGGGGCTGTCTGAACCAACTGTAGATATGTGGGTCCCCTGGGGTGGAGTCCTGAGTTCTTCCTGAATGTTTTGCTTCATAATAAAGTCAACTTTAAATGTTTTAAATGTATGGTGTTTAATGCTTTGTACAACTTTTCATGGTCTCATTATCTGAGCTGTTTTACTCCCATGAGGTCACACAGCATTGCATAGTGAGGCTGAAGCTTGTCACCTGGGTTATCCTTTTGAAATTTCTCCAAGCTGGACTTTTGCCATTCTTCCCTAACAGCAGGTTAGAGCTCTCCAGCTGGCAGAAAGCACATATCCAGAATCCCAAGGAGTGCCAGACCCTTCCTTCCCCAGTACGGTCGGCAAACTTAGCACACTATGCCATTTTCCTTTTCTGTCACGTCAAAAAAAAAAAAAAAAACTTGGATGTAAAATCCTCCTAACTTTCTAAGACACTGGACAAGAAATTAATGTATTAATTTGTTCAGTTAATATTTCCTGAGTAGTGTTACCATGGGGCAGGCAGGAGGGAGTCAATGGTGAGCTCTGCCTTTTAGAGCTTTATAATCTGATTTGCTTTTCTCCAGATGTGATCTGCAGATAGCTGCATAGAGATGACACGGGCTGCTTATTGAGAGGGCAGATTCTGGGGCCCCATGGCAGACTCACTGGATTAAAATACCCGGTTAAGGGGCCAGGACTCTGGTCTCAGAGGCCTCTTAATGCCCCAACCTTCGAGACTGCCAGCGGATGGTAACAGCACAGAGAAGTGAAAGAGGCTGATCTCTGCTGCCTTGTGATGCAAAGAGAATTTATCATCTACAATTAAGAATTGTGGGCCAGGCACCATGGCTCACACCTGTAATCCCAGCACTTTGGGAGGCCGAGGTGGGAGGATTGCTTAAGGCCAGGAGTTGAAGACCAGCCTGGGCAACACAGCGAGAGAAAAAAATAATAAATAAATAAATAAATAAATAAATAAATAAATAGATAAATAAATAAATAAAAGAATTGTGTCAGACTCCTGATGAAACGAGAAGCTATAAAAGATTGTGTCTTATACGGTTGTGCTGGGTAGTTGGCGGGGGTGTCATATGAACCTGCCTGCGCTGAGATCTACGTGCCTAGTTAGTTCTACTTCCCACCCCATTGCTTTTTTTTTTTTAATAATTGTTTTTGGAGCAGCTTTAGGTTCACGGCAAGATGGAGAGAAAGTACAGAAATTTCCCATCCATCCACTGCCCCACATATACACAGCCTCTTCCATTATCAACATCTCCCACCAGAGTGGTCCATTTGTTACAGCCATGAACCTGCACTGACACATCATAATCACCCTTGGTTCACTCTTCGTGTTGTATGTTCTTTGAGTTTTGACAAATGTATAATTTCCAGGGTTGTAGTGTCACAGAGAATAGTTTTACTGTCTTTAACCACCCCCATGCTCTGCCTGTTCATCCCTCCCTACTCCTCAATCCTTGGCACCTAACTGATCTATTCCTGTCTTCATAGATTTGCCTCATCCAGAATGTCATATACAGTCAGCCCTGTAGCTCTGAGCACCACAACTGTGGATTCAACCAACTTCAGATTGAAAATATTGGGGAAAAAAATTGCTTCTGTACTGAATATGTTTGGGTATTTTTTCCTTGTCATTATTCCTTAAACAATACACTACAGCAACTATTTACACAGCATTTACATTATATTAGGTATTATAAATAACCTAGAGATGATTTAAAGTATGTGGGAGGATGTGGTTAGGTTATATGCAAATACTATGCCATTTTATGTCACAGAATTGAGCATCCAAAGATTTTTGGTATCTGAAGGAATTTTTGGAACCAATCCACCATGGATATTGAGGAAAAGACTGTAGTTGGAATCATATTGTATGTAGCCTTTTCAGACTGGCTTCTTTCACTTAGTAATACGCATTTAAGTTTCCTCCATGTCTTTTCATGGCTTGATATCACTGAATAATATTCCATTGTCTATAGAGGGACCACAATTTATTTATCCATTCACCTACTGAAGGGTAGTGTTATGGTTTGAATGTTTGTGTCCCTCCAGAATTCATACATTGAAATTCTGATGCCCAAGGTAATGATATTAGGAGGTAGAGTCTTTGAGAAGTGATTAGGCTAGGAGGTAGAGGACTCATGAACGGGATTAGTGTCCTTTTCAAAGAGGCCCAAAAGGGATCCCTTGCCTCTTCCTTCATGTAAAGACACAGTGAAGGTGCCATTCTATGAACAGGGAAAAAGGCCCTCACCAGATGCTGAATCCGCTGACACCTTGATCTTGAACCTCCCAGTTGCCAGAAGAGCAAGAAATAAATTTCTGTTGTTTATAAGCTACCCAGTCTGTGGTATTTTGTTACAGCAATCTGAACAGACTAAGACAGAAATCATGGTTGCTTCTAAGTTTTGGGGATTATGAACAAAGCTGCTATAAACCTCCATATGCAAGATTTTGTGTGGACCTAAGTTTTCAACTCCTTTGGGTAAGTACCAAGGAGTGTGATTGCTGGATACTATAAGAGTATGTTTAGCTTTGTAAGAGACTGCCAAACTATCTTCCAAAGTGGCTATACCATTTTGCATTACCACCAATAATGAATGAGAGTTTCTGTTGTTCTACATCCATCTCAGCATTTGGCGTCGTCAATGTTCTGGAGTTTGGCCATTCTAATCGGTGTTTAGTAGTATCTCATTGTTGTTTTAATTTGCAATTCCCTAATGACATAGGCTTTTGGACCATCTTTTCATATGTTTGTTTGCCATTAGTCTATCCTCTTCCATGTCTTTTGCCCATGTTTTTGATCAGATGTTTCATTTTTATTGTTGAATTTTAAGAGCTTTTTACATATTTTGGATAACAGTCCTTTATCAGATATGTCTTTTGCAAATATTTTTCTCCCAGTCTGTGGGTTGTCTTTTCATTCTCCTCATTATGTCTTTGTGGAGCAAAAATTTTTAATTTTAATGGAGTCTGGAGTCCCTCTTATCAATTCTTTCTTTCATAGATCATGCCTTTGGTGTTGTATCTAAAACAAATCTCCAATCTCCATATATCTTCTAGGAATTTTATAGTTTTACATTTTACACTGTGATTTATTTTAAGTTAATTTTTGTGAAGGACATAGGTCTGTGTCTAGATTCATTTCTCTTGCACATGGATGTCCAGTTGTCCCAGCACCATTTGTTGAAAAGACTCTCTTTGTCTTGTTTCCATTGTATTATTGCCTTTGCTCTTTTGTAAAAGATCAGTGGACTCCACCCTCACTTTTTAAGTATCCATCATTTTAAATAGAAAGTGCTCACATTAGGCTGAGGGAGAGGGTGATATTTGCATGTTTGCTAGCAAAGGGAAGAGGATATTAGCCATGGAGTCCCTCCATCCTTCTTGACTATCCAGATACATCCCAGAGAGAGTGGTATGCTTAATGCATTACTAATTAAGTGGTTATCTAAGTTACCCAGAAGCCACCCTTGTGATAATGTTTGCTGCTCAAAAGGTTAACATTGGAAGGCTCCTTTGGAAACCCCAATCCAGGAAGACCTGTGCTCTGAGAGGAGGCACTGCAGAATGGTTAGTACTGGGGCTTCGGAGTTGGTTCTTACAACCTGCATGACTGGAGGGAAGCCCTTTAGCCCTCTCAATTAATTTTCCTGACATATAAAATATAGACAATAATATTCATTACCCAGGGTTGGTGTAAGAAATACATAATGCACTCTGCACAGTGCTTAATACAGTGACTGTTATTATTACTGAAATTGTTACTAAGATATTATTTCCTCTTCCTCCATCCCATTGCTCTCTTTCTCCTCCCCACAATTCCAGGCTCTGTCATCCCTAAAGACTTGATGTTATTAATCTATTATTAATCTATTAGGCCATGAGGGGGCTGCTTCATCTTGTAGCATCTACTGATCTGGCTTGAGTGAGGCCCAATGAATGCTAGCCTCTTTGGCTGGAATCTACCTAGGGTTACCATAACAGATTACCACAAGCTTAAGGAGCCTAAAACAACACAAATTTATTCTCTTACAGTTCTGGCGGGTGAAAGTTCAAAACCAAGGTGTCGGCAGGGCCACACTCTCTCTGAAGGCTCTAGGGGAGCATCCTTTCTTGCCTTTGCCAGCTCCTGGTGGCTCCTGGCAATCCCTGGCACTCGGCTTGTAGCCGCATCCCACCCATCTCTGCCTCTGCCTTCACCTGGCATTCTTCTGTGTCTCTGCCCCTCCTTTCCTTTTCTTGTAAGGGCACCAGTCATTGCATTTAGGTTGCACCCTAATCCAGTATGACTTCATCTTAGCTTGGTTACATTTGTAAAGACCCTATTTCCAAATAAGGTCATATTCTGAGGTTCCTGGTAGATGTGAATTTTGGTGGGGACAATACCCAACCCAGTGCAGGGCCATTTAGGTTCAGCACAGCAGGTTTTAAATATCAATAAGAACAAGTTGGTCTGTTCTGCTCCCAGATCCCATCCCCAGAGGCCCCTTCTAGACAGGGGTAGCATGGAGGGACCAGCTGAAGTCCGGATATCATCTTTACCCAAACCAGAACTCCAAGACCATTCAAAAACTCCCCCAGTGACTGACTGTGCAAACTGATTTGGGAAAAAAACCCTTCTGGACTTATTATATATTGTTTGTTTCTCTTTTCAAAGAACTGTTTCTGAAGCTGTCCTTGAAATAAATAACACAAAACAGTGCCCTTGAATCTATGAATTGAAAAGAGCCCAAATGGATAAAACAAACCTAATTTTGGCAACAGAGAATTCATAATAATACAGAAGAAGGTATTTAAAAGTTCCCTGGGCTGGGCGTGGTGGCTCACGCCTATAATCCCAGCACTTTAGGAGGCCGAGGCAAGTGGATCACCTGAGGTCGGGAGTTTAAGACCAGCCTGACCAATATGGTGAAACCCCGTCTCTACTAAAAATACAAAAATTAGCCGGGCATGGTGGCGTGTGCCTGTAGTCCCAGCTACTCTACTCAGGAGGCTGAAACAGGAGTATCGCTTGAACCCAGGAGGCGGGGATTGCAGTGAGCCGAGATCGCTCCACTCTACTCCAGCCTGGGCGATGGAGCAAGACTCCATCTCAAAAAATAAATAATAATAATAATAATAATAATAAAAGCTCTCTGACTTAGAATATTACTATTTGGAGAAAATTACTCTTAATTAAGAGAAAAGTGATATTTTAGTTTTCATTTCCTAAAAAAAGTTCTTCTTTCCTTTCAGCCTTTCTCTCTGTCTCTCTCCCCCTCCTCTCTGTCCATTCTTTTACAACCTCAGGAGTTAATGGCAGTACATTAGTTTGCTTGAAAGATTAAAAAACTTAGAAAAAATTAATACGAAACAATATTTTTCCTACAACTTTTTACAGAATATTTATATTTATTGGTTTGTTTGTTTGTTGAGACAGGATCTGGCTCTGTTGCCCAGACTGGAGTGCAGTGGTGCAATCTGGGCTCACTGCAACCTCACCTCCTGGGCTCAAGCAATCCTCGCACCTCAGTGTCCTGAGTAGCTGGGACTACAGGGCACATGCCACCACACCCAGCTAATTTTTGTGGGGTGTTTTTTTTTTTTTTTTTTATAGAGGAGCAGGTTTTGTCACGTTGCCCAGGCTGGTCTTGAACGCCTGAGCTCAAGCGATCTGCCTGCCTTGGCCTCCCAAATTGCTGGGATTACAGGTGTGAGCCACTGCTCCTGGCCAAGAAAATTTATTATAATAAAATGAATATGGGCTTTGGAGTCTAGCCATGACTTGAGGTAGATTCGACAGCCAAACTTTTGAAGGCTATTTTAATTCTGACTGATGTGACTGTAGTTGAAAGGAATAATGAAAAACATTTACATCAAGAAGGAGAGGGGCACATGGCCTGCATCTGAGGCCGTATTTCCTCTGTATGTGTGAAGGTGGATAATCACCGCAGTCCCCTGACCACCTCCCCGGTGTGTCCTCACTAGGTATGGAAACCGCGGGGCCAGGTTGGTGTATTTTTCATCTTGAGAATGGGAGTGGGGTTTTTCGAATGTTTCCAAGAGTTCCATCATGTGGAGGTACCCTGCTGGCTCCTTCAATTTCCCGGTCAGGCCTTTCTTCTCCACTGGCCACAGATGATCAGGGGGAGGTCCGAAAGCTGACTGTGTACACAAAAGAGCCCTTCTCAGTTGAAGCAAAGCAATCGTACTTTACTGTCCTTTAAGTTTTTCTACTTTAATGCACCTCATTTTCTTGTTACAAAATTCCAAAATACTATGAAATGCAAAAAAGAGAAAGGAAAGAAGAGCAAATAAACTTTTAGAACTAGATCAGTCTTCAGGATATGTTTTGAAATACATAGTTGCCCCATTTGAGACCCAAGCTTCTGTATTCTTCACAACTACTGATAAACATTTCTTCACCTATTTTACATGATGATCTTCTCAGTGCAATATTTTCTATTTTATAAAGTTGTTAGCAAAACATTGATCTCTTGTAGGTACTTGATTCAGTAAGGAAGAAAGCAGAAAGCACGTCACAGAATGGGGAAAACGTGGAAAAAACTGGGTGCTTCTCAGCAGAGCAGATTCCCACCAGAATAGCACTTTGGGGGTGAGCCTTAGGAAATGCACCCCCAGCACCCACCTGAGTGATTCTGCAATGCCCCATGACAGAGAACCCCTGGGCTGCGTCATTGCCACAGTTCCCTTTGTTTAGCTTATTTTCAGTCTGTGTGGACGCAGCACATCTGAGAAACAACAGCCTGAGTGATGGGAAAACAGCAGCACGAGGAGGAGGAGGGTTTTGGGAATGAGGTATTTTTTCCTAAGGAGGAGTGAAAAGGGGGGTTAAATCCAGCGTCAGCTGCACTTTGGAATTATCAGGAACCCTAAAGCTGCCTGGCGCTTGTGCCTCTCCCTGGAGTGGCATAACTGGTGGGAGGCGAGGCCAGGGCATTCGGATCTTTATATCCCTTCTAGCAATTCCTCTGGACAGCCAGGGGTGAGAACCTGTGACACAGGATATCATGCGGTGAAGGGCGAAGCCTTGGAAGAAAAGAGCGGACTTAGCAGTTACGGAGAGAGGAGATTCAGGGCAGTGGGGAGGGGCTAGAGAGAGCATCTTAGCTTGATGTTCTGACATTTGAGGCTTTACTGGTCCTAGAAGGAGTGCCCTTCCCAGGGCTAGCCAATTCTTAGCGATAGCAAACACAGGATGCACCCATGGGTGTGCCTTTCTTTTTCTTTATTTTTTCTTTTTCTTTTTTTCTTGTTTTTGAGACGGAGTTTCGCTCTTGTTGCCCAGGCTGGAATGTAATGGCACAATCTTGGATCACTGCAACGTCGGCCTCCCGGGCTCAAGGATTCTTCTTCCTCAGCCTTCCGAGTAGCTGGGATTACTGGCGCGCACCACCACGCCCAGCTATTTTTTTTTTTTGTATTTTGAGTAAAGACAGGATTTCACCATGTTGACCAGGCTGGTCTCCAACTCCTGACCTCAGGTGATCCACCCGCCTCGTCCTCCCAAAGTGCTGGGATTACAGGCGTGAGCCACCGCGCCCGGCCGGTGTGCCTTTCATCTGCCAACCAAACAATCCAGCGCCCACACTCCAAGCACCTCCGCTGTAGGGCTCTCACGCTCCCGGCCACTATCCTCTGCCCCAATCACTCCAGGGCAGATACCAGACAACCTAGGGCGTATGCGCCCGAGCTCACAGAAATTCAAACTAGCCTATCCTTGGCCTGCCTCGCCTTTCTCAAGGAAACCACAATGAAGGCTCCTGCCATGTTTTGCCCCTTCCCCGCTTCCCCGGATTGGCCCTGGTGCTCTCCCGTGTGGCCCTGTGTGGCGTGGCATGCCCCCTTGTTTTGGGAACTGTGAACAATAAACTCTTTTCAATGGCAGTCATTCCCTGATCTGTCAGCCTCACCATACCTGAATAATAATAAAACCTGCATTTTAAAACAGGGAGATGTAAGCCGAGGTGGAAGAGGAGACGTCAAAAAGTAAAGTATTTTTGAAAGGTGGAGGGTGTGGGTGGGAGAAATGCAGCAGGCTGGCTAGGCGCAGAGGGTCAAGGGAAGGTTTTGTGTTTTCTAAAGTCATAATACCTGTTTCACAGGGATATCGAAGACTTGGATTTACATTTACATTAAACAAAAAACAAACAAACAAAAAAAACACAACAAGACTTCATTAAAAGAGATCTTACCCTGCCAGGAATGTGTTCACCCTGCCACCCGGCTGTGGTTTCCATGGGCTGCATGGGGCAGGGACGTGGAAGAGGAGAGTCTGAGACAAGGGCAGGGGCCCAGCTCACTGTGCGGGAGCTTTGGAAATGATAACCAGAAAGCATAAAGCGTACCCTTGCCTTGACCCACCAAGATTAATGAGAATATTGTGGTGTAAGCACATTATTTCCTGAACAAAAGTTTTTTTTTAACTTAAAAAAACTGTGGTAAAAGGCATATAAGATAAAATTTAGTGCATTACCCACCTGTAAGTGTACAGTCCAGTAGTAAGTACATCCACACTGGTGCGCAAACAATCTCCAGAGCTTTTTCATCTTGCAAAACAGAAATTGTACCCATTAAACTCGAATTCCCTATTCTGCCCTCCTCCAGCCCCTAGTAACCACCAGTCTACTTTGTTTCCATGAATTTGACTACTCTAAGTCTCTCATATAAGCACATTCTTTTCTCTTAGCACATATTTATATTCTGGTAGCAGAGGGCTGGGAGGGGGAAGGGAAGCATAAGAGGAGGGAGGACACATGATGGTAAATCTGAATGAAGCTGATGATGGTATTAGCCACGGTTTGCTGAGAGCCTCATCTAGGCCAAATATTAGCATAATAGACTGTCAAATTTTAACTTTTACCACAAACCCAGAGGTAGGGGTTATTTCTACTTAGAGATTGCATAGCTCGTCTGCCCAGGATGGCAGGGTGGCTATGGGGCAGTCCTTGAAGGTCTAACTCTAATACTGTTCCATCCTTTCATTCCTGGGCTGGGGTGGGGGCCGGAGGGACATCTAGAATGTGACAGTGCCTCTCTGCCCTGGCGTACTGTCATGGTGCAGCATAGCTATTCAGGAGGCATCTGCCTGAATCTTTGAGGGGTGGGATCTGGTGTGGGTGTCTGCTGTAGAGTACAGCCACCAACCTGTCTTGGGGCACATGGAGCCAAGGGCCGGAGCTAGAGAAATGCCTGCTTATGCTCAGTCAAGTTCTTGTTCAGGAGAAACTATGTAAATAGGAAGTTACATTTCAAAGAAATCCCATCAGACCAATAGTAATTACTGCTTGTAAATCAATTGTCAGTTATCGTGTTCAATAAATATGGTTCCTCCAAGCATCTGAAACAATTTGTTCATAATTGTTTAATTTACAAAACAAATATCATTTCTTTGTCACCTTAAATGAATTGACTTAGAAATTCCATTCTAGGAATTGGTTCTAGGAAAACAATTATTGACATTTACAAAGATTTAGCTACAGGGATGCTTTATGCCTATAAAAGAGAGAAGTTGCAAACTCATTCAAAATTCAATGACAGCAAGTTGGTTAGGAGGAGAGGTGATATAGCACTTAGGATAAATGTTAACTCTGCTCTTTGTGAGTCTTTATGAACCTGGGCCAGTTCCTTACCCTTGGTCCCTCATCTGAAAATGGGCATCTTGAGATTCCCTTTCTCAGCGTTATGGGGAAGAGCCCTGCGGTGGCTAGAATATGGTAAGCACTAGGTACAGGCTAGATTTTTAATCCTTCTGCCTGGCCATATAATGTCTAAAACAAAATTGTCTTAGGCACCAGAAACCACACTGTAGGCAAATATTCAATGGCATGGAAAGATGTTCATGAATAAACAAGTACAAAATGAAGGTTCAAGAAGAGCTTGTAGAGCTTGACCCATTTATACGTGTGCGAGTGTTAAAAACAAGATTGGAAGTAAGTGTGCATGTGCAATGGTTGTCTTGGGCTGACCCCGTTGATCTCCTTGCCTCTCACCTCCCCCTCCTGAAGTCCCTCATCAGCACAGCAGCCAGGGTGCTCCCGGTCAGATGCAAATCAGATCAAGTCACTCTTGTGCATCAGTTTTTCCATTGGCCCCAAACTCATTTGGAAATGGGAGGGAAAGCCAAAGTTATTACTTACAAATCTAGAAAGCTTTCTATGCTCTTTCCCTCAGCTCCACCTTTCCTCTCTGACCCCCATATTCTCTCCTTCCCCCACCCCCCACTCTGCTCCTCCACACTGATTTCCTTGCTGCGCCTCCAACATATGGGGCATGTTCCAGCCTCAGGACCATTGCATGTGCCCTTCCCTCTGCCCAGAATATTCTTCCTCCAGCTCTCCACATGTCTCCTTCCCCCACTGCCTGCAAGTCTTATTTCAGAAGTCACCTTTCAGTGCGTCCTTCCCCGTTCATCATAGTGACCATGTTAACAACCAACCCACTGCTATTTCATGCCCCTGTCCTCTTCTTAGCGCTTATTACTAACATGCATGATAGACAGGGATTCCTGTTGGTTCTGTTCACTATTGTGTCTCCAGCACCTTTAAAAGTCTCTGGAGCAGAGTGGCCACTAAGTAAACGTTTACGAGATGGATGAATTATTTTACTTTCTTCCATTGCTAACTTATATGTTCTAAGATTTCTGCAGTTAACATATTTTGCTAATAAGGAAAAGGCCAATTGAAAAAGCGAGTAGCGTTTTATCTATATGTTTCTACTTTATGCCATTTCTGTTTTAACTCAAGATACTTGGATGTGATGGGCAGGAATGGAAAACAGAGACAGTGAGATGAAGGGAGAGAGAGGGAGACAGACAGAACCTGCTATTTCAGGCCGCATCCTGGATAGCAGCCAAGTCCTTTGCCAAATTTGGGGGCTGGAATTTAATACTACTGCTTATCAAGGAAGCCAACTTACTCATTGAAACCTAGGGCTAGAATATTTCAAAACCAGCTGCTCCAATTTCTAGTAATTTCCAACATATTTTAATTGTTCAGGTTTCTAATAACATCAAACACATGTTTTCTCCAGCATGAGGAACACATTCAGTTCAAAAACAGCCAAGATGGAAAACACTGGAAGTACATGGCCAAGCCACAGGAGTGAACCAGCCCCCAGGTTAGCAATTTGCATGTGGCTTCCCCCATATTCAGCCAGGAGAAGAGGTTTATTTGCCATAATGGAGGCTCAGGTCAGGTTTCTTGAGACACTCTTTAACAATCAGGTCAAACACAAGCCTGTTCTGTGTTAACCTCCTCTGAGTAATATTATCCGAGGCCTGGAGTGCATTGCAGATGATGACTTGATTCTTACTCGGATTCAAAGATCACTCTGGAGAAGGACTGTGAGTGTCCCAAGTCTGTCCTTGCTTTTCTCACATACCCTCTCTAGGATACCTCCTCTATTCTAAGTTCTGGAATGCTGCTCAGCCCAATTCCACACACCAAACCCAGCTCCCTCTCTTGAGTACCAAAATCCATGGGACATCGGCTCTTGGATATTTCATACCCAATCTGCCCAACATGGAACTCAGTACCTTCACCCTCACAGGGGGCTCTCCCCACGCTCTGTATCTCAACAGACAGCCTATTTTCCTTGCAATTTCCAAAGCAGAATCCTGGAGTTACACTTGACTTCTCCCTCCTCTCACCTCATGGTTCCAGCCAACCATCTATTCTCTGTTTTAGGAATCTCAAAAATCGATCCACTTTTTTCCATCAATGCTTGCGTTTGGGGTGTGCTCCTCTCTCAACTGGATCACAGCAACCAGCAGGCCCCAGGGTGGCCCTCCTGACATCCACCACAATCCACCCTCTGCAGCGGCCACAATCCACCCTCTGCAGTGTCATGCCACCAAGGAAGCTAAACCACATCACTCCCCGGTTTAAAACCCATCAACGGCTCCCTCCTAACCTTGGGATAAAGTCCAGACTCCCTTCCATGACTTACAAAGGTGTATGCAGAGTCATTAGAAGGTTGTAAAATCAATAACCAGCACTTAAAAAGTAGAATAGAATAGAAATACTGTAGAGTGGTTTGTGCATGATGAGGGCCAGTGTTGTTTGTGACTGTTGATTCATGCCTGGGTGTGTGCCCTGGGTGTAATTGTAAGATGTATTATTATTATTATTTTTTACCCTGGATTGCAGTCAAGACAAGTTTGAAAAATACTAGTAGACAAGACCTTTTGGGATCTGGCCCAACTCTCCAGGATCCTCTTTTACTTCTCCTGCTTTGCGATATTCTCTGGTCACAATGCAGAATCTGCAGTATCTAGACATGTGCAGTATCTCAAACATACAGCTCCCACTACCTCCAGCCCTTTGTGCATGATGTTCTCTTTTCTTGCAGTTCCTTGCTTGCCCTTCATCTACTGAGCCCTGCCACAGTCTTCCTTGAGCCCCAGGCAGGGATGGGTCACCTGCCCTATGTCACACTTACACTGTTGTGCATCCCCTGATTTGTGTCCATCTTTTCAGGGCAGGAATCATGTCTATCTTTTCACCTGTGTACCCAGCACATTGCAGAGGGGCCAACATATCAGAGGTAATCAACAACCTTGTGTTGGATGAACAAACAAATAAGCCTATTCATTAACTCAAGAGTAGTTCACCGAGGATTTCTTGAGCCTCTCTGATGTGCTAGACCCTGTGGACACATAGAAATAAATGAGACTGCATTCCTGACTCAGATTCAAAGAGAATATGTCCCTGACCTCTGCTGCAGAGTGGCTTCTCCCCCAGAGAATGGCTCTCAGGCGAGTTCATGAGCAAAGCATGCTACGGGGCGATGCCTCCTAGAGGATAAAGGAAGGTTCTTTTGTGCTCCCACAAATAGAAATTAAACAAAACCTCCCCTAGCCACATGACTTTACCCAAAATTTCATTACTAGATATGAACCCCCTGGTTCATGCAGAACTGTAACGTTTTGGGGCGATGAGAAGTGTCATTCCTTGGGCCTCAGCCAGAAATAAAGACTTTGCCAAGCTCCCCTACTGCCCCGGGGAGAAGGAATACATAATCAACCTCAGTTATTCACACCTCATGATGGATAACTTTATTAATCTGTTCTGAAATAAAGTGATGTTGGGCAGAAGTGGAGAAGCTGGAGAGTTCCAGCTCCTGAGACCAGGCATCTCACAGAGAAGGAGAGGGTTAGAGGAACTAGAAGGACACGCTCCACTTCTGCCAGAGGGCTTTGGGATCAGCCAACCTGAGTCCTGATCTTGCCCTGGCCCTGCCTGCTAGGGTAGCTGTGGCCAAGGCACCTAAACTTTCAGAATCAGTTTACTTACCTGTAAGAGGGGAGGAAATATCTATGCCCAAGCTTGTTGGAAGGATGAAAACAAAATTTGGAGGCTAACTCTCCATGTGGGCTTTCCATACAGAGTGCCCACGGTTATGAGGGCAGCTGGGTCAACATTCAAAATGGTCATGAGTGAGAAAATGTGAGCTCTTAAAATAGAGAGGGAGACCCTGGGTGAGGCTGGGAAACAGGCTCAGGCAACTGTCACACACCCTGGAGCAAAGAGTGGGTCACAGACCAGTTCTAAGAATGAAAAGTACCATGGCCCATGATTAAGGAAGTAAAGAGGGACTTTTGCAAACCATTAAGCCACAAGGCACTTTTTGCATTAGTTTCATTTGATCTTTCCTTTACATATGTTATGAGCTTCTGTGTCCGGCAAACCCACCACCAGCAATGGAAAGCTTTCCGCAGTGACCACGTCAATTTGAGGAAATAGTTAAAGGAGTGAATATGCCTGCCCATTATCCCTTCGGGCCTTGCAGTCCTTCTGCGTATCTGATGTGAACATGCCTCGGGAGCATCCCAGGATGGCGTGTTCTCTATTTCCTGACCTGCTGGAAGACAGGCAGGAAATGAGAAGGTAGGTGAGGCCAGCTGGGCCCAGGGAAATGGAATACCCAATGTCTTTGTTCAAAATAACTTCCACTGATACCTTTGAGAAGCTAATATAAACCATGCGAGGGTGTCTTTGTGTTCCCGCAAATATTTAAGATAAAACATGCACAAAACAGTCATTGGACTTTGAAGGAAAGGTGGTTTGTGTTCCCCAGAGAAATTCTAAAGTCAGATTTTCATGGAGTTTCTATAAGAAATTTGTAAAAATGAGGAAAATGACAGGCCCACTTGGCTCTTCCCACGTTGGGGTGCAGCATAGTGAAAAGCGGAGTGCACTTTACAGGCAGGACTAGCTGGAGGCTCACCAAGGTGGATGTGTTGGTAAGTTTATGTGTCAGCTTGGCTAGGCCATAATACCTACTGAGTCCAACATCAATCAGGATGTTGCTGTGAAGGTATATTTTGGATGAGATGAACATTTAATGCAGTAAACTTCAAGTAAAACAGATGTCCCTCCATAATGTGAGGGGATCTCATCCAGTCAGTGGGAAGGAAAAAGACTGAGGTGCCCTGAGAAAGAGAGAATTCTGCTTTTTCAGATTGCCTTACACTTAGCCGTAACATCCACCCTTCCTGGGAGCTCCAGGCCGCTGGCCTGCCCTCCAGATTTCAGACTTACAGCCTGTACAATTTCACAAGCCAGTTCCTTAAAATAAATGTATCTCTTTATATACTCACATCCCATTGGTCCTGTTTCCCTGGAGAACCTTGACTAATAATACAGGGCTGAATACCACACTCCTACTCCAGGTAGGAAGCCAGGTGGTCAGGGTGACAAGGGGGCCGGGGAGGAGGGTATTTATTGATGAGGGGGAGTGGAGTCAGGCTAACATCGGGGTAGTAGGAATCATAAATGGTTCTTGTGTCCCCACCAAGCTAGGAAATAGCAAGCTGGTTCTAAAAGGTTCAGGGTCACACATCTGTCCATTCATTCCTTCTTTCGTGTAACAAAATCTTGATTCTAAGGCTCTCTCTAGGTGCTGCGGGGCAGCAGTGAGCAAAGCAGGCCCTGCCTTCCTAGAGCTTAAGGTCTAGCAGGGAAGTGGTGATACACTGGTAAGTCAGGATTTGAAGAGGAGGAAAGTAAAAGGATAGAGATAAATGGACTGCTTATCTTAAGGCCCCCTTTTTGGTGGCACACACTGTGCTAGGTCAATAGGAAAGAGACAACCCCTCCTTCAAGGAGGTTTTCTGAGGGAGGCCAGTGAGTTACTAGGCACCTAAAATTCAAACTCTGTACAGGGGCCACACAGCATCCTGTGAGGCCACCGAGTTCTTAGGAATGCCCGGCACTTAGACTCATTCCTAGAGGAAGTGTCTTCAGAGCTTCTGAGCAGCTGCAACCCTCCTCAGGTCTCCCCCTTAGGGAAGATATGCACAGCAGCAGACTTATGCGCCTGTGAAGCCCCACAGGTGGGCTCCCAGGGGCCCGGTCTCGCTCAGGCACTCTTCCCCCCGGATGCTGCTTCCTGAGTCTTTGCTTATTGAGTTGGTCCAGACCAGAAGGCTGCCTCCTCCCTTGATTCAGATTCATGCAGGTCTGCATGGTTTCTAGTCTAGGACATAAGTAATGTCTCCATCCTCCTACGTAGAAAAACCCCAGTCAGTCAAGGGGGCGGGAAAAAGAGAGAGCCTAAAACTGCAGTTCAGATGGGAGGGAAAAACAGGCTGGGGTTTCCAACCACACAAACTAGGGCCTCCATGAGCTGTGGTCTCTCTGGTCAGGCAGACTCCAGAAATCAACAGAGGGGACGTGCCTGGGGCTGGCTTGGTGGCAGTGGGGGCTCTGAGCTGAAAGAGCTGAAAGAGTTTTTCCTTGCCAATGGCAAGTTGTAGACTGCACTCACTGAGCGGGGGCTGATGACCCTTCTCTGTTGTTAGTAACTCTTCCTAAAGGCAAGGGTTGACCACAGCATTAGCAACATTTGCAACGTGTGTGTCTTCTCCAGAGCCCTTTCATTTTGCTTGAATGCCTGAGGGAAATTCCCCCTTAATTGCTAGAGATGTGGTGGCAACTCTCTCTTGTATTTTGCACACATGGTGATGCAGGAAGTCCAGTTGGAAACAAGCAAAGTATTAATGACAACTGCAAATGGAAACAATGATTGCACCCCAGTAAGAGCAGAGGCTACAAGGGAGCAAAGAGGTGGCATTGAGAATACACAAGACTAATATTTTATCTCGTGGATTAGGCTTTAGTTAAGAGAAAGGATCACGTCTTTCTATTTATTTCATATTCCTTCTACTGAGATATTAGAGAGATTTATGTGAGTGAACACAGTTACTATTTATTACATTAAAATGTACTGCAGTAAGCTCTTAATTTTCTGCATCAATGGCAGGAGGCATTTCTGGGTGGCAGAAGTAGTAATAATAATGCTAATGATATTAATACTAACTACTACCTAAAGACTTAAACCTTCAGACCTGACACTATGAAACTCCTAAAAGATAGCATAGGGGAAAGTTCCATGACATTGAATTTGGTAATGATATCTTGGATATGACACCAAAAGCAGAGGCCGCAAAAAGAAAAGCAGATAAATGGGACTACATCAAACTTAAAAACGTCTGTCAGGCAAAGAAAACAGTCAATAGTGTGGAAAGCCAACCTATGAAATGGGAGAAAACATTTGCAAATCTTATATCAAATAAGGGGTTCATATCCAGAATATATAAATAAATCACCACTCCACAGCAACAAAAAAATCAAATTACCTAATTTAAAAATGAGCAAAGAATTTGAAAAGATATCTCTACAGAGAAGGTATGTAAGTAGCCAATAAGCAGATAGAACAACGTTCAACACCACTAGAAAGCCAGGAAATGCAAACCAAAACCACAATAAAGCTGGGCACGGTGGCTCATGCCTGTAATTCTAGCACTTTGGAAGGCCTAGGCAGGCAGATCGCTTGAGTCCAGGAGTTCAAGACCGGTCTGGGCCACGTGGTGAAACCCCATTGCTACAAAAAAATACAAAAATTAGCTGGGCCTGGTGGCTCGCACCTGTGGTCCCAGCTACTAAGCGGGCTGAGGCAGGAGGATCGCTTGAACCTGGGAGGTGGAGGTTGCAGTGAGCCAAGATTGTGCCACTGCACTCCAGCCTCGGTGACAAGAAAGACCCCGTCTCAAAATAAATAAATAAAATAAAATAAAAATAAATTTAAAAAAATTTAAAATGATAAAATTGAATGCATTCCTTACACTCTTCACTCTAAGAAATGAAACTGGGGGGAGGAGCCAAGATGGCCGAATAGGAACAGCTCCAGTCTACAGCTCCCAGCGTGAGCGACGCAGAAGATGGGTGATTTCTGCATTTCCATCTGAGGTACCCGGTTCATCTCACTAGGGAGTGCCAGACAGTGGGCGCAGGACAGTGGGTGTGCGCACCGTGCGCGAGCCGAAGCAGGGCGAGGCACTGCCTCACTTGGGAAGTGCAAGGGGTCAGGGAGTTCCCTTTCCTAGTCAAAGAAAGGGGTGACAGATGGCACCTGGAAAATTGGGTCACTCCCACCCTAATACTGTGCTTTTCCGACGGGCTTAAAAAACGGCGCACCAGGAGATTATATCCCACACATGGCTCAGACGGTCCTACGCCCACGGAGTCTCGCTGATTGCTAGCACAGCAGTCTGAGATCAAACTGCAAGGCGGCAGCGAGGCTGGGGGATGGGAGCCTGCCATTGCCCAGGCTTGCTTAGGTAAACAAAGCAGCCGGGAAGCTCGAACTGGGTGGAGCCCACCACAGCTCAAGGAGGCCTGCCTGCCTCTGTAGGCTCCAACTCTGGGGGCAGGGCACAAACAAAAAGACAGCAGTAACCTCTGCAGACTTAAATGTCCCTGTCTGACAGCTTTGAAGAGAGCAGTGGTTCTCCCAGCACGCAGCTGGAGATCTGAGAACAGGCAGACTGCCTCCTTAAGTGGGTCCCTGACCCCTGACCCCTGAGCAGCCTAACTGGGAGGCACCCCCCAGCAGGGGCAGACTGACACTTCATGCGGCCGGGTACTCCACTGAGACAAAATTTCCAGAGGAACGATCAGACAGCAGCATTCGCGGTTCACGAGAAACCACTGTTCTGCAAACACCGCTGCTGATACCCAGGCAAACAGGGTCTGGAGTGGACCTCTAGCAAACTCCAACAGACCTGCAGCTGAGGGTCCTGTCTGTTAGAAGGAAAACTAACAAACAGAAAGGACATCCACAGCAAAAACCCATCTGTACATCACCATCATCAAAGACCAAAAGTAGATAAAACCACAAAGATGGGGAAAAAACAGAGCAGAAAAACTGGAAACTCTAAAAAGCAGAGCACCTCTCCTCCTCCAAAGGAACGCAGTTCCTCACCAGCAATGGAACAAAGCTGGATGGAGAATGACTTTGACGAGTTGAGAGAAGAAGGCTTCAGATGATCAAACTACGAGCTACAGGAGGAAATTCAAACCAAAGGCAAAGAAGTTAAAAACTTTGAAAAAAATTTAGACCAATGTATAACTAGAATAACCAATACAGAGAAGTGCTTAAAGGAGCTGATGGAGCTGAAAGCCAAGGCTCGAGAACTACGTGAAGAATGCAGAAGCCTCAGGAGCCGATGCGATCAACTGGAAGAAAGGGTATCAGCGATGGAAGATGAAATGAATGAAATGAAGCGAGAAGGGAAGTTTAGAGAAAAAAGAATATAAAGAAATGAACAAAGATTCCAGGAAATATGGGACTATGTGAAAAGACCAAATCTACGTCTGATTGGTGTACCTGAAAGTGACTGGGAGAATGGAACCAAGTTGGAAAACACTCTGCAGGATATTATACAGGAGAACTTCCCCAATTTAGCAAGGCAGGCCAACATTCAGATTCAGGAAATACAGAGAACGCCACAAAGATACTCCTTGAGAAGAGCAACTCCAGGACACATAATTGTCAGATTCACCAAAGTTGAAATGAAGGAAAAAATGTTAAGGGCAGCCAGAGAGAAAGGTCGGGTTACCCACAAAGGGAAGCCCATCAGACTAACAGCAGATCTCTTGGCAGAAACTCTACAAGCCAGAAGAGAGTGGGGGCCAATATTCAACATTCTTAAAGAAAAGAATTTTCAACCCAGAATTTCATATCCAGCCAAACTAAGCTTCATAAGTGAGGGAGAAATAAAATACTTTACAGACAAGCAAATGCTGAGAGATTTTGTCACCACCAGGCCTGCCCTGAAAGAGCTCCTGAAGGAAGCACTAAACATGGAAAGGAACAACCGGTACCAGCTGCTGCAAAATCATGCCAAAATGTAAAGACCATCGAGACTAGGAAGAAACTGCATCAACTAACAAGCAAAATCACCAGCTAACATCATAATGACAGGATCAAATTCACACATGACAATATTAACTTTAAATGTAAATGGACTAAATGCTCCAATTAAAAGACACAGACTGGCAAATTGGATAAAGAGCCAAGACCCATCAGTGTGCTGTATTCAGGAAACCCATCTCATATGCAGAGACACACATAGGCTCAAAATAAAAGGATGGAGGAAGATCTACCAAGCAAATGGAAAACAAAAAAAGGCAGGGGTTGCAATCCTAGTCTCTGATAAAACAGACTTTAAACCAACAAAGATCAAAAGAGACAAAGAAGGCCATTACATAATGGTCAAGGGATCAATTCAACAAGAAGAGCTAACTATCCTAAATATATATGCACCCAATACAGGAGCACCCAGATTCATAAAGCAAGTCCTGAGTGACCTACAAAGAGACTTAGACTCGCTCTCCCTCTCCCTCTCCCTCTCCCTCTCCCTCTCCCTCTCCTCTCTCTCCACGGTCTCCTTCCACGGTCTCCCTCTGATGCCGAGCCAAAGCTGGACGGTACTGCTGCCATCTCGGCTCACTGCAACCTCCCTGCCTGATTCTCCTGCCTCAGCCTGCCCAGTGCCTGCCATTGCAGGCGCACGCCGCCACGCCTGACTGGTTTTCGTTTTTTTTTTGGTGGAGACGGGGTTTTGCTGTGTTGGCCGGGCTGGTCTCCAGCTCCTAACCGCGAGTGATCCGCCAGCCTCGGCCTCCCGAGGTGCTGGGATTGCAGACGGAGTCTCGTTCACTCAGTGCTCAATGGTGCCCAGGCTGGAGTGCAGTGGCGTGATCTCGGCTCGCTACAACCTCCACCTCCCAGCCGCCTGCCTTGGCCCCCCAAAGTGCCGAGATTGCAGCCTCTGCCCAGCCGCCACCCCGTCTGGGAAGTGAGGAGCGTCTCTGCCTGGCCCCCCATCGTCTGGGATATGAGGAGCCTCTGCCTGGCTGCCCAGTCTGGAAAGTGAGGAGCGTCTCCGCCCGGCCGCCATCCCATCTAGGAAGCGAGGAGCGCCTCTTCCCCGCTGCCATCCCATCTAGGAAGTGAGAAGCGTCTCTGCCCGGCCGCCCATCGTCTGAGATGTGGGGAGCACCTCTGCCCCGCCGCCCTGTCTGGGATGTGAGGAGCGCCTCTGCTGGCCACAACCCTGTCTGGGAGGTGAGGAGCGTCTCTGCCCGGCCGCCCCGTCTGAGAAGTGAGGAAACCCTCTGCCTGGCAACCGCCCCGTCTGGGAAGTGAGGAGCGTCTCCGCCCGGCAGCCACCCCGTCCGGGAGGGAGGTGGGGGGGGGGTCAGCCCCCCGCCCGGCCAGCCGCCCAGTCCGGGAGGTGAGGGGCGCCTCTGCCCGGCCGCCCCTACTGGGAAGTGAGGAGCCCCTCTGCCCGGCCAGCCGCCCCGTCCGGGAGGGAGGTGGGGGGGTCAGCCCCCCGCCCGGCCAGCCGCCCAGTCCGGGAGGGAGGTGGGGGGATCAGCCCCCCGCCCGACCAGCCGCCCCGTCCGGGAGGGAGGTGGGGGGGTCAGCCCCCCGCCCGGCCAGCCGCCCTGTCCGGGAGGGAGGTGGGGGGGTCCCCTCTGCCCGGCCAGCCGCCCCGTCCGGGAGGGAGGTGGGGGAGTTCAGACCCCCCCGGGCCAGCCGCCCCGTCCGGGAGGGAGGTGGGGGGATCAGCTCTCCGCATGGCCAGCCGCCCCATCCGGGAGGTGAGGGGCGCTTCTGCCCGGCCGCCCCTACTGGGAAGTGAGGAGCCCCTCTGCCCGGCCAGCCGCCCCGTCCGGGAGGGAGGTGGGGGGGTCAGCCCCCCGCCTGGCCAGCCGCCCCATCTGGGAGGGAGGTGGGGGGATCAGCCCCCCGCCTGGCCATCCGCCCCATCCGGGAGGTGAGGGGGGCCTCTGCCCGGCCGCCCCTACTGGGAAGTGAGGACCCCTCTGCCCGGCCAGCCACCCCGTCCGGGAGGGAGGTGGGGGGGTCAGCCCCCCGCCCGGCCAGCCGCCCTATCCAGGAGGTGAGGGGCGCCTCTGCCCGGCCGCCCCTACTGGGAAGTGAGGAACCCCTCTGCCTGGCCAGCCGCCCCGTCCGGGAGGATGGTGGGGGGGTCAGCCCCCCGCCCGGCCAGCCGCCCCATCCGGGAGGTGAGGGGCGCTTCTGCCCGGCCGCCCCTACTGGGAAGTGAGGAGCCCCTCTGCCCGGCCACGACCCGTCTGGGAGGTGTGCCCAGCGGCTCATTGGGGATGGGCCATGATGACAATGGCGGTTTTGTGGAATAGAAAGGCGGGAAGGGTGGGGAAAAAATTGAGAAATCAGATGGTTGCCGGGTCTGTGTGGATAGAGGTAGACATGGGAGACTTTTCATTTTGTTCTGTACTAAGAAAAATTCTTCTGCCTTGGGATCCTGTTGATCTGTGACCTTATCCCCAACCCTGTGCTCTCTGAAACATGTGCTGTGTCCACTCAGGGTTAAATGGATTAAGGGTGGTGCAAGATGTGCTTTGTTAAACAGATGCTTGAAGGCAGCATGCTCCTTAAGAGTCATCACCACTCCCTAATCTTAAGTACCCAGGGACACAAACACTGCGGAAGGCCGCAGGGTCCTCTGCCTAGGAAAACCAGAGACCTTTGTTCACTTGTTTATCTGCTGACCTTCCCTCCACTATTGTCCTATGACCCTGCCAAATCCCCCTCTGCGAGAAACACCCAAGAATGATCAATAAAAAAAAAAAAAAAAAAAAAGAGTCATCACCAATCCCTAATCTCAAGTAATCAGGGACACAAACACTGCGGAAGGCCGCAGGGTCCTCTGCCTAGGAAAACCAGAGACCTTTGTTCACTTGTTTATCTGCTGACCTTCCCTCCACTATTGTCCCATGACCCTGCCAAATCCCCCTCTGTGAGAAACACCCAAGAATTATCAATAAAAAAATAAATTAAAAAAAAAAAAAAAAAAAAGAGACTTAGACTCACACACATTAATAATGGGAGACTTTAACACCCCACTGTCCACATTAGACAGATCAATGAGACAGAAAGTTAACAAGGATACCCAGGAATTGAACTCAGCTCTGCACCAAGTGGACCTAATAGACATCTACAGAACTCTCCACCCCAAATCAACAGAATATACATTCTTTTCAGCACCACACCACACCTATTCCAAAATTGACCACGTAGTTGGAAGTAAAGCTCTCCTCAGCAAATGTAAAAGAACAGAAATTATAACAAACTATCTCTCAGACCACAGTGCAATCAAACTAGAACTCAAGATTAAGAAACTCACTCAAAACCGCTCAACTACATGGAAACTGAACAACCTGCTCCTGAATAACTACTGGGTACATAATGAAATGAAGGCAGAAATAAAGATGTTCTTTGAAACCAACAAGAACAAAGACATAACATACCAGAATCTCTGGGACACATTCAAAGCAGTGTGTAGAGGGAAATTTATAGCACTAAATGCCCACAAGAGAAAGCAGGAAAGATCCAAAATTGACACCCTAACATCACAATTAAAAGAACTAGAAAAGCAAGAGCAAACACATTCAAAAGCTAGCAGAAGGCAAGAAATAACTAAAATCAGAGCAGAACTGAAGGAAATAGAGACACAAAAAACCCTTCAAAAAATTAATGAATCCAGGAGCTTGTTTTTTGAAAGGATCAACAAAATTGATAGACCACTCGCAAGACTAATAAAGAAAAAGAGAGAAGAATCAAATAGACGCAATAAAAAATGATAAAGGGGATATCACCACTGATCCCACAGAAATACAAACTACCATCAGAGATTACTACAAACACCTCTATGCAAATAAACTAGAAAATCTAGAAGAAATGGATAAATTCCTCGACACATACACTCTCCCAAGACTAAACCAGGAAGAAGTTGAATCTCTGAATAGACCAATAACAGGAGCTGAAATTGTGGCAATAATCAATAGCTTACCAACCAAAAAGAGTCCAGGACCAGATGGATTCACAGCTGGATTCTACCAGAGGTACAAGGAGGAACTGGTACCATTCCTTCTGAAACTATTCCAATCAACAGAAAAAGAGGGAATCCTCCCTAACTCATTTTATGAGGCCAGCATCATCCTGATACCAAAGCCGGGCAGAGACACAACCGAAAAAGAGAATTTTAGACCAATATCCTTGATGAACATTGATGCAAAAATCCTCAATAAAATACTGGCAAACTGAATCCAGCAGCACATCAAAAAGCTTATCCACCATGATCAAGTGGGCTTCATCCCTGGGATGCAAGGCTGGTTCAATATATGCAAATCAATAAATGGAATCCAGCATATAAACAGAACCAAAGACAAAAACCATATGATTATCTCAGTAGATGCAGAAAAGACCTTTGACAAAATTCAACAACACTTCATGCTAAAAACTCTCAATAAATTAGGTATTGATGGGACTTATCTCAGAATAATAAGAGCTATCTATGAAAAACCCACAGCCAATATCATACTGAATGGGCAAAAACTGGAAGCATTCCCTTTTAAAACTGGCACAAGACAGGGATGCCCTCTCTCACCACTCCTATTCAACATAGTGTTGGAAGTTCTGGCCAGGGCAATTAGGCAGGAGAAGGAAATAAAGGGTATTCAATTAGGAAAAGAGGAAGTCAAATTGTCCCTGTTTGCAGTTGACACGATTTTATATCTAGAAAACCCCATTGTCCCAGCCCAAAATCTCCTTAAGCTGATAAGCAACTTCAGCAAAGTCTCAGGATACAAAATCAATGTACAAAAATCACAAGCATTCTTATACACCAATAACAGACAGACAGAGAGCCAAATCATGAGTGAACTCCCATTCACAATTGCTTCAAACAGAGTAAAATACCTAGGAATCCACCTTACAAGGGACGTGAAGGACCTCTTCAAGGAGAACTACAAACCACTGCTCAATGAAATAAAAGAGGATACAAACAAATGAAAGAAAATTCCATGATCATGGGTAGCAAGAATCAATATTGTGAAAATGGCCATACTGCCCAAGGTAATTTATAGATTCAATGCCATCCCCATCAAGCTACCAATGACTTTCTTCACAGAATTGGAAAAAACTACTTTAAAGTTCATATGGAACCAAAAAAGAACCTGCATCACCAAGTCAATCCTAAGCCAAAGGAACAAAGCTGGAGGCATCACACTACCTGACTTCAAACTATACTACAAGGCTACAGCAACCAAAACAGCATGGCACTGGTACCAAAACAGAGATATAGATCAATGGAACAGAACAGAGCGCTCAGAAATAACGCTGTGTATCTACAACTATCTGGTCTTTGACAAACCTGAGAAAAACAAGCAATGGGGAAAGGATTCCCTATTTAATAAATGGTGCTGGGAAAACTGGCTAGCCATACGTAGAAAGCTGAAACTGGATCCCTTCCTTACACCTTATACAAAAATTAATTCAAGATGGATTAAAGACTTAAATGTTAGACCTAAAACCTAAAAACCCTAGAAGAAAACCTAGGCAATACCATTCAGGACATGGGCATGGGCAAGGACTTCATGTCTAAATCACAAAAAGCAATGGCAACAAAAGCCAAAATTGACAAATGGGATCTAATTAAACTAAAGAGCTTCTGCACAGCAAAAGAGACTACCATCAGAGTGAACAGGCAACCCACAAAATGGGAGAAAATTTTCGCAACCTACTCATCTGACAAAGGGCTAGTATCCAGAATCTACAATGAACTCAAACAAATTTACAAAAAAAAAACAAACAACCCCATCAACAAGTGGGTGAAGGACATGAACAGACACTTCTCAAAAGAAGACATTTATGCAGCCAAAAAACACATGAAAAAATGCTCACCATCACTGGCCATCAGAGAAATGCAAATCAAAACCACAATGAGATATCATCTCACACCAGTTAGAATGGCAATCATTAAAAAGTCAGGAAACAACAGGTGCTGGAGAGGATGTGGAGAAATAGGAACACTTTTACACTGTTGGTGGGACTGTAAACTAGTTCAACAATTATGGAAGTCAGTGTGGCGATTCCTCAGGGATCTAGAACTAGAAATACCATTTGACCCAGCCATCCCATTACTGGGTATATACCCTAAAGGACTATAAATCATGCTGCTATAAAGACACATGCACATGTATGTTTATTGCGGCACTATTCACAATAGCAAAGACTTGGAACCAACCCAAATGTCCAACAATGATAGACTGGATTAAGAAAATGTGGCACATATACACCATGGAATACTATGCAGCCATAAAAAACGATGAGTTCATGATGTCCTTTGTAGGGACATGGATGAAATTGGAAATCATCATTCTCAGTAAAGTATCGCAAGAACAAAAAACCAAACACCGCATATGCTCACTCATAGATGGGAATTGAACAATGAGAACACATGGACACAGGAAGGGGAACATCACACTCTGGGACTGTTGTGGCGTGGGGGGAGGGGGGAGGGATAGCACTGGGAGATATACCTAATGCTAGATGACGAGTTAGTGGGTGCAGCGCACCAGCATGGCACATGTATACATATGTAACTAACCTGCACATTGTGCACATGTACCCTAAAACTTAAAGTATAATAAAAATAAAAAGATAAAAGAAATGAAACTGGCCAGGTGCAGTGGCTGACACCTGTAATCCTAGCACTTTGAGAGGCCGAGGCAGGCAGATCACTTGCGGTCAGGAGTTCGAGACCAGCCTGGCCAACACAGAGAACCCCATCTCTACTAAAAATACAAAAATTAACCGTGTGTGGCGGCGTGTGCCTGCAGTCCCAGCTACTTGGAGGCTGAGGCAGGAGAATCACTTGAACCCAGGAGGCAGAGGTTGCAGTGAGCTGAGATCGAGCCACTACACTCCAATCTGAGCGACAGAGCAAGACTTCATCTAAAAACAAAAACAAAAAAACCACAATAAGGTATCACCTCACACCCATTTGGATGACCACTACAAACAACAACAACAACTAGAAAATAATACGAGTCGTTGAGGGTGTGGGGAACTGGAACCCTTGTGCACTGTTGGTGGGGGTGTAAAATGATGCAGAAAACAGTATGGCGGTCCCTCAAAACATTAAAAATAGGATTACCTTATGATCCAACAATTCTACTTCCGAGTATATACCCAAAGAAGCGAAAGCAAGATCTTGAACAGATATTTGTACACTCATGCTCATAGCAGCATTATTCATAATAGCCAAGAGGTGGAAACAACTTGTGTCTGTTGATGGATAAACGGATAAAGAAAATGTGGTCTGTCTATACAATAGAATATTATTCAGCCTTAAAAAGGAAGAAAATTCCAATATATGTTACAACATCAATAAACTTTGAGATATTATGCTGAGTAAAATAATCCAGTCACGAAAAGAAAAATATAGTATGATTTCACTTACATGAGGTACCTATATTAGTCAAATTTACTGAAAAACTAAAAGGATGGTTACCAGAGGCTGGGGGAATTAGAAAATAGAGAATTATTGTTTAATTGCTATAGAATTACAGTTTTACAAAACAAAAAGAGTTCCAGAGATTGGTTGTACAACAATGTGAATGTACTTAATGCCACTGAACTGTACATTTTAAAATGGTTAAGACGGCAAATTTTAGATTATGTGTTTTCTTTTTAACTACAATTAAAAATGCACGAATTCCAATTTTTTGAAGAAAGAAATGACTACTGCTTATGATTACTATGTGTCAGGGACAGAACCAGGCTTCTTACTTATAACATTATATGTGATCGTTACAATGACTACAAAGCATCCTTCGAGGGTAGTGACTATTAGTTAACCCATTTTGCAGAGGAAGTAACTAAAGCTTAGAGGGCAAATAACGTACCCAGGGTCACACACTGGTCAGTGGACTGGAGCATACGAGGTTGACTAAATTATACAACTAGTAAGGGCTGAGCTGGAATTAGACCTCACTCCAAGCCCAGTATCATATTTCAGGCAGTCAGAGAGGCTAGGGTGGGGTGTCATTTTCTGACCTTCACATGGGACTAAGCCATCTTTTTCTCCCAATGAGGAGTGCTTCCTGATCAGGGAGGCAGGCTACATGGCTAGTTATTTTGGAACCAGGGATGGGTGATGGGTGTTGTGGACTATTAGGGGATATATTTCTAAGTTAATGCAGAGGGTTTGGGGAAGGTAGTGTGGACTGAGGAACCCAGTTTCCAGAAGCAACAAATGGGTTAGTTTCTAGTGATGCCAACGTCTGTGAGACCCGTGCACCAAAGAGAAGGAAATGGAAAGCAGCATTCATGTGAGTGAGATCCTGTGTTATGGTGTTTACTGATTTCATTTAATTCTCGGAGGAAAAATCATTAATCAGGGCTCTCATCACCATGAAACAGATGAGGAAATTGAGGCTCATAGCAGTTCAGGAACTCACCCCAGGTGCCATGCTTGGTATGCAGTAGAACTGGGACTACATCCCAGGTGCTGGGAGTACTGGCTGCTCTCCCTGCAAATCCACGCACAGAACCGCTGACTATCACAGCTGTCTACACTTTTCTGGTCAACTTGGCCTCCCTCTCTCCTAGAAAGTCCCTTCCATATCTTTTCCTCTCTCTTCAACCCTTGTCATCTCCCACATACCCCTGTGTTGTGTGACTTGCTTCCAGCCTAACAGAACCAGCAGAAGCACCAAGAATAGAGCCGCCACAGGCTGTGCCCAAACCCAGCACAATAATTGCATCTGCCCTCTCCCAGTCACGGCTGAACTGTCGTTAGGAGGCCATCCCCTCCCAACAAGGACACTCTTCCAGTACATCTCCTTTCTGTCTCTTGTATTGTTCATTTCCCTTCACTATTGGCTCACTCCCAACAAAGCACAATATACAAATATACAACAGCACAAATATACAACAGCATCTCACTTTTTTTTTTTTTTTTTTAACAGAGTCAGGATCTTGCTCTGTCACCCAGGTTGGAGTGTAGTGGCATGATCATAGCTCACCACATCCTCGACTTCCTGGGCTGAAGTGATCCTCCTGCTTCAGCCTCCCAAGTAGCTAGGAATTCAGGTGTGTTCCACCATGCCTGGCTATTATTTTTCATTTTTGTAGAGACAGTGTTTTGCTATGTTGCCCAGGCTGGCCTTGAACTGCTAGGCTCAAGCAATTCTCCCACCTCAGCCTTTCAAGTAGCTGGGACTAAAGGTGAATACCATCATGGCTGGCTATTTTTTTGTAGAGACAAGGTCTTGCTGTGTTCCTCAGAATAGCATCTCACATTTTTGAAAGCCCTCCCTGGATTTCACAGTACCCGCTACCCACTGTACAGCAAAGCTTCTTGAAAGAGTTGTCTCTGCTCTTTGTTTCCTCTTTGTCTTTTTCCATTCTCTCTCAACCCCTATCGTGTTCTCTTCCCATCACTTCCACAAAACTGCTCTGTTTGACGTTACCCCATGACCTCCAAAGAAGACATCCCTAGCATATTTCACACCCATCCAGGTCATTTTCAACAGCCTCTCCTCTACACAGCACGATTATAGTCAGCAATAAACTTTGTTTTCTTGATTCATTCTCTAGTTTAAGCACAACTAGAGAAGAGTAAATTTCCATTTCAAAGCTATTCAAATTCAGTATATTTCACAATGAAAATTTGCTCTTATGCAACCAAAACATTGCACCTTGCAGTTTGCACTCTATTTTACTCTCCTAAATTTGAAACACAAATAAAAATGTCAGTTGGTTACACAAAATGACAGAATTGAAGTAACTCAAGTTATGTTTGTTTGTTTGTTTAGAGACAGGATTTCACTCTGTCACTGATATGGTTTGACTCTGTGTCCCTACTCAAATCTCATGCTGAATTGTAATCCCCACATGTCAGGAGAGGGGCCTGGCCGGGGGTGATTGGATCACGGGGGTGGATTTCCTCTTTGCTGTTCTCCTGATAGTGAGTGAGTCTCATAAGATCTGATGGTTTAATAGTGTGGGCACTTCCCCCTTCACTCATGCTCTCTCTCTCTCTCTCTCTCTCTCTCTCCCTCTCTCTCCTGCTTCACCATGGTAAGATGTGTGGGCTTCCCCTTTGCCTTCCTCCATGATTGTAAGTTTCCTGAGGCCTCCCAGCCATGCTTCTGTACAGCCTGCAGAACTGTGAGTCAATTAAACCTCTTTTCTTCATAAATAACCAGTCTCAGGCAGTTCTTTATAGCAGTGTAAAAATGGATTAACTCACCCAGGCTGGAACGCAGTGGTGTCATTATGGCTTAGTGCAGGCTTGAACTCCTGTGCTCAAGCAATCCTCCCACCTCGGCCTCCCTAGTAGCCAGGAATACAGGCAGACATCACCATGTCTGGCTAATTTTTAATTTTTTTTTTGTAGAGATGGAGTCTTACTATGTTGTGCAGGCTGGCCTGTGTTTGTTTGGACCATCTCTCTGCTGTCATTGTCCATGGCAAATCTGTTTAAATGTAGGAATATGGTCTCAAGGGGGCTGGAGATGGTGAACTGGGCTCAAACCATTTTAGACTGTTGCAAATGACTCTAGAAGCAAAAAATTTAGTTGAGTATGCATCTGGAGGGCTGACTATATGCTGGTCATTCTCTCGAGGTACCATTTTATTAAGAGAAAGTAACACAAATGTGCTAATTTGAAGCTTTCACATGTGTTATTTAAACCCAATAACAACTGCAACAATGTTTAGAACTAGACCAATTAAGGATTTTTTTTTACTTACATTGTTCAGAATTGCCACTGCATGGTGAGGATAATAAGAAGGCTCATTTTTAGTCAGTTAATTGTTATTTTTAAATTCTGTCCAGACAACATACCCCCTTATTGCCTACTCCTGGGAAAGACCCCCTCCTGGCCCACCTTCGACATTGCCAAACCCAGTGGTCACTTCTCAGCCCTCATCCTAGCTGACCTGGCCACAGCATTGAACACAATTCCTTCTTCTTAAAACATTTTCTTCACGCGGCCTCTGGTCCCCCAGTGCCTCTGGATTTTCCTTCCGTTTCTCGAGCTGCTCCTTCTCAGTCTCTGTATTGGATCCTCCTCATTTTCACAGCCTCTAAATACTGAAATCACAAGGCTCAGTCCTCAGATGTCTCACTCTGCAGGTGATCTCCTAAAGTCCCAAGGCTTACTAACTGGTAATTCTCTGGAGACGATAATCTCCAGACACTTAAGGGCATCTGTGTGCTGAACACTTGAAAATTTGTATCTCCCAGTTGAGACTTCCTCTCTGAACTCAAATATTTTTATTTTTAAGAGATGGGAATCTCACTCTGTCACCAAGACTAGAGTGCAGTGGTGTGATCACAGCTCAATGCAGCCTCTAACTCCTGAGCTCAAGCAGTCCTCCCACCTATGCCTCCTGAGTAGCTGCGACTACAGGCGTGTGCCACCAAGCCTGGCTAATTTTTAAAATTTTTTATTTGTAGAGATGGAGTCTCACTTTGCTGCCCAAACTAGTCTCAAATTACTGGCCCCAAGTGATCCTCCCACCTTGGCCTCCCAAAGCACTGGGATTACAGGTGCGAGCCATTGTGGTGGCTGCGGATACTTATATTTAACAAATATGTTCTCAACACCTCCACCAGGATGTCTTGCTGGTGCCTCAAATTCACTCCTTGCCCCATCCAAATCCAGCTCTGCATCCAGTCCTTTCTCTGGGCAGATGGCAACTTTAGTTTTCTTGTGGCTTAAATCAAATCTTAGAATTAGTCCTTTGCTCCTCTTTCTTTTATACCCCACATCTAACCCATTAGCAAATCCTGTTCACTTCACCTTCAAAATATATCCAGAACCACCTGACTCTTACCCCTGCACTCTTGTTCAAGCCACCATCATACCTGCTTGGACTATTGCAGTAGCCTCCTATCTCTATTCCTGCTCCTCTACATGAGAGCAAGGGTGGCCATTTCAAAATGTAAGGGAGATCACTTATTCCTTTGCTCAAAACCCTCTTTCCGTCTCACTCAGAACAAATTCCAATACCTTCACCAAAGCTTTTAAGGTCCATTAATAATAATCCAGCACTATCCAAATCTCCAGCCACTATGTACTTTTACCCACTATCATTCTCTAGCCTGCTCACTCTCTGCAGCAACACTGCTTCCTTAATGCTTCTCAAAACTCTCAGTTACATTATTGTCTCAGGGCCTTTACACCAGCTTTCCCTCTTTCCTGGAACACTGTTTCCCCTGATACCTACAAAGTTCACTCCATCATTTTTTTACTTAACAATCATGTGATCAGAAAGGTCCATCTTTTTTAACATTTTTTATTTTTGTGGGTACATAGTAGGCATATATATTTATGGGTTGCATGAGATGTTTTGATACAGACATGCAACCCATAATAATAACATCATTGAAAATGGGGTATCCATCACCTCAAGCATTTATCCTTTGTGTTAGTGTTACGAACAATCCAATTATACTCTTTTATTTTAGAATGTACAATTAAATTATTATTGACTATAGTCACTGTACTAGTCCATGTTCATGTTGCTGGAAAAGACATACCGAGACTGGGCAATTTACATAAGAAAGAAGTTTATTGGATTTACAGTTACACATGGCTGGGGAGGTCTCACAATCATGGTGGAAGTTGAAAGGCACATCTCACATGGTGGCAGACAGGAGAAGAGAGCTTGTGCAGGGAAACTCCCCTTTTTAAGACCATCAGATCTCATGAGACTTATTCACCATCATGAGAACAGCATGAGAAAGACTTGCCCCCATGATTCAATTACCTCCCACTGGGACTCTCCCACAACATGTGGGAATTCAAGATGAGAGTGGGTGGGGACACAGCCAACCATATCAGTCACCCTGTTGTGCTATCAAATACTAGGGCTTATTCATTCTTTTCATTTTTATATTTTTTATACCCATTAACCATCCCTATCTCCCCACTACCCTTACCAGCCTCTGATAACCATATTCTTACTCTCTAACTCCATGAGTTCAATTGCTTTGATTTTTAGCTCCCACAGATAAGTGAGCACATGTGATGTTTGTCTTTCTGTGCCTGGCTTATTACACTTAACATAATGACCTTCAGTTCCATCCATGCTTTTGCAAATGATTCAGTCTCATTCTTTCTTATGGCTGAATAGTACTCCATTGTGTATATGTACCATATTTTCTTTATCCATTCATCTGTTGATGGACACTTAAGGTTGCTTCCAAATCTTGACTATTGTGAACAGTGTTGCAACAAACATGAGAGTGCGGATGTCTCTTTGATACACTGATTTCCTTTCTTTTGGGTATATATCCAGCAGTGGGATCACTGCATTGTATGGTAACTCTATTTTTAGTTTTTTGAGGAACCTCGAAACTGTTCTCTATAGTGGTTGTACTAATTTACATTCCCATGAACAACGTAGGAGGGTTCCCTTTTCTTCACATCCTCGCCAGCCTTTGTTATTGCTTGTCTTTTGGATAAAAGCCATTTTAACTGGGGTGAAATGATATCTCATTGTAATTTTGATTTGCATTTCTCTGATGATCAGTGATGTTGAGCACCTTTTTGTATACCTGTGTGCCATTTGCATGTCTTCTTTTGAGAATTGTTTATTAAAATATTTTGTCATTTTTTAAAATTGGATTATTAGTTTTTTCTAATAGTGCTGTTTGAGTTCCTTACATATTCTGGTTATGAATCTCTTGTCAGATGGGTAGTTTGCAAATATTTTCTCCCATTCTGTGAGTTGTCTCTTCACTTCGTTGATTGTTTCTTTGCTGTGGAAAACCTTTTGAAATTGATGTGATCCCATTTGTTCATTTTTGATTTGGTTGCCTGTGGAGTACCGCTTGTGGGCTAGTGCTCAAGAAATGTTTGCCCAGATCAGTGCCTGGAGAGCTTCCCCAGTGGTTTCTCATAGTAGTTTCATAGTTTGAGGTCTTAGATTTAAGTCTTCAATCAATTTTGGTTTGACTTTTTGATATGGCAAGAGACAGGGATCTAGTTTCATTCTGCACATGGATGTCCAGTTTTCCCAGCATCATTTATTGAAGAGACTGTCCTTTCCCCAATGTCTGTTCTTGGCACCTTTGTTGAAAATGAGTCCGCTGCAGGTGTGTGGATTTGTTTCTGGTTTCTCTATTCTGTTTTATTGTTTCATATGTCTGTTTTTTGTGCCAGTACCATGCTGCTTTGGTTACTATAGCTCTGTAGTATAAGGTCAGATAATGTGATTCCTCCAGTTTTGCTCTTTTTGCTTAAGATAGCTTTGGCTATTCTGCATCTTTTGTGGTTCCATAGAAACTTTAGGATGGTTTTTTCTATTTATGTGAAGAATGCCATTGGTATTTTGATAGGGATTGCATTGAATCTATAGATTACTTTGGGAAGTATGGACATTTTAACAATATTGATTCTTCCAATCCATGAATATGGAATATCTTTGCATTTTTTTGTGTCTTCTTCTATTTCTTTCATCAATGTATTATAGTTTTCTTTGTAGAGGTCTTTCACTTCCTTGGGTAAGCTTATTCCTTGGTATTTCATTTTATTTGTGGCTATTAAAAATGGTTTACTTTGTATTTCTTTTTCAGATCATTCACTGTTGGCATATAGAAATTCTAGTGATTTTTGTACGCTGGTTTTGTATCCTGCAACTTTACTAAATTTATCAATTCTAATAGTTTTTGGTGGTGGTTTTAGGTTTTCCTAAATATAAAATCGTATCATCTGAAAACAAGGATTATTTGACTTCTTCCAGAAAGGACCTTCTTGACCAGCATCTGCCCCATCACTCTCTATCTCCTTATCTAGCTTTATTTTTCTTCTTAGCCCATGCCACTATGTGATGTCTTAAATATCCATTATTATGCTGCTCACTTTAATTATGGAAAGTGGCCTAGCATTAGCTTGATTGCTTGGCTAAAGACCTCCTGCAAGGCTTAGGTCCAAGGGCATTCCAAGGTGTCAGCAGACACTGCCAATTGGTCATAGCCCTGGGTGTGGTCTCCAAAGTGTTTGTGATTCACAGGCAGGACGGAATCCCAGTGCAGTAAGCCATCTCTGTAGGGGGTAGTTTAGGAGGCCAGGAGCTATCATCTTCCCTCATCCCAACCCATCTTAGCCTCTGGATCAACCCATCAGGCAAATTTCAAACTACAGCATCAGCACTGAGCATGGGAACAAGATGCATACATTGGATTAGTTTCTTTCTCTTTTTTTTTTTTTTGACAGAGCCTTGCTCTGTCACCCAGGCTGGAGTGCAGTGGTGCGATCTCGGCTCATTGCAAGCTCCGCCTCCTGAGTTCACGCCATTCTCCTGCCTCAGCCTCCCAAGTAGCTGGGACTACAGGCATGTGCCACCATGCCTGGCTAGTTTTTTGTATTTTCAGTAGAGATGGGGTTTCACCGTGTTAGCCAGGATGGTTTTGATCTCCTGACCTTGTGATCCACCTGCCTAGGCCTCCCAAAGTGCTGGGATTATAGGCATGAGCCACCGCGCCAGGCCACATTGGACTAGTTTTAAACTAGGGATGGCACAAGAAATGCCATCTCACATGCCAACGCTCTCCATCATGCCTGTGAATCACAAACACTTTGGAGACCACACCCAGGGCTAGCAGGAGCTAGCGGCTGATGGAGGGCCTGTTTGTCTGGGAGACTGTGTGGGTGGGTTGGTTGGGGTGGGAGAGGCTGTGGCAGGGGCATGGTGATACCTTCTTAAGGACACAGGAGGCTGGGGGAGGCCAGATGGAGGGTGGCTGCTATGGAAACAGGGTGAAGTTTCAGATTTGACCTTTTAATAATGTTTAGTTGGTATCAGTAATGGCATCTTCTGTCTCTTTTGTAAATAGGCAAATGCCAGGCAGGACTATGTAAAGAAAGAATCACACGCTAAAACAAATTCAGATAGACTTAAATCATCGTCTGTGACTTCTATGATCTGAAAATTTGGACCCTGTCCCTCCCACCCAATAATGCATATGTTGAAATCCTAACCCCAAGGCGATGGTATTAGGAGGTGGGATTTTAGGGAGGTGATTAGGTCACTAAAGCAGAGCCCTCATGAATGTGATTAGTGCCCTTATGAGACAAGACCCCAGAGAGCTTGTTCACGCTTCCCATCATGTGAGTACACAGCAAGATGGTGCTGTCTATGAACCAGGCAGAGGGCTGTCATCGAGAACCAAGTTTACTATGCCTTGATCTTGGGACTTCGAGCCTCCAGAATGGTGAGAGATATATTTCTGTTATTTATAAGCCACCCAGTCTATACTATTCTATTATAGCAGCCAGAATAGACTAACACGATGCCTATATATGTGTATTTTTTAAAAATGTGTATTTCATCTTTGAATTTAAATACAGAAAACACTCCTTGGAGATAGATTTCTAATTTAAGATTGCTTTGAAAGACATGCAGGTTTAGTGGATGACTAGTCTCACCACACATACTCAGACTGCAAGGCAGACATTCTCCAGTGCCATCACGGCCGGAAGACAGTCTCTCATTTCACCTGAGCTGTCCTCACAACTTGGTAGTGCTTCCCAACATAGGCAGTCACCAGATTACAGACAAAATCATGAACTTCAGGAAAGACAGTGCCTGGGGCAATTTGGATACTCCAGTAGCCGCTGCGCATGGAGACAGAGGAGTGGTTAGGTGGGAAGGATGTTTTGCAAAATATTTTTCAAGTGCTAGTGGACTTGGGTCCCAACTCTTCCCTCTAGGTTCACCCCCTTTGGGTAGATTTCCCTTACCATCCCAGTTCTTGACACCAGCCTCCTTCTCTAAAATCCTAGGTCTTCTCTGTCTACCCACTCATTTGGCACTTTGTCTATATCACTTCAGTGATGGCCAGTGATACACATTTCCCATGGCAATTGTCCTTCGCTGCATGGGTGTAGAGTCAAGTCTCTCAAACTTTCCTCAGGACCACCTGGGGTCGAGTTACAATGGAGAATCTAATTCAGTAGGTCTGGGTGAGGCCAAGCCTCAGGTGAAGGCTGTGCTGCAAGGCGGGATCCATGCTCTGAATAATGAGGCATAATAAGATTGTGGCATGCAAACAGACATAACTAGGCTCAAATTCTGCTTTGCTCTTAACTAACTTTAACTCTGCAGCTTTAAGATCTTTAAGCCTCAGTTTTCTCTTTTCTTTCTTTCTTTCTTTTCTTTTCTTTTTTTTCTTTTTGCCCTGTCACTCAGGCTGGAGTGCAGTGGCGCAAACATGGCTCACTGCAGCCTCAATCTCCTGGGCCGAGGCAATCCTGCCTCCTCAGCCTGCTGAGTAGCTGGGACTACAGGTGTGTGACACCACATCAGACTGTTTGTTTGTATGTTTGGTAGAGACGGGGTCTCATTTAGTGGCCAAAGCTGGTCTTGACCTCCTGGGCTCAAGTGATCCTCCCACCTCATCCTCCCAAAGTGCTGGGATTACAGATGTGAGCCACCATGCCCAGCTAAGCCTCAGTTTTCTTAACTTCAAATGGGCATAAATACATTGTAAGCTGGTGGATAAAGGATACTATCCGCACCCACAGAACTTCTAGTTTATGAATTCTTCACAACTTTCTTAATTTTCTTTTTTCAAGCTCACACTGGAGGCCAATATGTCATCTCCTGACTGCTCCCAGGGTTTGCTGGGCTGCTTGGGTGACACGATGGATGTGCATGTTTAGCCCACAGCCTGGCGTGTAGTACATGGCTGCGGTTGTGGTGATTATTTTTATTATTTTTGTTCAAAACCTCCCCAAACCCATATGATTAACATAAAATAACTACTTCCATATTCTACATCACTATTAATTTCCAGAGAAAAACACTGAAGAACTGTGTGGGCTGCCTTTGAGGATGAAGCAGATGTCTGCCAAGATCTGTTTCCATTCTGAGGAGCACAAGCTAAACATCAGCCTCTTCACTCCTCATTTACACCCTTACCCTGAGTCGATCCATCAAGACCCTCCACTGAGAGGGACAAATTATAATGATCTTTGTATGAGGCAGTTTGAACTTGCCTTCCTGTTGCTTGTAAACTAAGTCGCAACCCAAGCTACTGAGAAATCTCTGCACGTCGGATATTTTTCTCCTAATTGATAAGAAAGTGCTCAAAAATAGAACTGTCATCTGACAAATCCTGGAACTAATTGCCTTACACGTAGCAGGCTGCTAAATGTGACCAGCATTCTCCCCTCCATTCGGTGGTTCCCAAGGAAACGAGGTTAATGCATTCATGACTAACGTTTGCCTTGTCAATCCTAGTTCACTGCGGTAGGCATAGAGCATGAGGGGAAAGTGCCGAGAACGTCGTTTCATGCTTTTTTTCCTCTTCTGCTCGAAGTACAAACGTCTCAACCAAAGGTTAAACACATGCTCAGCCAACCATCAAAAATCAATCAGCATCTGCACTTGTCCCCTGCTTCTAAAGGTTTGCCTGAGGATCCTACTGGTACCAGAACGTTGAGGCATTCAAACTCCTCAACCACAAAGTTTTAACAGGAGTTAACTCTTTAGCAATGACTGGTTAGAGTTTTCTTTGCATGTATTTTCACAATTTATTAATTTTCTTCCCCAGATACGTGTCACCTTATTTTAAAAAGAAACCTATAAAATATTTCTAACCATAGAAAATTGCAGAGATTTTTTTTCCACATTAAAATTTAAAAAACATTTTTTTTTTTTTGAGACAGAGTCTCGCTCTGTTGTCCAGGCTGGAGTGCAGTGGTGCGATCTCGGCTCACTGCAAGCTCCACCTCCCGGGTTCATGCCATTCTCCTGCCTCAGCCTCCCGAGTAGCTGGGACTACAGGCGCCCACCACCACGCCCAGCAATTTTCTGTATTTTTAGTAGAGACGGGGTTTCACCGTGTTAGCCAGGATGGTCTTGATCTCCTGACCTCGTGATCCACCCACCTCAGCCTCCCAAAGTGCTGGGATTACAGGCATGAGCCACTGCGCCTGGCCTAAAAAGCTTTTTTATATATTTAAGGAGTACAAGTGCAGGTTTCTTACATGCATATATTCATCATGGTGAAGTCTGGGGTTTTAGTGAACCCATCGCCCAAATAGTGAACACTGTACCCAGTAGGTAATCTTTCAACCCTCCTCCCTCCCTCCTGCCTTTAGTGGGCTCTAATGTCTATTATTACATTCTCTGTGTGTGTATACACACACACACTTACACACACACTCATATATATCCATGTGTGTCCATTGTTTAGCTCCCACTTGTAATTGAGAATATGCAGTATTTGACCTTCTGTTTCTGAGTTATTTCACTCAGGATAATGGCATCTTGTTCCTTCCATGTTGCTGCAAAAGACATGATTTCATTCTTTTTTATGGCTACGTAGTATTTCATGGTATACATTTACACCACATTTTCTTTATCCAATCCACCACTGATGGACACTTAGGTTGATTCCATATCTTTGTTACTGTGAATAGTGCTGTGATAAACATACAAGTGCATGTAGCTTTTTGATATAATGATTTCTTTCCCTTTGGGTGTATACCCAGTAGTGGGATTGCTGGGACAAATGGTAGTTCTACTTTTAGTTCTTTGAGAAATCTCCATACTGTTTTCCATAAGGGTTGTATTAATTTACATTCCCACCAACAGTGTATAAGTGTTCCCTTTTCTCCATATCCTCACCAACATCTGTTTTTTTTTTTTTTTTTTTAATTTTGAGATGGAGTCTTGCTCTGTTGTCCAGGCTGGAGTGCAGTGGCACAATTTTGGCTCACTGCAATCTCCACCTCCCAGGTTCAAGTGATTCTGCTGCCTCAGCTTCCTGAGTACCTAGGATTACAGGCATCTGCCACCACACCCAGCTAATTTTTGTATTTTTAGTAGAGACTGGGTTTCACCATGTTGGCCAGACTGGTCTTGAACTCCTGACCTCAGTTGATCTGCCCACCTTGGCCTCCCAAAGTGCTAGGATTACAGGCGTGAGCCATTGTGCCCAGCCCAATATCTGTTGTTTTTAGACTTTTCAACAATAGCCATTCTGACTGATATAAGACTGTGTCTCATTGTGGTTTTAATTTTCATTTATTAGATGACAAAATCAAAGAGATTATTAAAATGAATATTTATGTATGTGTCATGTTTCACACTTATAATCAGAAATGACAATAGTAATAACAACAACAAAATCCCTATTTCATCATCTTTTTCTCCAATTCACTCCTTTCTGACTTCCAACTTTTGAGTATGATGGCAACACAGTACTCAAGAAAATCAGCATGAACCCCCTAGAGTTGTGATTGAAGGTTACCTATTCTCTAACCCACAAACCCAATTGATGGCACCTCCAAGTTTCTTTAAAAATTTTTTATTTTTCTGGTTCCCATTTCCACTTTATTTTAAAAGCCTCAGTTACCATCCTTTACCCATTCTAGTCCTTTGTAAGTTAGCAGTTTTCATCATTTGAAGACATCATTCCCCTGTCTCCTTGCTTCACTGTAGGTTGAGAAATCAGCTGTCAGTCTTGTAATTCCTTTGTGTTTAATCTGGCTGGGTTTATTTTTCTCCTCTCTGGATGACTTTAAAAATTTTATTTTTGGTGTTCTATAATTTCTCTATGTTATGCTCAGTTGCAGATGTCTTTTTTATTTTTAATCTTTGTTTTATTTTTTCTATTTTAATTAATCAATGAAGTAGGGACAGGCTCTGTTACCCAGCCTGGTCCTGAACACCTGTGCTCAAGTAATCCTCCCACCTCAGCCTCCTAAAATGCTGAGATCACAAGTGGGAGTCACCACATCTGGCCCTATTTTTACTTTCGAGTGCCATTAAAGAAATACTTTTTTTTCTGTATCATTGTGGATGCTACTACTGTTATCTTAGTAATACAAAACTACCACATTCTCCTCTCTATTTAAAAAGTATTTGGCAAAGCTCTGGAGAATTTTTATAGGCACATTCTTCTGTGTGGGCTGGATCAGCAATATTTCAATAAAATCTATTTCCAGGAAGAATAGACTGTGTACTTTATCAGCCACAGTGAATCCTATAGGAGAGATCTTGTCTAGCAGAAGCTGGTACTTGCATCCCAGATTCTTCCATAATTAGAGAAAAAGAAAGTTTGGAAAAAAGGAATATTTACTGGTTAATTATAAAGAATATTTCAAAGGATACAGATGAACAGCCAGATGGAAGAGATGTGTAGGATGAGGTGTGGGAGAGAGGATATGGAGTTTCTATGCCCTCTCAGGGCACACTACCCTCCAGGAACCTCCATGTGTTCAATTCTCTAGAAGCTCCAGATTTTTAAAAAATATTCTACATGACATTAGTTAGGCTATCTAAAGCTGAGGAAGCTAAAGTTTTCCCTTCATTTCTAGAAATTCTTAACCATTATGTCATCCAATTTTGCTTCTTTCATTCTTCCTTTTTCTCCTTTTGTCACACTATTTAGGCATTTGAGGGAAGTTCTCACTTTATTCTCTGTATCTTCAAACCTCTCTTATTTTCCATTTCATCATCTTTTGGTTGTGCATTCTGGGTGATTTCTTTAGGGTTTTCTTCCAGTTTACAAAGTTTTTCTTTGCTGAATCAATTCTGCTATTTAATCTGTTTAGGGAGTTTCCATTTCCACCTTTTTTATTTGCATGTTCATGGCACAGAGCTTTAAAACTCTTGAAATTTATGATAGAGACGTCTTTCTCCTGCTAATGAGACAACTCATGGTGGGACTCTAGATAGCTTCGGGATGGGGCTGATCACCAGAAAAACCAACCACATGATTAGAAGGTTGGAACTTTCAGCCACCCGACCTCCAGGGAGGGGATAGGGGCTAGATATTGAGTCCATTATGGGATCAATGATTCAATCAATAATGTACATAATGAACCCCAATAAAAACTCTGGACACTGAAGCTCAGGACCAGCTTCCTGGTCAGTGAACAGATCAATGTCCTAGGAGAGTGCTATGCCCTGATTCCATGAGCAGAGGGCATGGAAACTCTGTGCTCCTTAGAGCTCACTCTATGTCTTTCATTTGGTTGTTTCTCCTCATTGTATCCTTTATACTAAAAGTGTAATTGGACCAGGCACAGTGGCTCAGGCCTATAATCCCAGTGCTTTAGTAGGCCGAGGTGGAAGTATTACTTGAGCCCAGGAGTTTGAGACCAGCCTGGACAAAATGAAGAAACCCTGTTTCTACAAGCAAGCAAACAACAACAACAACAAAAAAGAAAGAAAAACAAACAAAATACAAAAATTATCCAGGTATGGTGGTGTGTGCCTGTAGTCCTACGTACTTGGGAGGCTGAGATGGGAGAATTGCTTGATCCCAGGAGGTCAAGACTGCAGTGAGCCATGATCATGTCACCGCACTCCAGCCTGGGTAAGAGGGAGACCCTGTCTCAAAAAGAAAAGAAAAGAAAAGAAAAAACACAAAACTGTCATTGTAAGTATAGTGCTTTCCTGAGTTCTGCAAGTTATTCTAGTAAATGATTGAACCTGGGTTGCAGAGGAATTGTGGGAACCCTTGGATTTGAATTATGAAAAGTGTCATAACTGTGAGTAGCCTGATGACTCCTGAAGTGCAGCTGGCATCTGAAGTAAGGGAGGTCTTGTTTGGAGACCACGCTCTTGGTCTTGTGGAGACTATGCTGACTCTGGATGGTTAGTACCAGAAGTGCATTGCTGTACATCCAGTTGGGGTTGAGACAGAAAAGAATCCCAACCTTTCTATTTACTATATGTGAGACTTTGGGCAAATCACAAAAACCTCTCTGCAACTCAATTTCCTTGTCTTAGAAATGACAATATTAGCAGCATGTACCACATTAAATGCATGAAAAATAAATGAGATAACTCAGTGTCTGGCATATAGCAACTGCTCAACAATGGTGGTGAGTGCTATAGTTTTTGCTCAAATATCACCATATCCAAAGAGCCTACTCTGCCATTCACAAGAAAATAGTACTCCTTTTCTCTTGCAATGAGTACTTTCTGTTCCTTACTTTGCTTTATTTTTCCTTTAGCCAGTACTATCACCTCCATTACTCAGCTCTTCCTATGATAATGCTTCATAACAAATCACTCCTAAAGCTCAGTTGCTTGCAGTAGCAAGCCTTTATTCTCAGGCTCATGGACCTATAGGCCTACTGGATTGGCTGATTCAGGCTGGGTTCAGCTGAGTGGTTCTTCCTCCTTCTTCAGGTCTGCTGGGCTTGTCTCCAGGCTGCATGTTGGGTCCAAGTTGGCTCCATAAGTATCTCATTATTCTGGGACCAGAGACCACCCAGGGCATGTTCTCATGGCAATATGTATTTGCAGAAGTAAAAAAGCAGGCCAAACCCTACAAGCACATTTCAAGCCTCTGCTCACATTATGCTCGCAAATATCCCACAGGCCATAGAGAGTCACACAGCCAAGTCCAAAGACAAGGGGCAGGAAAACATACTCTGTCTCCTGGGGGAGAAACTCCACTGTTACATGGTAAAGTGTGATGCATAACTCTAATATGAGCAGGGTGTAAAGAGTTGGGGAACCAACTCACCATACCACTTGACAGATTACATTTTCATTTGTTTCTAGCTAGAGTACATTTCCTGCCATGTAATATAAACTCTACAAGAAGAGGAACATTAGTTAGTTTGTACACAGTTCTATCCTCAGCACCTAAAATAGTAGCCCTTCAGCAGATATCTGCTGACTGAATGAATGAACAACTGAGTCAAGTGAGAATAGTAGTAATAGTCATGCCCCTCACCATTCTATGAAATAGCTTCTAATAAGCTGTGAAATGGCCAAGAAGAAGCAGAGGCGAGTAGATGGGGCTCCCTTGATGTTGAAAGAAAGGGCACTGCAGCAGCAGCTGTGGGCTGATTGCCTGCTTATATCAGAAACCCACAGTGGTATGGTGGAGTCACAGGTTCTGAGCCAGGCCACCGTTCATCCATGTGGTTAGCTTTATATTCATCTTCAAAGCAAGATTCTATAGCAGGAGCTACACTGAAAGTACCAAAAGTGGATGATGAAACATTTCAGTATCTCAATTCCCCTGGTTTTCAACCATTCATTGTAAGAAAAGGCTCTAGTACCAAGCTGACTTTGTTAAAGTAACGCTCACAAGCTGGCTGACGACAAAATCAACCAGCTTCAATTCTGTATGTAGGATTCTTCTACACCTGGAGCTGGAAACACTGAGCAAAGCCAACTTTTTAATATTTCTTTGGCTTTCCTCAAGGAATGACACCATGAATGGAGAGAATCCTAAAAATACAAATTCTCTGCAATTTAGCAAATAGAGGAACAATGAAAAGTCTAATAATAAACTTGAGACAGACTAAATACTACATAATGAGCACACTTGAACCAAAGGCAGAAGAAAAACATGTAATTAAATATGAATACTTTAGGAAGAAATCAAAATGGTCTAATAATAGCTAAATCAACCAGAATGAGAAAGCTTATAAAAAGCAACCTCTGACTGATTTCCTCAATAAGAAGATGACACGGGTCCAAATAGAAAAGGCTGGAGGGAAAGGGAGAAATACATTGGGACAGAAAAGGGAAGATTATATCGTATCTGAAGAGAAAATAGCTGCTTCTCCAGGAAGACCCAGGAGGCTAAGTTCTCTTACGGTTGGTAAAAACAAATAAATCAAAATGTGTGAAATGTCATTTACATGCATTCATTAAATCCTTACTATGGACAAGTCCAAGGTTAGGAGGTCTTCTGAGGAGGGAATGTGACTCAAGTGTAAGGAATTTGGTCTCCACGCTGCTACACTTAGAACCCTCAGGGGATGACATTTATCAGTGCAAAAAAACTCCAAACCAGAGATGTCTTCTAGTTTTTTGTATCACAGGAGATTCAGTGTTGTATGTGCTTTTGCCGAGTCAGGAGTTCACCCCAAAGTCCGACTGAAGGGCAATAAAAGGTGTTCCCGGTGGGAAACTGCTGCCCCCGGCTTCATTTCAGCCTGCAGTTTCTTCACAAGCCCTTTCTTCAAATTCAGTGGTAGACTCCAGTTAGGTACAGATCTGCCTTGATTTCAGTTACACTAATTGTATTCTGATTTAAATACGCACAAATGTGCATGTCGGTGTTGACAAAGAGTCTCTGCTTGACCAAACTTTAGTCAGGCTTTTCAATCTTCTGCTAAGCCCATCTGTACACTTCCTTGTAAAATCCAGTCCTAGCAAAGAATCCTGCTAAGTCAGTTTGGCAAGAACCTCCTATCCTTAACATCTAATCATCCTCTATACTTGATCAGGATCCTCAGCCTCCACCATCCCCAGGGGATATCCGGTCACCCTGGCCTGTTTTCAGGCCTGTTAGGTTTGTTTTGCCAGAATCCCCCATACGCTTGATGTTTCCTCTCAGTAATTTCCATCCATTAACCCTGACCCTGCTCCCATTTGCCCCTGCTGGATTCGGAGTTGAGCCCAATCTCTCCCCCACTGCAAAACGCCATTGTAATTGTCCCTACACCTATCAAGATGGTCCTGAATAAAGTAAGCTCTATTGTGCTTTATCGAGTGTCATTGAATATTTTTTTCTTAACACTGTAAGCTCTTTATTTGTGTGGCTCCTATACTGCCAGAAAATTCAACAAAAATATAAATTCAATATAGATCCAATGATTTAAAAAAAAAATCAAATGAACAGCAAGCAATAAACATTCTGCACATAACACTGTCCAGCACAGAGCAGGTGCACATGCATGTCTGTGGAATGAATCTCCACAGACTGAAGAGTGATTTTTTTTTCTTTTTTTCTTTTTCTTTTCTTTTCTGTTTTTTTTTTTTTTTTTGAGATGGAGTCTCGCTCTGTTGCCCAGGCTGGAGTGCAGTGGTGTGATCTCAGCTCACTGCAACCTCTGCCTCCCGGGTTCAAGTGATTCTCCTGCCTCAGCCTCTGGAGTAGTTGGGATTACAGGTGCATGCCACCACGCCCAGCTAAGTTTTGTATTTTTAGTAGAGACTGGGTTTCACCCTGTTTGCCAGGATGGTCTCCATCTCTTGACCTCGTGATCCACCCGCCTCAGCCTCCCAAAGTGCTGGGATTACAGGCATGAGCCACCACGCCCAGCCCTGAAGAGTGATTTTAGCATGACTGATGTTTTCTAACTGACTTTGTAAAGGCTAAGATGAGACGTGGGGAAGACTGTAGCCAGAGCCATTGGTAGAGCAGTTTTGATCCCTGAGAAGTGACAGCAGAAACTTTACTTGGGAAGGAAGGGGCAGCTCAGCTAGAGGAGCTATCTCCCCCTGGCCTGTCAGCCCCCAAAGGCTGGGTCCTTTTCCTGTTTCGTTAGCTGTGTCCCTTGAGCACCTGGGATTGTCTGATTGTCTTTGGCACACAGTGGGAGCTGCACATGTACCTGTTGGATGTTCTCCCACGTCGTCTGCTGTGGGCTCCAGCCCTCCTTCCTGACCTGCACAAAGGAGGGCCTCCCAAGATGCTGCACCCACTTCCCCAAAGCCTGGCTGCAGCCTCACCTGGTTTAACCTAGGTGCCTGCTGTGAAGTACACAGACTGGTAAATAGCAGCAAGCTGAGCATTTATTTCAGGCTGGAAAAAAGCCCAGCACTGACTGAGGCCAGGAGGTCCTGGCCATATGAGAGTGCTCAGATGCTATCAAGCCCCCAGCTGGAAGGAGGGACATCCTGTCCACCAGAGCTCAGGCACCCAAGGAAGTGAACACTTTGAACCCTGAGGTTATTTCAAGAAGCCATTCACGGGTGCAGAAATTCTGCTTCTAACTCCTCTGGCCTTCTTGTCTTTCTTTCTACAGAGAGAACGGAATAATTGTTGGGAGAGAGAGAGCAGTGGCGGCCCTCAGTAGCAAGGCCGTGAGAGCTGGGGTCACTGTGAAGGCCCAGGGCACCAAGAGCTGCTCCTGAAACCCCGTCTTGCAGGGGTGTGCCCACCCCTGGGCCTTAGGCAGGGTTCAGGAAGTGTTCTCAGGGAGGGTTTGCTCTCTAGGGCAGGTAGAAGGTTCCCGTGGCAGGCAAAGCCCCATATCCCCTCACTGGAGGCCTCTACAGCAACCGTTCCCCCACTGCCCCACGTGGCTAATGCATTAGGATTTATTAGCCTCTTTTATCTCTCGATAACATGTATAAAAAGTGATCAAGCCATACTACACTCTCCCCATTCAAACCTTCCCATGGCTTCCCATCGCATTCAGAATATGAACCCAGAACCCAATCCCTTACTCTCCCGCCAGGCTCCAACCTCTCCCATTTCACTGCAGCCGTGTGGGCCCCCTATGGTTCCTGGAAGAGCCAGGAGCATTTCCACCCAGGGCCTTTGCACTATGCTTCCTCCAGATGAGGTCATGGCTCACTCCTCTACCTCATTCATGGCTGTGCCCTAGTGCCCCCCAGTTCCTGGCTTACATAGCACCCCCAGGCTCTCTCTGTCCTTCTATCTCACTTTATTCTTCAAAGCACATTCCTCTACTTCACACTGAATGGTACATTTGCCTGTTCTTTGACTTATTCTGTCTCTCCATAAGCACTACAAGGGGAGAGGCTTGGTCTTTTATTTTCCCCCATCCTGGCCCTAGTGCCTAGTTCTCAGTGGGTAAATAATAAATATTTATTCCCAGACTACATGAACATAGGTTCCCAGAGGAAAACACAGTGAATCTACCCGACGCACCTGCAGAATCTGTCCACTCGGCTAAAGGAATACATATATTCACCTTCAGTGCCGTTATTATGAAGTTGAAGTTAGTTAAGTATTAACAGTGGTAACAATGGTTGCCCTTTGCTGAGGCCTTAGCACATTCCAGGTACCGTGAACGGCATTTGCTTTGAGTTTGCTTCTCACAATCCCCTTACAAAGGAATATGCTGTTTCTGTGGCGGAAGGTGACACTGTATCCTGGTGATGCCTAATGACCTGCCATGACAGGCAAGGCAGGATTCAGGACCGTCAGCTGGAGAGCGAGCAGGTGAGCCAGGAGTGAGCCACCAGTCTGTGGCTGCAAGGGCTATCCAGGAACCTATAAATCTGGGCTTGGCAGAGAGATTCCCGACTTTTGGCTTTTCTCCAGTTTCTATGCAGGAAAAATAAAAGTATAATTACTCGCTTCTGCCTCTCTCTGCCCCAGAGGAGGGGTGGCTGGCTTTCTAGTAGTCCTCCGGACTCCGGCAGTGACTGTTATTAACCTAAGTATGGCAGCGTTTTAACTCGGGGATTCTCAGTCTGGACTGTGCCATAGAATCACCTGGGGATGCTCAGGTCCCACCCCTGACATTCTCTTTGCAGTGACTTGTGGTGGATGGAGCCCAGCCACCTGCATTTTCTTAAAAGAAGAATGATTGATTTCAATGTGCAGGCGAGTCTGGAGGAGGCTGTGGAGGCCGGGCCCAGGCTGAGGGAAGTGGGGAGTTTCACTTTCTACCTAAAGATAGGGGCAGAATTCAGATCTTTCCTTTCGCCTCTGGCTTCAATAGGGTGAGGTACTGTCAATGATGCTGTCTTTTAAAAAAACATTTTGATATTTTGTTCATCATGAATTTTTTGGCACTAATTTTGGTTTTTAAAAATATTTTGCATTAAAATATTACTTATCTTGATTATTGAGTGTTTTGGTACCCCCTCGTTTTGCACCCGAAGCAAGTAGCACGCTGACCTCTCTCTAGTCCCAGATCTGGGAGGCACTAGACTATCTTGAGACTGAGAACCATCTTTGTTTTCAGGATCTGAGATGTGGGTGTGGCCGTGTGGGGTAAGGAGTGGAAAAAGAGGCTTGGCAGAGAGGAAATGAAAATTTTTCTATCTCCAGGTCTAGGCAGACAAGGGTCATGATTGCAGCTGAAATGGCATCTAACTCCATCAGCAGAGCCTCCCTCCAGGTTCTTCACTCCCTTGGGCTCAACCCAGGGCTCATTCAGACTTTGGCTGTAAATCCCATCTTAGTGCGGATGGTACCTTCAGCCCACATCATTCCCTGAAACCCCTGACTCCTCTACCCACCTTCCTGCTTGACAGCCTCACTTGGGTATCTAAGCACATTTCAAACTTGTTCAAAGCAGGCCTCATGGTTCCAAATCCCTCCTTGCCAAGAGCAAAACAATAGTAACAAGGAACCCAGGTGTTCCTAGACTTCCCATCTCAGTATCAATGGCACTGCTGTCTACAGCTCCCACGCATACCCTATCTGTAGGCAATCTCACCAGCCCTTTGAGAGGCTGAGGTGGGCGGATCACTTGAGCCCAGGAGTTCAACACCAGCAACATGCCAAGAGTTCGTCTCTACAAAAAAAATGCAAAAAATTAGCCAGGTGTGGTGGCATGTGCCTGTGGTCCCAGCTATTCAGGAGGCTGAGATGGGGGATCAGTTGAGCCTAGGAGGTCAAAGCTACAGTAAGCCATGGTCATAACACTGCACTCCGCCCTGGGGAACAGAGGGAGACCCTTTCTCAAAAAAAAGGGGGGAGCAAAAGACCTGAATAGATATTTCTCAAAAGAAGACATAAAATGGCAAACAGGCATATAAAAAGTGCTCAACATCACCGATTATTAGAGAAACGCAAACAAAACTACAATGAGATATCATCTCACCCCAGTTAAAATGGCCTTTAGGTAATAACAAATGCTGGTGAAGATGTGGAGAAAAGGGAACTCTCATACACTGTTGGTGGGAATGTAAATTAGTACAACCACTATAGAGAACAATTTGGAGGTTCCTCAAAAAACTAAAAATAGAGCTACCATATGATCCAACAATCCCACTGCTGGATATATACCCACAAGAAAGGAAATCAGTGCATCAAAGAGAGATCTGCACTCCCATGTTTTATTGCAGCACTGTTCACAATAGCCAAGATTTGGAAGCAACCTAAACGTCCATCAACAGATGAATGGATAAAGGTAGTACATATACACAATGGAGTGCTACTCAGCCAGAAAAAAGAAGAGATCGAGTCATTTGCACCACATGGATGGAATGGAGGCCATTATGTTAAGTGAAATAAGCCAGGCACAGAAAGGCTAACGTCGCATGTTCTCACTTATTATGTAAGAGCTAAAAATTAAAACAATCGAACTCATAGAGATAGAGAGTAGAAGGACGGTTATCAGAGGCTGGGAAGGGTAGTGGGAGGTAGCGAGGAGGTGTGAATGGTTAATGGATACAAAAATATAGTTAGAAAAATGAATAAGACCTAGTATTTGATAGCATGACAGGGTAACTATAGTCAATGATAATTTAGTTGTACATTCTAAAATAATTAAAAGAGTATAAATTTGATTGTTTGTAAGACAAAGGTTAAGTACATAAGTGGATGGATACCCCATTCACTCTGATGTGATTATTACACATTGCATACCTGTATCAAAACATCTCATGCAGCTCATAAATATATACACCTACTATATACCCACAAAAATAAATATTTAAAACAGAATAGCTTCTCTAATCTTTACAAGGCAGATGGCATTAGCCCATTCTACAGACTCTCAGAGAGGTTTGCTGGCGACCTGCCAATGGTCCCAGAGAGGGGAAGCAGCAGGACAGGATGTAGCTGAGGTCTCACTGGCCCTAAGGCGTATGCTCTTTCAGTGACATTAAACTGTATCTCAAGACAGAAAATGTTTCCGTTATTTTAATAATCGCATGCCCAATGTTTCAATGACAGTATCCGCATTGCTCACAGTAGCCCTGTGTAGAAGGCATTGCTACCTCCATTTCACAGATAAGGAAACTGAGGCTCCCAAAATCACACAGCTAATACATGTCAGAGCCAGGGTTATTGGTCTCCAAATCCCATGCTTGGTCCACACGGCAGGCAGGCTGTGGCAGAGCCCTCTGCCTTAATTCTATCTTTTTAAAAACACCATCTCCACCTCTGCCATTCATTCGTATCTTTCCTCTCCAGTAGACTGTCATGCAGCGTTCCACCCCTCCTCTTCCTCCCCTGGACGTCTCATCCCACATGCCTGGGTTCTGGAGTCAACACTGGGCTAGTGATGGGGAAATTGTTTTCACCAGGAAATCAGGATGAGCAGCTGAAGTCTTCGAGGAAACGCAGTGAAAACAGGAAGCAGCTTCTGTCAGAGGCCAGCTCCTGGCCGAGGAGCCAGGGTGGATGCTTTTCTGTGGGGGTGACCACAGTGCAGAATCCCTGGGGTTTCTATGGAGACACCTCTGTGGATTTCTCTGTCTCACTCACCTGTGGCAGAGCTCAGGACACCAGCTTTGAAGTAGGCAGAGGCTCCTCATAAAGGGAGGGGAGTTGGTGGCCCCATCTTCCCTCTGAGTCATGACAAAACCTACCCTGGGCTCTGTCAAAACAGGATTCCTAACAAGGTGCCCCTTGCTAGGAGAGGGAGTAAAATAGAGGCAAGCCCTACATTTTGCCAGTGGAATTTTCCAGAAGTGGCATTGTAAAGCAGATTATCCTGAAGCTCATTTTCTTTTCCATGGCAATAACACTATTAATGTCGTGATTCTGACCTGAGAACCTCAGAGAAGCCGTGGATATGGCTGGCTTGGCCAACAGGCTGCCTGCTCAACAGGAGTCTCTCTTCCTGCTGCCAACAGAGCTCAGCTTTGGTCCGGACACACCCGGACATCCAGGCAGGTGGGCAGGCCCCAGTTCTGGCCATTGTGATGTAAGGGGAGCCAGCCGGGGTGCTCTTCGGAAGGATTTTTGCTCCTGTATGAAGCACAATAGTGTAGGAGGGGGCCCAGCCATTTGGCACCTAGGAAGCCACACAAGGCTGAAAACCAGCGGCAGCTGCACTGCGGAGCCGGCAGCCCTGAATCGAGAGCCTTTGCTTCCCTTTGTTGACCAGGCATCTTTATTGCTAAAGCCACCATTCACTCAGTTTTCTCTTCCTTGAAGCCCAACTTAACAGGCAGGCCAACACCCAGCTGTAAAAGCAGACAGCCCTTTCTCTGGCCTCGGTGAGTGCTGCTCTAGTTAGTGATGCCACGGATGAAAGGATCCTGAAGGGGCCTCTGCGCTGTCCAGCCCAACACCCTCCTTCAACATGGAAGGAAGCTGAGTTCAGGGAGGCAGAATGCCTTGCCCAGCAGAAGAACCAGGAATAAGAACTACACTTCCAAGATTTGGAGAGCTGGGAGGACCTACACCCAATCCTGCAGCCGGCCGCATTGGTCTTGTGCTTTAGCCAACCCCACCAGAGCCCGTAGGGACAAGGCAGCCTCTAGGGGCCCCTCCTCTGGCTGCCTCATGCCTGCCTGCCATCCGGCCCCTCCAGTCCTGGAGGGACTGTAATGAGTTAACTGTCTCCAGGGTGGTGGGAACCACTTGGGTTACTGCATATATTTCGGAAGATGCAAATTCAAAGCTCAGGAGAAAAGGACTAATTTTTCCTATGGCAGAATTTCAGAACGCTTGTTTAGAATCCCTCCCCCACACTCCTAAAGCACACTTCGTCGGGCCCTGCTATTCTGTCCCCCATACATCAAGGGGTGGCTTCTCAAGCTAGGACGTTTTCTGCTTGGACTTAGAGAAGATGGGACCCATTTCATGCTTTTCCAGCACAGACTTGCAGCTGTTTCACCACTTGGAGGAGCTCAAGAGACTCAGCAACCTGGGTTCTCTTCCCACTTTGGTCACTCAAAGCGGAAGCAATGCTCCAAACTGCTGGCCATCAGCCCAGTTGTTCTCATGAGTCATCTCATTTACTTCCACAATAGTACCTTAGCGTATAAAGGGTTAATCTTATTAAAAAGACAACAACTAAAAAACAACAACCGAGTAAACAAACCTCTGACAGAAGAATCAACTCCCCCAAATCCACATGCACTGGCTAAAACGGGGGTTTCCACAACATCCCTGGGTCACTGACTTCTCTTGTCTGGGTCCAGGCAATGATTACTTCTATTGGACTGTAACACCTTCCACCGAGAGGGAAACCACAATGATAAGCCCAGTACTGTTGACAGTCTTTTATTTTTATTATGTACAAAATAATAATTCCATGTGTGACTAGAATCTCTAAAACTCTCGAGAAGGATGAGAAGCAATGCATGAGAGGAAAAGCATACACCAAATCTCCAACTTAAAACAGAGTGCTCCCTGGCCAGGCTCGGTGGCTCACACCTGTCATCCCAGCACTTTGGGAGGTTGAGGTGGGTGGATCACCTGAGGTCAGGAGTTCGAGACCAGCCTGGCCAACATGGTGAAACCCCGTCTCTACTAAAAATACAAAAATTATCCAGGCATGATGGTGCGTGCCTGTAATCCCAGCTACTCAGTAGGCTGAGGCAGGAGAATCGCTAGAACCCGGGAGGTGGTGGTTGCAGTTAGCTGAGATGGTGCCATTGCACTCCAGCCTGGGTGTTGCAGTGAGACTCTCTCAAAAAAAAAAAAAAAAAAAAAAAGAGTGCTCGCGGATGCTGTGTTCATTTCCCAGGGCCTCTGTAACACGTCCCACAAACTGGATGTCTTAAAACAACGGGAATGGAGTCTCTGACAGTTCTGGAGGCTAAAAGTTTGAAATCAAGGTGTGAGCAGGGTTGGTTCCTTCTAGAGGCAATGAGAGAAAATCTGTTCTAGGCCCCTCTCTCAGCCTCTGCAATTGGACCAATCCCGTGCTGGAAAAGCATGAAATGGGTCCCAACTTCTCTAAGTCCTAGCAGAAGACATCCTAGCTTGAGAAGCCACCCCTTGATGTGTGGGGGACAGTCCCAGTTGCTGCAATTCTTGGGGTTCCTTGACTTGTAGATGCATCAGCACAACCTCTGCTTCCATCCTCATGTGGCCTCCTCTCTTTCTGTCTGTGGGTCTCTCTGCCCATCAGTCATTGATTATGTCCACCCTAATCCCACGTAACCCCATCTTAACTTCATTACATCAGTAAAGATCTTATTTCCCAATAAGTTCACATTCACAGGTACTGGACGTTAGGACTTTGACATATCTTTTTGGGGCCCCCAATTCAACCAACAACATATGGGGCTGTGTTTTTACATATATGTGTCTATATGTATAGACATATATATGTGATACATACTTATAATCACCTTTTTAGATAAATGCTAGAATATGTATAGGTGAAACGATATAATGAAACATATGAGATTTGCTCCAAAATAATATAAAGTAGAGCCACTGTGTGAGTTTAGATGTAACAAGATTGGCCTTTAGCTGATAACTGTTGAAGCTGCCGGGTGGGCCCATGGGTACGTGGGGTTCATCAGATGTGTTTTGGTTACCTGTGGTTGTGCAACGTATCACATTTAAGATGTTGAGGCTTAAATCTACTGCTGTCATCTTATTATTCTCTCTCAAGCTCCTAGGGATTTAACAAACACTGCTAGGTGGTTCTTGCTTTGATGTTTTTGTTATGGACTAAATGTTTGTGTCCCCCCACCCAAATTCTTATGTTAAAACACCACTCCCCAGTGCGATGGGATTAGGGGTGGGCCTTTGGCGGGCGATAAGGATGAGAGTCCGGAGAGAGCTTGCTGCCTGCCGCTGGCTGATACCTGAGGACCCAAGGAGGAGTCAGCAGCCTGCAGCCGGGCAGAGGCCCTCACCAGACCCCGGCCATGCTGGCATTCTGACCTCCTACTGCCCAGCCTTCAGATCTGTGAGACATAAGTTTCTGTTGTTTACAAGCTGCCCAGTCTGCGGTGATTTGTTTTAGCAGCCTGAAGGGACTAAGACCATCTCTCGTGTAGTTACAGTCGGCTGCGCTGGAATCAGCTCAGGGCTCACTCAGGCACATGTCTGGCACCTGGGCTGGGGAGACTCCCACATCAAAGGCTCCCTGGGCTCCTGTGTGTGTGATTCTCCAGTGTGACAGCTCTTTCAGACTCCTCACATGGTGGCCCTAGGCTCCCAAGGTGTATGTCCCTGTGCTGCCCTCTCTCACCTGTGTCAGAGTCTCCAGCAGGATTTCTGTCACATTCTTTGGCCAAGGTAGTCACAAGGTCCATTCGGCTATAAGGGGAGAGGGACATAGACTCCACTGCTTGATGAGAGATGTGTCAAAGGACTCACGAACACATTTTGAAACAACCATGTACTATGCACTCTACATTTGCCTATGTTTAAAATGCTTCCGTAATGATATACACCCACGTACAATTTATAAAATACTATTTAGGAACTCTCTTTACTTCCTTACATTAATTTCAAATTAAAGTAATATAAAAGTTCTGCATACAGTTTGGAGGCAAAAGAAAGGAAGCAGGGAAGGGAGGAAAGAGGGAAGGAAGGAGAGAAGGAGGAAGGAAGGAGGGAGAGAGAGTAGCGAAGGAAAGAAGGAAGGGAGGGAGGGAGAGAGGGAAGGAAGGAAAGAAAGGAAAGAAATAAAGAAATAAAGAGAAAGAAAGAAAGAAAGAAAGAAAAGAAAAGAAAGAGAGAAAGAGAGTCTAGAAAAGAATTCCTTTCCAGTGTTATGCAGAAAATAAACACTGATGTCAAGAATCTGGGGAAACCCGAGTGCTATTTTATTAGACTTTGTAGCCTGTAATTTCAGTTATCCTTTTATATCATCTTTCAGGTCTACGGTCTGTAAATGTCTGCCGACATATATATGCAGTTCCCATAGGAGAAACAATAAAGATTTTGGGATTTTTTAGCCAGGCAGAGGGAGATAATGGGGAAAGCAGAGTGATGTACAGGGAGGGGTGGGGGCTCTGCCATCCAAGGATCATCTCAGTGCTTCTCTGGGGGCCAGGAGGGGCAGAAGAAAAAGCGTGGTGGTGATCCCATCGCACTGCCCACCAGGTATTTCCTGCGTGTTTCCCAGTCACGCAGCAAACTTGCCCTCTCCCTCCCCTTGAGGATGGGTGTGGCAAATGGTTTGTGTGCCCAGTGAACTGTGAAGTGTGTGCTTCTGGGCGTATGTTTACAAGCCAGCACAGCGTAAGTCACTCTCTTCCTTCTCCTCTCCTGGCACTTAAGAGGTGGCACCTCCCCTGGTCTGGGTCCCTCGCGTATTCCTATGTGAAGGTGACAGCAGAGAAAAGAGCCCCTGCCAATCCATGGTGCACATAGAGCATGAGCTATAGACAGCCCCTTGTCACTCTATGGGCTGTTTCCGCAGCATCACCTTGCCCCTCCCGATGGATGCAGCAGGCGCGGACTTGGGGTTTGGGCCAAAGCTCTGCCAATAACTGGCCATGGAGGTTTGCCTTCACTGACTGAGCTATGCATATTAATGCTTCCAACAAGCTACAGAAAATATTTATGAGGCTTCTCTGCAGGACATATGAAGGAGCAGCTAGCACTGGCCAGGCACAGAGTGGGTACTCAGTGGAACTTACTCTCTGCCCAACCCATCGCCCTGACAGCCTCAGTTTCCTCATCATTAAGATGAGAGCATGCGGTTGGAGTGGATGGCCTCTGTCTTGGTCCATTTGAGGTGTGATAGCAAAGTACCATAAACTGGGCAGCTTATAAACAGCAGAAATCTGTTTCTCACAGCTCTGGAGGTTGGAAGTCCAAGATCAGGAAGTCAGCAATAGTCAAATTCTGGTCAGGGTTCTCTTTGGGGCTGCAGGCAGCCACCTTCTCACTGTATCCTCACATGGCAGAAAGAGCTCTCCAGGGGCCTCTTTTATGAAGGCATTAATTCCATTTTTGAGGGCCCCATCCTTGTGACCTGTTCCCCTCCCACTGGCCCTGCCTTGTAACACCGTCACACTGGGGCTTAGGTTTCAACATGTGAATCTGTGAACTCAGGGGCACCAACTTGCAGCCCTCCACAGTGCCTAGGAGCCCTTCCTGCTCTCGCTCAGTGGTGGAGTCACAGCTGGAGAGCCGGAAGCTGGGGCATCCACCCTTGCTTTGACAAGGATGGATTATTTGGAGGAGGACACTGAGTGCCCAACTGTGCCTTCCTCCTTCTTGGAAGAGAAGCAGGATCATTCCTCTGCCCTCAGAGTCATTTATTATGTTTGTAAAATACTTGGCAGTCCTTTGCAAATAAATAAGTGCTCGGAGTTATTGGGTGTCCCCCTGAGGCTTCGTGGATAAGCACCAGGAAGATGACCAGCAGACCTCGAGGAAAGCCACAGGTGTGTGTGTTTTTGGCTTCTAATCAGCCATTCCCTACATTGGCTGCATATTTTTCACTTGCTTATGTGATCAGATGCACTTGGCTGACCGCATTTCCTCCTCAGCAAAACCATTTTAACACTTAATAAGCCTTAGGGTGGAGCACAGCTGCTGTTAAGTTGTGGGCAGTGCTGGCAATATTAACCCTCCCTTCTCCCCTCAACATCATCCTAATGTTTTCTTCTCCATGAAGTTCTGTTTGGCACACAAATATTTGTAGACTCCCCCAACCCTCAGGAAAATCCTCCCCCTTCCCCTGGCACCTGGTTCCTTCAAACAACAAAAAATTACTGAGCACCTACTCTGTGTGGGGCTTGGCAGGCTGGGCTGGATTCAGCATGGGGCCTGATCCCATGGCGTCTAAGGGAGATGGGCTTTTCCATCAATCAGCTGAATGATGGAGAGGGAGAGGCTGGTAGGAGCTGTGAAAGTGAGAGATCTATGGTACAGAGACCATGCCTGGTGGGGGAGTGTTGGGGAGGCCCCCCTAACACTTGCGTGTTCCCCAGGCATGTGCTGCCACTTGCCAGCTCCCACTCTGGGGATCTTACACGCTCCCACCTCCGTGCTGAAATTCCCAGATCTTTACCTCTAACCCCTGCCTGGAGTTACTGGCTTGTTTTTCCAACTGCCAGTGACACAACTTACTATTATCCCTTGTAATCATAAAATCAAACATATCTAGCACCTACTCCATGCCTGTTTTACACGCATGTACACAATCCTTATTATTCCTGTTTTACCCAGGAGGACTCTGAAGTGCAGAGGTGTTAAATACTTGCCTGAGGTCACATGGCTAAGAAGTGGCAGAACCTGCATTTGAACTCTGACACTGAGTCTAAGCTCTGCACTAGCCTTTATCTCATTGCCACCTGGCTGGCTCTTGGCACCTCATGTTAAAATATCTAAAAATTGGCTAATCTTCCTCCTTCCCTCCCAGCCCCCATCCACCATGGTGTGAGAGAGCTGTTCCTCCTTCTGGCTGTCTTTTTCTGTAAACTGCATCTCACCTGCCAAGGTGCTCAGGCTGAGCACCTCGAGTCACCTTGGACTCCCCCCTCTGCCTCTTCCATCCTATCTAACCAGTTGCTAAGTCCTGTGGCCATTTCCCTGCAAAGTCTTCAAGATCACGATAGCAGCTCTTAAATGATCCAGTTTCAGCCTTGCCTTTTCCCAACTGATCTTGCAAAAGACATACATGCAACGTTCACCTTCCTAGATTCCAGGTCAGTTGGGTTCCTCCGTTGATCAAACCCTGGTGACTTCCTAATGACAATCATAATTCCTAAGTCCAACATTCCCCCTAAGAATTCTCTTTTGGGTTGCACATATCTCCACTGGAAATTACCGTGGTCACCTGAAACTCAATGTGTCCCAAACTGTACCACACCTTCTGTTGCAAAGACTTCCCCACCCCATCTATTCACCCTTTCTTCCTTTACTGTGGAACCACAGTCTTAGCTGAGCATAAGCCATTTCCCATTTCCCCTGCAGCTATGCATGGCCGTGTGACCAAGTTCTAGGCAAAAGGATGTGAGCTACTCGTGGGTGATAACTTTCAAGGGGAGAGGCGTATTATTCTTCTGTTTCACTTGGGCCACGTGTACCTGGTGGTGAGCTGTGCTGGACCAGTAGATAGTGGAACAAGGTAGTTGATATGGTTTGGCTGTGTCCCCACGCAAATTTCCACTTGAGTTGTATCACCTAGTACTCCCATATGTTGTGGGAAGGACCCAGGGGGAGATAATTGAATCATGGGGGCCAGTCTTTTCCATGATATTCTTGTGATAGTGAATACGTCTCATGAAATCTGATGAGTTTATCAGGGGTTTCTGCTTTTGCTTCTTCCTCTTTTTCTCTTGCCACCACCATGTACAAAGTGCCTTTCACCTCCTGCTATGATTCTGAGGCCTCCCCAGCCATGTGGAACTGTAGGTCCAATTAAACCTCTTTTTCTTCCCAGTCTCAGGTATGTCTGTATCAGCAGTGTGAAAACGGACTAATACATTAAATTGGTACCAATAGAGTGGGGTATTGCTGAAAAGATACCCAAAAATGTGGAAATGACTTTGGACCTGGGTAACAGGCAAAGGTTGGAACAGTTTGGAGGGCTCAGAAGAAGACAGAAAAATATAGGAAAGTTTGGAACTTCCTAGAGACTTGTTGAATGGCTTTGGCAAAAATACTGATAATGATATTGACAATGAAATCCAGGTTGAGGTGGTCTGAGATGGAGATGAGGAACTTGTTGGGAACTGGAGCAAAGGTGACTCTTGTTATGTTTTAGCAAAGATACTGGCAGCATTTTGCCCCTGCCCTAGAGATTTATGGAACTTTGAACTTGAGAGAGATGATTTAGGATATCTGGTGGAAGAAATTTCTAAGCAGCAAAGCATTCAAGAGGTGACTTGGGTACTGCTAAAGGCATTCAGTTTTATAAGGGAAGCAGGGCAAAAAAGTTTGGAAAATTTGCAGCCTGACTATGTGATAGAAAAGAAAAACCCATTTTCTGGGGAGAAATTCAAGCTGGCTGCAGAAATTTGCATAAGTAGCAAGTCCTAATGTTAATCCCCAAGACCCTGGGGAAAATGTCTCCAGGCCACGTCCGAGACCTTCACAGCAGACCCTCCCATCACAGGTCCAGAGGCCCAGGAGGAAAAAGTGGTTTCATAGGCTGGGCCCAAGTTCCCTGTGCTGTGTACAGCCTAGGGACTTGATGCCCTGTGTCCCAGCCACTTGGGCCATGGCTGAAGGGGGCCAATGTACAGCTTGGGCTGTGGCTTCAGAGGGTAGAATCCCTAAGCCTTGGCAGCTTCCACATGGTGCTGAGCCTGCAGGTGCACAGAAGTCAAGAATTGAGGTTTGGGAACTTCCACCTAGATTTCAGAAAATGTATGGAAACGTCTGGATGCTCAGGTAAAAGTTTGCTGCAGGAGCAGGGCCTTCATGGAGAACCTCTGCTAGGGTAGCACACAAGGGAAATGTGGGGTTGGAGCCCCCACACAGAGTCCCTACTGGAGCACTGCCTAGTGGAGCTGTGAGAAGAGGGCCACCATTCTCCAGACCCCAGAATGGTAGATCCACTGACACCTTTTACCACGCGCCTGGAGAAGCTGCAGACACTCAACAAAAGCCCATGAAAGCAGCTGGGAGAGGGGCTCCACCTTGCAAAGCCACAGGGGCAGAGCTGCCCAAGACCATGGGAACCCAACTCTTACATTAGTGTGATCTGGATGTGAGACCTGGAGTCAAATGAGATCATTTTGGAGCTTTAAAATTTGACTGCTGGCCCGGTGCAGTGGCTCATGCCTGTAATTCCAGCACTCTGGGAGGCTGAAGCAGGCAGATCCTGAGGTCAGGAGATCGAGACCATCCTGGCCAACACAGTGAAACCCCGTCTCTACTAAAAAATACAAAAAATTAGCCGGGCGTAGTGGCAGGTGCCTGTAGTCCCAGCTACTTGGGAGGCTGAGGCAGGAGAATGGCATGAACCTGGGAGGTGGAGTTTGCAGTGAGCCAAGATCGTGCCACTGCATGCCAGCACTCCAGCCTGGGCAACAGAGTGAGACTCCATCTCAAAAAAAAAAAAAAAATTTGACTGCCCTGTTGGATTTCGGACTTGCATGGGTCCTGTAACCCCTTTGTTTTGGCCAATTTCTCCCATTTGGAACAGCTGTATTTACCCAATACCTGTACCCCCATTGTATCTAGGAAGTAACTAGCTTGCTTTTGATTTTACAGGCTCATAGGCAGAAGGGACTTGCCTTGTCTCAGATGAGACTTTGGACTGTGGACTTTTGGGATAATGCTGAAATGAATTAAGACTTTGGGGGACTGTTAGGAAGGCATGATTGATTTTGAAATGTGAGGACATGAGATTTGGAGGGGCCAGGGGTGGATTAATATGATTTGACTGTGTCCCTACCCAAATCTCAATTTGAATTGTATCTCCCAGAATTCCCACATGTTGTGGGAGGGATCCAGGAGATAATTAAGTCATGGGGGCTGGTCTTTCCCATGCTATTCTCATGATAGTGAATAAGTCTTGCGAAATCTGATGCGTTTTTCAAGGGTTTCCACTTTTGCTTCTTCCTCATTCTCTCTTGCCGCTGCCATGTAAGAAGTGTCTTTCGCCTCCTGCCATGATTCTGAGGCCTCCCCAGCCATGTGGAACTGTAAATCCAATTAAACCTCTTTTTCTTCCCAGTCTCAGGTATGTCTTTATCAGCAGCATCAAAACGGACTAATACAGTAGTACAAGGCGCTGGCATCCCAAAACCATGGAGCCACCACCTTGGTTGTAAGCTGCTTAAGCTTTAACATTTAGGCAGAAAATAATGTTGTCTAAGTCACTTTGTGCATGTGTGTGTTGTGTGTGTGTGTGTGCGTGTGTGTGTATGTTTTGTTTTGGTCTTTGTTTAAACAACCAAATCTGTATCCCAATAATGCTTTGCTCCTCCCCCTACCCCAACTCCCTCCTTCTAGCTAATAACACCCTGTACTCCTACTGCTTAAATCAGAAAGCTGGGTACCACCAGCTGACTCCTCCTCTTGCTCACCCTGTCCCTCCAATCAGTCGCTGATTGTTCCAGTTTCACTTTAACTATTTCTTAGACGTGGGTGCCCTCCTTTCCATCTTTACTGCCTTGTCCTTGCACACTTTTCCTTTTCCAACCATGTTTCTGGGTCACCTGGCCCTGTTCTGTATACCCTCCCCAGGGGATTGTTCTAGCCAGCACCCCCGGCCCATGACACACCTGCTCAAATCCTCTCCATGACCAAACCAAAGAAATGTGCATGGTCTGTGAGGTGGGGCAGGTGGTAGTGAGGAGTGGAGGAATTGTTATGATATAACAAGAATTCAGAGACTTTCCAGCCACATGCAATGTGTGGGTCTTGTCTGGATCCAACACAACACTGTACAAAAACACTCTGAGCCAAATGGGGAAACTTGAAAACTGGCTGATTATTAGTGACATTATAGAATGATTGTTCATTTTTAAGGTGCAATAATGAGATTATGGTGTTTTAAAAAATAGTCTTTTTGTCTTAGAGATACATCCTGAACTCCTGACAAATGAAATAATATAGTGTCTTGGGGGTTGAATTAATTAAAATAAGTCATCAGGGGGAGTGGAGCAATGGAAAATAGAAATGAAACAAGATTGGCCATGTACTGATAATTATTGCACCTGGATAACAGGTATGAAGAGGCTGGTTATACTATTCTACTTCTGTGTTAACTATTCTACTTCTGTGTCTATTTTAACATTTCATGGATGAAATTTTAACATTTCATCCATGGTAAAATATTTCTTTCAAAGCCAAAAAATACAAAAATCCAGTGTGCAAGGAAACCTGGATGAATTCTGCTGCCTTCAGAGTCAAGCACCAAGTCCTTCAAGTAAGGCAGGACATACTTCAGGCCTTCCCTCAACCCCCGACCTCTGTCCTCTGAACTCCTGTCCCTCTCCCTCCCCATTGGGATCTCCAGTTCTGCCAGGCCCTTTGCTGCTGCCATGTGTGCCTCCTCACAGCCCTGAGCCTCACAAACCTTCTCACACCTGCTGTCAGCATTCCTTCCCCATCAGTCCCCCTTGCTCACTACATGGCCCTTCCGAAGTCTGTGCCTTCCCATGACCCTGCCTCACACCCCACCCTGCAGGGAGGAAAAGCAGTCTTTCCTCAACCATCCTCAATTCATGGCTGAGACCCTTATATCAAAAGACGGATTAACAAGAGGAAAGCATGCAAATATGTTTAATGTAAGTTTTACATGACACAGGAGCCCTCATGAGGAAACGAAGACCTGAAGAAATGGTTACACATATATTTTTATGCTTGGTTTGATGAAGAAGAGGATAGTTGTATAAAAATAAGTTTGGACAAAGGGCATCTGATCTAATGGCAATAAAATGGGGAGAACTTAACAAGGCCTGGTTGTTCACATTCTTCTCTGTGTCCCTGTGTCTTCAGAGATAAGGATGTTCTTTCCCTCTGGGTACAGAAAGGACAGATCTCACATGAGTGTCTCATGACCTACCTCTGGGGGGAAGGTGAGAGAGACCTTCCTGCTTCTGCTGTTTTCTCAAACGCCAAGGTGTTGGGGTAGCAGGTCTTGAACCCCATCAACCCCCACAGTGCTTAGGGCTCCATTGAAGACGGCACCCTCCAAACAGTTCTGAATCCATTTGCTTTCTTCTGCATCCCCCTATAGAGCCTGAGCTCCTTGGAGATGGCAAGTGTGACCCCTGAATATTGTCTCCAGAGGCAGGGCATTGTTCTGGGCCACAGAGAGTGTTCAATAAGTGAACAGAATGACTTCAGGACAAGAAGGCTAAGCCTAGTGACGATGCTTCTGCCGTGGACCAGGTGCAAGCATGTGCTCACTCTGAAGTGATGTGGGATCACACAGATGGAGGAGGACTTCCTGGTTGTCAGCAGATCCCCGCGGTCAGCCCAGAGAGGGGGGACTTTTCCAACCTAGGGGCAATTTTAGAAAAATACCAATCTTGGCTGTCACCCTTCTTTAAAAGTGAAGAGAACAGATGATGATGTCTCTGCTGAGAATGTGTTTTTCCAAAAGAAAAATTGGAAGCCACTCCTCCTCCTGGAAACCCCAGGCGACCCTCTGCCTTCTTGAATGTGGTCCTGCAGACACAGGGTCAGTGCCTCCACTGTGCTCTGTCAGCAGAAGATAACTTTCGAGCAGCAGGGATGGGGGCTTCCTTCCTCTGGGAGTCTGAACTATAAATATCTGCGGAGACAGATTTCTCCATAGGGAACAAAAATGGAGAAATTTGTGATAACAAATAAGGAAGCGCCTCCTATCTCTTTAATGAACAGGATTCCAATTCTCCTCACTTGCCTCTGGGCTCCGTGGTGCAGTCTGTTTACAATTTCTTATAAATCCTTTAACCCTGCAAGTTTCTTTTCACACATTGCTGTTTCCCTTTGCTCTTTCCTGGGGGCAGAAATAGCACCTGGAGGAAGCCATTCCATTCACTTCCTGCTCCGATGAAACGAAATAGATAAAAACCAAACCATCAACTCTCCCATGGCCTGCCTCGGTCTCTTTTCTCATGTGGGCCTCAGGAATGAGAAAATCATATTGCATTAGATGAGGCCCAAAAAACAGCTGTTTGCTGGATGCAGGTGAGTGGTCCTCATGAGTGCTGAGGGCCGTCCTGGAGGAGGGCTGGGTGCTGAGATGCAGCCATGAATGAATGAAAGAAATCCAAAGCATCCTTCCATGCAGTTCACACCACGTGGGGAAATCTGACATTGGTCAATGCGGCCATCACAACTCACTCAAACCAACCCAAATATCTGGGGCAATTTCGAAACAAGTCATGGAAATAAAGCAAACTACAAACCAGACCATTCTTCCAGACACAAACCCAGTTTTTAATTCTTCACTACCACAGCTCCTTTCTCCAGGGACTCACAAATGTTTGATGAAGGAATCAGTAGATAATTAGTAATTACCTAACAAATAATTCATCCCTGGACTGCTGTGTCCATGACAAATGCCACATACAGCAGAAGGGGGAGGTTAGGGGCTGATATTTACGCAGCGTATGTGACATGCTTTACAAATGCTGTTTCATTGAATCTTACAGCAGCTCTATAAGGCGTTGTTCATTATCCCTATTTTACGGATGAGCAAATGGAAGCTGAAGCTGGTTATATAACGTGTGCAAGATCATAAGAGGGAAGTGGAGGAGTATTGTAAGGACTGAAACCCAGCTTTGTCTAAGTTCAAAGCCCTGCTCTTTCTAGAATGTCATGACTTTTCAAGCTTGCTCCAGCAGGACAAAAATGGCTTATAAGCTTGATTGGGATGTTCTGTTGCTGAAATTAAATAATGATTTATAATGATAGCCTCGTCCCAATTTGCACAAAAGTTAACTGAGAGAATTTTCTTAATTTCATGTTTTTGCTTCTATTATTTTTTCCTAAGCTGTGGTGCCTGCCACCCCTTATCTGATAGTGACACCAGAAGTCCCAAAAGGAATGAAAAAATTAGGAAAGGATAATGAACAACCATTCATGCTCTATTCAGTAGATGTTCTTTTATTGTGGAATGAATGCTCCCAATTTTGATTTCATATTGAATTTGTGTTCCAAGATTCTCAGGGGCTCATGAGGGAGCTATATACACAAAGTTCACTAAAAAGCTGTCTGGACTGGCTGCCCTGAGACCAGCCATCTGAGGGAGAGCATCATGGTGAAACCAGCTCCAAATTAGCGAGGACACACCAGGGTATGAAATTAATTTCCTATTCAGGAGTAGCTGGTCATGTTCCTTCCTCACCTTCAGCAACTAACTTGTCTGTACTGGTTTCTATTATGGACAGAAACAGTCCTTGGTCACTCAATAAATCACTGATTTCCCACAGAAGACATGTACCTTTTATTAAAGGAGGGAAATTAGGCCACTGCCTGAGAGCTATAGAGCAGTATTGTTACACTGCAAACAATTATATAAAAGCCAGGTCCCACTGAGAAGCGACCTCCCAGGACAATGAGGAAAGAAAGAAAGAGATCTGCAAACAACCAGGGCTGAAGCTTTGCAGCCCTGCTGAGAGGCCAATTTCTTCCTTCCTGAAGCCATTTATTCAGTTACCCCTTCATTTACTTCTCACTATTTACACAGTCCCACTCTGTGCTGTGCCAGCCTCTCGCCAGGACCCTTGATGGACAGGAAAGTGAGACTCTCTGCATCTGGGAGCTTCCAGTCTGGTGGGAAACAGAGTAATAAACAGAATTTATATGATCCTGTGCCTCACCTGCTCTGCTGGGTGTGTGAAGGGGTCTGAGTGGGGGTCACCCAGGAGTACGGGCTCTGAGAGGAAAGAATATTGTATTTTTGCACTGTAATGATGCCCCAAAGAATCTCCAAGTCTGATAAAGGCAACAAAAGAAAAGATAGATTGGACTTCATCAACATTAAAAATTTGTATGCATCTAAAAACACTATTAACAAAGTGAAAAGGCGGCCAGGTCTGGTGGCTTATGCCTATAATCCCAGCACTTTGGGAGGCTTGGCGGGTGGATCACCTGAGGTCAGGAGTTTGAGACCAGCCTGGCCAACATGGTCTACCAAAAATACAAAAAAAAAAAAATTAGCTGAGTGTGGTGGCGGGCACCTGTAATCCCAATCCCAGCTACTTGGGAGGCTGAGGCAGGAAAATCACTTGAGCCCAGGAAGTGAAGGTTGCAGTAAGCCAAGATGGTGCCACTGCATTCCAGCCTGGAAGACAGAGCAAGACTCTGTATTTAGAAAAAAACAAAAAACAAACAAATAAAAACATAAATAAGTAAATAAATAAATAAAGTGAAAAGGCAAACCATAGAAAATATTTGCAATGCGTATATCCAACATGAGATACCACCCGGAATATATGAAGAGCTTCTGCAATCAGTAACAACAACAAGCAACCCAATTTAAAATGGGCAGAGGACTTGAATAGGCATTTCTCTAAAGAAGATGTACAAGAGGCTAATGAGTACACAAAAACATACTCAACATCATTAATCATTAGGGGAACACAAATCAAAACCACAATGAGACACCCCTCAGGCCTATTAGGGCGGTTACTCTTTAAGAAAACACAGAAAATAAAAAGTTTTGGTGAGGATGTGGAGAAACTGCAACCCTTGCGCATTGCTGGTAGGAATGTAAAACGGTACCACTGCTGTGGAAAAGAGGGCGGCAGCTCCTCAAAAATTCAACGCAGAATTACCGTATGATCCAACAATTCCACTTGTGGGCATATACCCAAAAGAACTGAAAGCAGAAATGTTTTCAAACAGCTCCCTATACACCCATGTTCATAGCCGTATTGTTCACAGTAGCCGAAAGATGGCAGCAGCCCAAATGTCCATCAATTGGTAAATGGATAAACCAAATGTGGGATATTCATGCAATAGAATATTATTCAGTCTTAAAAAGGAAGGAAATTCTGGCACACGTTATAACGTGTTCAAGTTTTGAGGACATTATGCTGAGTGAAAGAAGCCTGTCACAGAGAGAAACATACCGTATGATTCCATATATATGAAGTATCTAGAGTAGTTAAATTCATAGCAGCAGAAAGGAGAAGAGTGGTGCAGGGGATGGTGGGAGGGGGGATGGAGAGTGAGTGTTTAATGCGGACAGGGTTTTAGTTTTGGAAGATGAAAAAGTTCTGGAGATGGACAGTGGTGATGGTTGCCTAACCGTGTGAATGTACCACTAAACTGTACACTTAAAAATGGCTAAGATGGCAAATTTTATGTTAGGTCTATTTTATCACGATTTAAAAACATCTCCAAGTCAGAGAGAGTGCTCCCTTAGTTACTTCAGTTATTTTAGCCTTTTCTATAATAAAGAACACAGTATTCTTTTCTCCCTCAAACAAAGGCAAACAAGCTCTGTGTGAGAAGTAGTGTTCATTTATCTTCATCAATTCAAGAATTATTTAAATATTTGTTGAACTTCCCTTGTGTGCCAGTGCTTGCTTGAGCACTGGGGTTATAGCGATAAATATGAATTGAAACTGGTAGAAATCTATGCTCCTCTGACTTCTTCATGGTGTTATCATGCTAGGGGAAACTAAGAACAATTATACAGACACACATACTATATATGTGTGTATGTGTGTGTGCATACATCTATATATATGTACGTATAAAATATATAACTGGAATATAGTTACAAAGGGCCTATATATCAAGGTCCTTTCCTTTATTTTCTATGGACCAATCTGAAATCTAAGGTTGTATCAATCAAGGTCTCAGCAGAAAATAGATGGTACACTCAAATTAGAGCAATTTGAGGAGGGTTCGTTTATTTATTTATTATTTTTATAGAGACAGGGTCTCACTCTGTTGCTCAGGCTGGAGTGCAGTGGTCCAATCATGGCTCACTGCAACCTTAGTCTCAGGCTCAAGTGATCCTCCTGCCTCAGCCTCCAGAGCATGCCACCACACCCAGCAATTTTTTTTTTTTTGTAGAGACAGGGTCTTGCTATGTTGCCCAGGCTAGTCTCAAACTCCTGACCTCAAGCGATCTTCCCTTCTTGGCCTTCCAAAGCGCTGGGATGACAGGTGTGAGCCACAGTGCCTGGTCTTGAGGAGGGCTTAATAAAGGAGCTCTTTATGAAGATGTGGACTGGCTGTAGGGAAACCACACAGGGAGTACTTCAGAAACCCACACTACTAACAGTGGAGCTGCTACCACCACAGGTTGTATGGCTAAAGGAAGGAAGTAGATGCTGGAACTTGGGAAGATAAAATGGTAAGAAAGGCTGTCATGAGAGGAGCAGTGACTTTGGTGGAGGGACACAGTCAGCCCAAGGCTACCCCACAATCAGCTCAAAGCTACCCTACAGGTGGCCCAAAGCTACCCCACAGTCAGTCCAAGGCTACCCCACAGTCAGCCCAAGGCTACCCGATAGTCAGTCCAAGGATACCCCTCTGTTAATCCAAGGCTACCCATAGTCAGCTCAAGGTTACCCTACAGTCAGTCCAAGGCTACCCCACAGTCAGTCCAAGGCTACCCTACAGTCAGCTCAAGCCTATCCCACAGTCAGCTCAAGGCTACCACACGGTCAGACCAAGGTTACCCCACAGTCAGTCCAAGGCTACCCCACAGTCAGTCCAAGGCTGTCCTACAGGCAGCTAAAGGCTACCCCACAATTAGACCAAGGTTACCCTGTGGGGAACATATACTCAACCTCGCTCTCCTCCCTACTACAATTTTCTGCTAGTTCTTTAGTGATTCTTCAAATCCAAGCAGATAAGTCCATATAACTCAGAAGGGTAGGAAGTGGCAAAATGGTGGGAGGTGGGAATGAGGATGGGGACTTGGAGAGACAGATAAAATATGTTTCGCCCCATGAAGAAAACATCAGGTAGGTGACCATCCTGAGCCTAACTCCAGGAAGCCGACTCAAGGCAAGGCCGTCTTCTAGGAAGTAGGCAGTGCCAATGCAAGGGGAATCTGAACATTTTTCCAGCTTTGAGCCATCCCGGGGAATCAGGCTTAGCTCACTGCAGCCTGAGATTTGATGAGGAGGCCAAGACAATTTTACCATCAATCTGAGTGGGTGAGATTAGACTGTTCCAAGCATCTTGAACCAAAGTTTGACCTAAACTAAAGCCCAAACCACATCAAGACTGGATTCTTGTTGAGCACATATTCACTTCTCACCATCATCTCCTGTGGTTGGGACAGATTTCCCTACCCTACATATTACTTGTTGCTTGCACTGCAAGGGAATGTTAGCAGACACAAGCAAGCTGAAACATGCTGCAGAGATCTGCCTTGAGAACATGTGCCCTGGGTAGCTGCAGCCCTCAGTCTGGCCCCCAGATAAACGGAGGTGTGGCAGATCCAAACCCAATCTGAAGTCAGAAGCCAAGCCCTGCTGATCCACAGCATAAAGAAAAGTCCCACATCTGAGCCCATCCTAGGTCAGCTGAACCACAGTGGACCTGCAAATCCATGAGCATGAGAATAATGTTTGCTGTTGTCAGCCACTGTGGTCTAGGCTTATTTGTTACACAGCACTATTGTGACAATTGCTGATTGATAATAATATGGCAACAGACACTTGCATCGAGATCAAGAAAAGCCTGAAGCCAATCCTTGCATCTCAGGCCTATTTCAGGCTACAGCAGGTGCCAATGCCCTTTTTCTACTGGGCCCACAGCAGCAAGCTAATCTTATAGAAGGACATGCTATCACATGTATTGCACTCTCCAGTTCCAGTGGATTTTCATGTAGAGGGACTCATTTAACCTCCCTTCTTCTCCCCATTTAACAGATGAGAAAACTGAGGACTAGAGGTGTTAAATGATTTGCCCTGGTCACATCTGGTAAGCTGGAGTTGGAATGATTTGTTCCCAGGAGTTTCAGCTCCATGCCACTGCAGAGCATACTCCTGTCCACTCATTTTTTTTTTTTTTTTTTTTTTTTTTTTGAGACGGAGTCTTGCTCTGTCACCCAGGCTGGAGTGCAGTGGCGCGATCTCGGCTCACTGCAAGCTCCGCCTCCCGCGTCCAGGCCAGTCTCCTGCCTCAGCCTCCCGAGTAGCTGGGACTACAGGAGCAGCCACTACGCCCGGCTACTTTTTTTTTTTTTTGTACTTTTAGTAGAGACGGGGTTTCACCGTGTTAGCCAGGATGGTCTCGATCTCCTGACCTCGTGATCCGCCCACCTCTGCCTCCCAAAGTGCTGGGATTACAGGTGTGAGCCACCGCGCCCGGCCTCTGTCCACTCATTTTAGCTGCATCAGCTACCTGGGAGATGTGAACCAGTTGCCCATGGTTTAGAGAAGGGGAACTATATCAGTCCAAATGAACAAAAACTAGAGTTACTAGAGTTAACACATAAAACTACAGGGAGTCCAGTTAAATTTGAATTTAAGATAAGCGACATGTAATTTTTTAGTATGTCTCATGAAATAATTAGGACGTATCTGTACTAAACAATTATTCAATGTTCATCCGAAATCCCGTATTTCATGTTATGGATATACCACAGTTTGTTTAACCATTTATCTGTTAAAAGATGTTTCCAGTTTTTGGCTGTTGCAAAGCTGCTATGAACAATGGTGTATGTAAGGTATTTGTGTGCACATATGTTTTCATTACTCTGGGACAAATGCCCAGGCGTGAGGTAGTTGGGTGGCAATGCAAGCATATGTTTAGTTTCTTTTCTTTTCTTTTTTTGGAGAAACTGCCAGATGATTTTCCAAAAATGACTGTAACATTTTAGATTCCCACCGGCAATGTATGAGATGTTTCTTCACATCCCTGCCAGTATTTGCTATTGTCAGTACATTTTATTTATGTGCTTTGATAGGTGTATGGTGGCATTTCACTGTGGTCTCAATTTGCATTTCCCTGATGGTTGATGATGCTATCTTTTCATCTGCTTATTTGCCCTCCATATATCCTTTTCACTGACATGGCTCTTCATGTATGTAGCCCATTTTAATATTAGATTTTTTTTTTTTACTGTTGACGTTGGAGAGTTCTTGATATATTCTAGATAAGAATCCTTTGTCAGACATGTAGGTTGCAAGTATTTTCTCCCAGCCTATCGCTTGTCTGTTAGTCTTTTTAACAAAGTCTTTTACAGAACAAATAGTTTAAATTTTGATGAAGTCTAATTTTTGAGTTTTTTCTTTTATGGATTGTGCTTCCAAGTGTCATCTCTGAGAACTCTACACCAAGCCCTACTATGTTTTCTTCTAAAAGTTTTACAGTGTTATGCTTTATATTGTAATTTATGATTCATATTAACATTTGTATAAAGTGAAAGGTTATTTAAACCTTGATTTTTTTCCCTGTGGATGTCCAATTGCTCCAGCACCATTTGTTGGAAAGATGATCCTTCCATTGAATTGTTTTTGCGCTTTTGTGTTTGATTTTGGAATCAGTTGCCGAACTTGTGTGGGTTTCTATATGGGTTCTCTGTTTCGTTCCATTGATCCAAGTGTTTATCTTCCACCAAGACCATGCAGGCTTTAATACTGCAGCTATATAATAAGACTTGAAATTGTGTAGATTAATTAATTCCATTTTATCTTTTTTAAAAAACAAAATTACTTTAGCTTTTCTAGTTCCTTTACCTTTTAAAATAAATTTTAGGACAATCCTGTTTATATAGACAAAAAAATCTTCCTGGGATTTTGATAGAAATTGCATTAAACATGCACATCAATTTGAATAGAATTGCCATCTTCATTATGTTGAGTATTCCAATCCATGAACATTGCATGTTTCTCCATTTATTTAGATTTTCTTTGATTTATTTCATCAATGTTTTACAATTTTCAGCATTTTTATACATGTTTAAAAAATTTTTACACCTATTTCAATTTTTTAATTACTACAAATAGTGTTGTATTTTAGTTTCCAAGTATTTATGGCTATTTTACAGAAATACAAATTTATTTTGGTTAATTAATCTTTTATACTATAATGTCACATATTTCTAGGAGAGTTTTTAGAGATTCTTTGGGATTTTCTACATAGACAATCATGTAATTCTCCATCTGAGTGCTTTGTATCTCCCTTGCTTACCTTATTACACTGGCTTGAACTCCCAGTACTATGCTGAAAGGGGAATGGTGAGAGTGGACATCCTTGTTTCTGATCTTAGAAAGCATCCAGTCTTTCACCATTTAAGTGTCATGTCAGCTCTAGGATTTTTGTAGATTTCTTTGTCAAGTTGAGGAAACTTTCGTCTATTTCTTGTTTTCTGATAGTTTTAATTATGAATGGCACTGGATTTTGTCAAATGCTTTTTCCGCATCAATTGATATGATTGTGTGATTTTTCTTTTTTAGCCTGTTATTATAGTGGATTACATTGATTAGTTTTCATATATTTAACCAGCTTTGCATACCTGGAATAAACCCCACTAAGTTACAATGTGTCATTCCTTTTATATCTTGCTGAATTCTATTTGCTAATATTTTATAAAGGAATTTGAAACTATATTCATAGTGTTTCTTTTTTTGTATTCGTTGGTATTGTCTGGTTTGGGTATAGGATAATAATGGCTTCATAAGAAGGATTGGGAAGTGTTCTGTCCTCTTCTTTTTTCTGGAAGGCATTGGGTAGAACTGGTGTCAATTCCTTTGTAAACTTTTAGTAGAATTCTACAGTGAAACCATCTTGACCTGAAGATTTCTTTTTCAAGAGATTTTAAATTAGGAATTCAATTTTCTTAGAAATTGTAGGGCTATTCAAATTATCAGTTTCATATTGGGGCAGTTGTGGTACTTCGTGCTTTTTAAGTAATTGGTTCATTTCATCTAAGTTGTTAGATTTATGTGTATAGGGTTGTTCATAACATTCTTTTATATCCTTTTGATATCTGTGTGATCTGTAGTGATATGCTATTCATTCCTTGTAATAGAAATTGTGTCTTCTCTTTGTCAGTCTTGCTAAAGGTTTCTCAATTTCTTTTAATCTTTTTGAAGAACCACCTTCTAGTTTCATTAATTCGCTCTCTTCTTTTGTTTCCTAATTCACAGGTTTCTTTATTTTTAAATTATTTATTATTATTATTTTTAAGATGATGTCTCTCTCTGTTGTCCAGGCTGGAGTGCAGTGGCAGGATCCTAGCTCAATGCAGCCTTCCACTCCTGGGCTCAAGCAATCCTCCTGCCTCAGCTTCCCAAAATGCTGGGAGTACAATCATGAGTCACTGTGCCCGGCTCTAATTCACAGATTTCTGATTGATTGTGTTTTTATAATTCTCTTCCTTCTGCTTGCTTTGAGTTTATTTTGCTTTTTTTTTTTTTTAGTTCCTTGAGGTGGGGACTCAGATCATTGATTTGAGATTTTTCCAAATTTTCTAATGTAAGCATTTAATGCTACAAATTTCCCTCTAAGTATTGGTTTAACTGTGTCCCACAAATTTTGATATGCTGTATCTTCACTTTGATTCAATTTAATGTATTTTTATTTCCCTCGAAGCTTCCTTTTTGACACATGAATTACTTAGAAGTGTACTGTTTTGTTTTGTTTCCAAGTACTTAAAGATTTTCCTCTTATCTTTCTGTTATTGATTTCTAGTTTGATTTCACGTGGTCAGAGAATATCACATTGTATGATTTTAATTCCTTTAAATTTGTTGAGGCTTGTTTTATGACCCAGGTATAGTTTATCTTGGTACATGTTCCATGAGTGCTTGAAAATAATGTGTATTCTGCTGCTGTTGGATGGATTGTTTTATAAATGTTGATTAGGGCCCATGATTGGTGGTGTTATTAAGCTCAGTATTCTTACTGATTTTCTTTCTAATTGTTTTATCTGTTGTTAAGAGAGTGTTGAAAGCTCCAACTATGATTGTGAATTTGTCTATTTCTCTATCAGTTTTTGTTCAGCTCTATCAGTATTTGCTTTACATTTATACACTCTGTTGTTTGGTGTATGCACATTTAGGATTGCTATATATTCTTGGAGTATTAACTCTTTTATCATAATGTAATGTCCCTCTGTCCCTAGGAATAGTCTTTGCTCTGCATTCCACTTTTTCTGATACTAGTATAGCAGTTTCTGCTTTTTAAAATATTACCATGGTATAACTTTTCCCATCAATTTATTTTCAATCTACTTATATGGTTATATTTGAAGTGGGTTTCTTATAGGCAGCATATAGGAGAATCATGTTTATTAATCCTCTTTGTGGAATCTGTCTTTTATTTGGCATATTTAGACCATTTATATTTAATGTAATTATTAAAATGTTAGGGATTAAGTCTGCCATTTTGCTTTTTCCTTTCTGTTTGTTCTCTGTTGTTTGCTTTTCTATTCCTGTTTTTGTTTCCCTTCTTGTGGGCTAGTTGAACATTTTTAGTATTCCATTTTTATTTTTCTATAGTGTTTTTAAGTGTATCTCTTTGTATACTTCTTTAGTCATTGCTGAAGATATTACATTATAGATATACAACATATCATATTCAACTGGTGTTGACATTGTACCAATTTTAGTGAATGTAGAAACTTACCTCCCTGTATGGTCCTTTACTCTTTCTCATTTGTAATGTCTTCAATATTTCTTCTACATACTTTGAGAACTACATTATATCATGTTATAATTTTTATTTCCATCATCAAATATAATTTAGAAAACTCAAAGGAAGAAAATAAACATATTCTTTTTCCCTATATTTTTGCTTACTACATTTTTCCTTCTTTCACATTGTTCTATGATTCCTTCTTTTTTTTATTTCTCTTTCTGTTTAGAGAAATTCCTTTAGCCATTCTCTAGGATAGTTCTATATTCTGTTATTTTACAGTACATCTGCAAATTATGTGATTTTTCCTTCGCCTGAAAAGGTCTTGATTTTCCCTTTATTACTGAGATATTTTCACTGGATATACAATTTTAGATCGACAGCTCTTTTGTGTCAAGACTTGAAACATATTTTGTCATTTTCTTTTTGGCTTCATGGTTTCTGATGAGAAGTCTGCTGTCACTCAAATTGTAGCCCCCCACCCTGCTGCTGATAAGTAAGGCATCACTTTTCTCTGGTGGTGTTCTGGAGTTTTTCTTTGCATTTAGTTTTCAGAAATTTAATGATGATGTGTCTTGGTATGTATTTCTTTGGGTTTCTCTTGTTTGGGGTTTGCTCAGTTTCTTGACAAAAGGTTTATCTCTTCGGTCAAATGTGGCAAATTTCCAGCCATTATTTATTTGAGTACTTTTTCAGCCCTGCACTTTTAATCCTCTTCTTTCTGGACTCCAGTGACATAAATGTTAGCACTTTTTTTTTTTCTTCTTTTTTATAGTCCCCAAGCCCATGAGCTTTTGTTCTTTTCTTTTTCTTTTTTTCAGTCTACTTTCTCTCTATTATTCAGATTGGGTAGTTTCTATTTTTCTATTTTCAAGTTCACTGATTTTTTTCTTCTCTACCTTCCACTCTGCTGTCAAGTTCATCCACTGAGATTTTTATTTTACTTACTGTATTTTGCAGTCCTAAAATTTCCACTTAGTTCTTTATATTGTCTATTTTTACACTGAGATTTTCTATTTTTTCATTTGTTTCATGTGTGTTTGTGATGCTCAGGGTATGTAATCGCTGTTTTAAAATCCTTGTCAGATAATTCTAATATACCATCTTGGTGTTGACATCCGTTGCTAGATTTTTTTCATTCAAGTTGAGATTTTTCCCAATTCTTTGTATAATGAGTGGTTTCTATTGAGGTCTGGACATTTGGGGGATTAGGTTATGTTGGAGAAGAAGCTATCATGCAACCTGTCACCTGCCCTGAGATTGTCTAATCACTGCCCTGGGCCTGGAGCTTCCCCCCATATGAAAGCTGGGTACTGAGCTGTTGTGTAGCTGAAGATTCTTCTCACTTATTAGAAGAAAATATTTTCCTGCTCTGATTACACAGTAAGCTTCCTTGTACTGCTTACACATGTATCATATGGCACTTGGCCAGCCCAAAGATTATATCTGTCCCCACCAGGAAAGAACAGGGTCTTTGCCTGCAGCAAGAGAGGGTTGTGTGTTTCACCCATTGCCCCACACCTGCTGGCCATGGGAGACCAGCACACGCTACAGATGCTATCTTGCTGCATCTTTTCTTCTTTCTGTAAGTACAGCATTGTCCCAATCAGTGCCTTGAGTGTAAGTCCCCCTTGGCAACTCTGAAATCGCAGCAGATGCAGTGGCCAAGGTCTGTAGGCTCCTTCTTCTGGTTATTGGCATTGCTGTGCTTCTTGCTGTCCTCCATGTGGTGGAAATCCTCACTTGGGATTAGTAGCTGGATCTTCCTGCTCAACATATTATGAAATTCTGTGGTTCAAAAGGTAGGAAAAAACCCAGGGAACTCACTTTCATGTCATGCTTCAAGTCCTGAGATCCCTAGTGGGTCTGTCTGCCTTCTTCCTTCCCCTTTTCAGAGTCTTCTTAAGTTCATCTTACACACAATGTCCAGAGATTTTAGTTTGACTTAGCAGGAAAAACAAGGACACCCATGTTTACTTCATCTTTCTGGAGGAAAAAAATCCATATTTCCTTTAGTTGAACTATCTTTCTCCTTGCTTTAGGAGTCATATCTTCTTCCTTTTCCAATATTAGAACAATATTTAAAGATTTCACATCCTCAATACTCCCCAAGCTAAAAGTATGCTTCTTTCTATGTTCTATGCTTTTGCCCTTTTTGGAAACTTGTTATTTCTCACTTAGATCATTTCAATGGTTTCCTAACTAGTCTCTAAATGGACAACCTCTCCCTTTTTTCTAGTCTCTCCTGTTCTATAGATTATGACCAGGTTTATTTCCTTAAGCACAAATCTTATCCCTTGCTTTCCTTCCTCCATAAGTTTTGTTTTTAAAATAAATTTTATTGTGTATATTCAAGGTATACAACATGACCTTTGTAACTTTTACCAGCTCATTACTGGCTACTTAGTAAAATTCGAACTCCTACTTGGGGTTCAAAGCCATTAACATAATGGTTCACCTCCCTGTTTACAGCCTTATCTTCCTCTGCTCCCACACAAAGTGATCCACTTCCAGATCTTGGACACACACTGTGCATTTCCATCCCAGGCCTTCACTCATGCTCTTGTCGGTCTCAAGGAAACCTTCCTTGATTACCTAACTCAAAACTGGTGCTTCCTCCCCATCCACAACCATAGACTTTTGCTTACATCTGTCTTATAATCCATGTCATAGTTACAAGACACAATATACAGTTCTGACAGGGTCTCTCCTCTTGCATAGAATCAGGCCTTCTTGGATTAGGAGAGAAGCAGACCTATCAATGGCTACAAGGCTGGGCTGGCTGCTTGTGAGTAGGAGGTATAGTGTGGAAACATCTGTTTACTTCTAGAAGGTGCACCAGTTCCACCAGTTCCAGGAGATTCTATTCTGCCCTGGGATTCTCTGAAGGTCCAGAAAAGGAGGCTTTAGACATAAGTCCACCATGTATGTCTTGGAAGCAACTGTGGAGATGCTCTAAAGCAAAGCTCCCTGGCCTTCCTAGATTTATGACAAGTCTGCAATATGGACAGTACACCCTCTGTAGCTGAAGGTGCTTTCTCTGTAAAGGGAGTGGGTGGCATCATGAGGAGTGAGGGAAGAGAGGGGTTGCTAGGGTTTACATCTTACCAGCTGTGCAAACTCTGGACAAATTACTTAACTTATGTAACTCATCTGCAAAATGTGGATAATTAGAGTACCTAAAAAGAATCACATAAAAATGCTTAGAACAGTTCATGGTACTCAATAAATGTTAGCAATTACCATTTGCAATATTTTCCATCAAAGGGCCCTGAACAGTAAAGGAATACTAGGGATGATCTGGAGGAACGCCTCAAATCAGTTTCCATATGCATGAAATTTCTTTTAAGGCTCTTGTTACATGTTAAATACTTGTGCAATTTTGCATTCCACTCCAAGATAAAGTTGAGTTTGTTTTAATATCTGACTAATATTTCTTCTGGAAAAATATCTAAGAAAAAATTATATTCTAGAAAGACGCCTCTCTGATGAATCTCTGGCACCAAGTGGAGTCTCAGTGGCACATTCATACATTGGAGGTGCACAATCCCCACAGGCCTTGAGCCAAAGATGCACAGGACCAGCCATCAGGCCAGCACCAGAAAGCGTGTCTCACTCATGACTGTCATGTGGGGTGGGCGCAGCCCCTGCCCTCCCATTCCCTGACCTTCCATAAACTGAGGCTCACAGTCTCAGTCCATCTTTTTCATTCGGGAGCACTTGCCTCTTGTTGGATGTGTGAAATGTGGTCAATGTCAGCATGGAAAGAAAAATCTTGGCTTGGATTTCCTGGGCTATGATCATGAATAAAATAGGGCTAAAGAGAGCTATAATCTAATGCACTATATTACTATAATTAGAGCTTCATGCATAGAGCTCTCTCCCGCCCTCCCTCCAAAATAATAAAACAATTTAACATAAACAGTAGTGACTTTAGTCTCTATCATGCAGTGTTCAGTGATTGGGTAATTATGGTAACAGAATATAGTTAATGGATGCTGAGTTCAGAATGTAAGAGAAAAGAGATGAGAAACAGCACACAAATGAATAAAGTCATAGAATCATAGCACTGCAGAGCTGGGTGGGACCCTGGCAGTCATGCACCTTACATACCCATTCTACAAAAGAGGAAAGTGAGATTCAGAGAGATTAAATGACCTGCAAATGTCAGATGCTTAGATAGAAGTGGAGTCAAAACAAAAGCAATGTTTCCTCTCTCATGTCCAATATTCTTTCCCACCCACGATGTTGTCTCTGGGAAACTGCATAAGGCAGTTTCTAGAAAACTAGAAAGTTTTCTGCATGGCAAGTAAACTGTGTTAGACAAAATTTGCTAAGTAGAGACAATGTTTCTGTGAGATTAAGCTGTTGTCTGTCTTTTCATTGCATGTCATGGCACTGGATGTCAACAGCTGTCAGCAGTAAATATTTTTCATTGTATCCATTTTGTTCATTTGATGTAGAAGAGAAGAGAGATTAGCAAATGCGCAAATTAAGATTATGTTTAACTGCTGAGATTATTTTAATTTTAATTAATTTTAATGTTGTTAGATTTTATTCATATTACAATAAGAGCATCTAATAAGTAATAAAACTTCTCATATGAATATTTACATTTCATAGTCCTTTCTTTTTTTTCCCTTGAGACAGAGTCTCACTCTGTCACCCAGGCTGGAGTGCAGTGGCACAATCTTGGCTCACTGCAGCCTCTGCCTCCCAGGTTCAAACGATTCTCCTGCCTCAGCCTCCGGAGTAGCTGGGATTACAGGTACACGTCATCATACCTGGCTAATTTTTGTATTTTTAGTAGAGAGTAGATTTCACCATGTTGGCCAGGCTGGTCTTGAACTCCTGACCTCAAGTGATCCAAGAACCTCTGTCTCCCAAAGTGCTGGGATTACAGGCGTAAGCTACCGTGCCTGTCATACATTTCATAGTCCTGTACTACATGGAAGAAACTTAGGCAGAGTCAACACTTTTCGTAATGAAGGCACATGGACTTCCTAAAAAAAAATAAGCCAAAAGTCCTCATGGTACAACTTGGAACCAGATTCCAGCTTGTAGATGTTTTACCCATATTTTTCACAGTGTGTTGGACATAAACACAGTCACAGTCAAAGTCATCTATACACGCCCTCTCTTCTCTTCTCCTTCCTGTAGAAAGGGAGAGGCTGATGTCACTGGAGAAAGGGTGAGCTCATGTCTTCCACTAATCCCTGCTGACTGTCATCTACTTCTCGATCCCAGAAAGCCAGACCTAGGGGATGGGGTCAAGGTTCTTCCTCCTTCCTACACTGTCCAATAACTGTCCAATAAAATGCCCCTGACACCACTAGGAGCTGAGGCTAACCTGAAGGAGGTGGATGTGTAAATCCTATTCTGCCTATGATGAGAACATGCAACACTTTGGAAAGAGCAATAGGGGTCATAAGGCCAGGCACCAGACCAGGTGGGTACTTGCAGGAAGTAGCAATGCAGTTGGAAGTCTTCTCTAAAGAAGCAAGGTGTACGCCATTACATCCAAGAGAAATAAAGACACCACTAAGAAGCAAATTGCTCCTCAAAGATAACAGTCTTTCTTTCCTGGACTTTGACCTTCCTCCTCCCCTGAAAGGCAGTCAGGGGTCAAAGTCAGACTTCACAGAGTCACGCCAAGTCAGATTTCAAGATGGGAGTAGGAGGATGTTGAGGTGGCGAGGGACGCAGGCATGGGAAGCAGAGCTGAGGACAGGGACATGCGCGTGGAAGACCCCTTTTCCTGGGTGCCTCTGCCTTCCTGTTGGGGCTATCAGTGGGGCCCCCCTGGGTGCCCAGTCCAGTGTAGTAATGGGTTCAGTCAGTGGCCCCACTGACCTGACATCTGGGAGTGTATGTGTCTCTAGAGCACGTTCCCATCACAGTACTTTCATAGTCAAATTTTTGTTTGAATGTTCCGGCAGGGCAAGTACTATTGTCTTCATTGACTGGAGGAAACCTAATTTAGCACGTATAGATGCTAAATTTTCTGAGGATCTACTATGCTCCAGATACTCTATAGTGTTGTACCTACTTAGTTTCCCCATCTGTAAAATGGGACTAATAATGGTACCTCTCTCATAGGTTGTTATAAGGATTAAATAATATAATGCAGGAGAAATGTGTCACATGGTGCACAGGAGGCCTTCAATGCAAGTGTTAGCTGATCCCTACAATATCCCTACAAGTGTCTATTATAAGCTCCATTTTACGGATAGGACACTGAGGCACAGAGAGGAAAATGGCGAACTAGGAGTCAACCAGCATGTTAAGAGGCCTCTTCAGGCCTTCAATGCAGATTGGCACTCTTTGCACTCAAAAACATGATTTTTCTGGGAGCTTCTGGTCTGTTTACAATTTCCATGCACTTCCCTTGACCCATTCCTCCTGACTAGAGACAGTCTTCTACATACCATGTTGTGACCTTGTTTGAAGAGCGATCACAGTCTTTTGTCTCCAAAAATACACAATGATTTGTCATCTTCCAAATAAAATTTCAAGCACCAGGCTTTATGAAGACTTCTATGACATAAAGAAAGAAGCTCTCACAAAAGACCCTAGAGCTGTGAAGCAATTTTGAAACAGGTTGAGTGTTTGAGGCCAGTAATAATATGAAAGTCAAAAGGATGTTCTCATCAATATTCTTACAATTTCACAACTCCTTTTTCTTTATTGCCTAATTTCCATCTCAGTCCTTTTTTCGTAAAAGGTTAAGGGATGGAAAAAAGATAACTGGAAAAAAACATTCCTTATTTCCGTGGCTTCTTGTATACAGTAAGCATTCCATAAATGCTTGTAAGATGTATGAATAAACTGATGGTGAAAGAATGCATCTATTTTCTTCATGTGAATTGGTTCAAAGACCAGTTTTATGGAGACTGCTTATAACCCGCATCCTTAAGAACATCCAATAATGCTTTCCTATAAGTCCCATTGCCTTTATATTTTTTATGTACCCGATGCAAGGATATACCCCCTGAATGCAGCCCAGAGGCTCAGGGGGTATGCTAGCTCCATCAGAGCTCACTTCTGCTTTGCAGACAATCAACTTGAGCTTGAGCTTGAGTAGGAAGCCCCCATGCTTATGTCAGGATCAAAAGCACATGCAGGCAGTCACCTTCCTTTGGGTGGTGTGCACATTATGTGCTCTTTACTGGCGACTTGCCAATTCTGATCCCATTTCCACCCACCTGATGAGTCTTCAAAAGAATCAACACTCAGATGAGATCAATAGGCTGACACCTCTGAAGTACGACACATGTTTTGCTGGGAGTTTCATGACTAAGAAGTTCTCAGGTGAAAAGAGAACTGGACTTGCCAGAGCACTTGAGTTGGAGTCTTGGCTCAGTGGTCTCACTGGGGAATGTTTCTCCTTCTTCCTTATCTGTAAAGTGGCAACACCTACTTAACAGGATCTGTGTGCACTGAAAATGTTTGTGAGAGCACCTTGCAAATGATGGAGAGATAAGCTGGCCTATTTCTAAGGATCATTAGCACCAGCAGAGGGGCAGGACGAGGAGCTCATTGTGTGCCACTGGCTTGCCGTTGACTTGGAATATAAATCACTCATGATATATTCTCAATAGCAAGTAACTTCAGATTATTTTTTTTTTTTAGACAGAGTTTCACTCTTGTTGCCCAGGCTGGAGTGCAATGGCGTGATCTCGGCTCACCGCAACCTCCGCCTCCCGGGTTCAAGCGATTCTCCTGCCTCAGCCTCCCGAGTAGCTGGGATTACAGGCATGTGCCACCACACCTGGCTAATTTTGTATTTTTAGTTGAGATGTTAGTTTAGTTCTCCATGTTGGTCAGGCAGGTATGCACCCCATGCTTGGATACATTAAGCTTACCAACGACAAATGTGTGTGCACAAATGAATGAGACGTCCCCAAAACAGAGTAAAACTGCAGTCCTAACATTTAAAAGCAACCCCAAATGACAATCCATTATCTAATCACATAGAACGTGGATTATTTACACTTCTCTAGCGCTTTACAATTTTAACAACACATTCACGGCCATTATATAATTTGGTTCTGACCACAAACTTGGCAGCAGGTGGGGTGGGTGATACTATCCTTTCACATCAGGAGCTCAGAGATGTTAGAGAATTTGAACAAGATCACATTAGAAATAAGGGACAATGTCACTAAGCCATCCAAGTCTTCAGCCCAGTTCAGCTCATTGTACTGTACCTTCCTCAGGTGGAATAATATTTTTTTAAAATACTGTTTTTGCCTCTTTAGGTAGAAGTCTCTCACACCATCTTTTATCCATTCACTCTTTCAGCTCCCCATTTATTTACCCATCCATCTACCCCATCCATCTATCCAATGATTAATCCATCTACTCATCTGTCCATCCATGCATCCATCCATGCATCCATCCATCCATCCATCCATCCATCCATCCATCCATCCATCCGTTTATTGATCCACCCACCCATCCATCCACATATCCATTCTTTTGTCTGCCCTCTACATGTGTATCTATATCTATCCATTTATCATCTTCCTACCCACCCACTGATTCATTCATCTACCCACCCACCCATCCATCCATCCATCTGTCCATCCATTCACTCAACATTTGTGGTCCTCCTTTGTGCTTGTTACTATACAGAGTACAGGAACAACTTACCAGTTTTTGTTCTTATAAAAGGCAAAGTTTTCAGTAAACAGGGATAACTATAAGAGTAGTATCTGCATCAGTTTCTTCTCATTTACCATAGGTTTTCCCTGATGATAGCAAAACAAAATATTGTGCTCTAATTCTTCCCGTGAAATGCAATAAAGTACCTGAGAGGCTGGCAACAAAAGCACCAGAAAAAGACCTAGTTAGTAAGAGTTCTTTCCTTTATAAGTGCTTCAGAAGTACAATAATTATGGTTATGTTATTGGATCACTTGAGATGAAAAGGGCACACTTCCAATTACTTCTCATGAGTAACAAGCTCAAATAATTAGAAATATATCCCTAATAGGGTCTTGGAACTTTTTGGAAGAGCTGAATTAACCATCTAGGTGTTTTCTCAGGCTGCCATTCAGAGTTGAGACTCACTTATCTTTATGATTGCACTCTGTTTTGGGCAATGAACCAATATCAATGATGCAGGTGCCCTAACATGTTGAGACCCTGTAAAGTGATGTGTTTCAAAGGAGATAGGAATGAAACTTCAAAAATCTGAACAGATGGGAAAAAAATATGGATCAACTGTCAATGAATAATCAAAGAGGGGAAAAAAACCCAAACTGTACAAAAGAAAATAACAACATTTTTATTGCAAAAGAAAATAAAACATTTGAAATTTCTAAACAAATAGAATAAAACTTTAACAGTCCCACGAAACATTTTTAAAATTTGCCCAAACAGGGTGTAAATTTTATGAAGTTATTTTCACCAAGTTGCTGCATCACCAGTGACTTATCAATTAACACAATAGAGCTGTGGTGCTCAAACATTAGCATGCATCAGGATCACTGGGAAACCTTGTTAAAACATAGATTGCTAGGCCCTTCCCTCAGAGCTCCCAGAGTCACCAGGTCTGGAGTAGATCTCAAGAAACTGCAATTGCAACAAGCTCCTGGTGCTGCTGCTGCTGGTCTGGGGACCCCACTTTGAGAAGCACTGCAGTAGATCATCTCTAGTCCTCATCTCCCTTAACTTCACAGTTGTGTATGACACTAGGGATCACTCCCTAGGCCTGTGAAGCCCAACTTCTCTTGCTTTCCTTGCCATCTCTCCTTTGTTCCTTCTTAGTCTCTTAGCGTTCTTGAGATTTTATCCTGGGCTGCTGCTCTTTCACTGAAATCTGACTGAGCCATCTCATTCACTCTGAAGCCTTCTGTCACCACTTAAACCTTGTGGGTCCCCAGGCTGCAGCTCCCACCTGTGTTTCACAAAGGCAGGGTTTTCATCGTCTTGTTCACAACTGCATCCTAAGTGACGGAGCATGCCTGGCATATGGAGTGTGCTCAGTCAGTATGAGTTACAACTCCCCAGTAGATATTTCTACCTGAATGCATCACACTAACTTGCAACCGAAACTAAGTCCACACAGAAAGAAACATACCAAAGGAGCATATAATATATACAAGATTCTTCTCTCATCTCTCCAAGAGTACCATTATCCATCCATTTTGTAAGATCCAAGAAACCTAAGGGCTATCCTTGAATTCTCACCTAGCAAACATCAATTTGTGTTCATTTTACCTTGTAATTCTCTTTCCATTTCATTCATTTCTCCCCATTCCTGTTGCCACTGCATAGTCCAGGTCACCACTGTCTCTTACCTGAATGACCACTTGGCCCCCCACCTGCGCCTCCTGTAATCTCCCGACCCTAAGGCCGCCTGCTGAGTCCTCAAGTCTCCTCCTGCCATGCCCACCACGCAAGCCTGTCCTAGAGCTCTCCTAGCTCTTACAGCCAAGCCCCACCCCTCAGCAGGGCCTTTGTGTCAAACTGAAAGGGTCCCTATGGCCTTTCCAGCATTATTTCCCACTTTTCTCCCACAGCCCTATACTCCAAGCATCTTCAGCTTAGCTTTGCTCTTCAAACACTCCATGCTGTCTTATTTCTGAGGCTGGAATTCAAGATGTTCCTTCCACCTAGAATAGGCTTTCATTTTCCTCCTACCACGTTTTAGCTGGATCACTTCTACTCAGTTTTCCATTTTCAACTTAAAATTCACATCCTCCAAAAAGCCTTCCCTTTCCCCCCACAAACAAAACAAAACTGGGTTAGACCCAGACTCTTGTGGGTTCCCCTAACCCTCTGTATCTGCATACAGGGTATTGCTTCTGCTTGTGGAAGTTTTTGCCTTATGTATTAATAATACCATGTCTCAGGTCTACACAGTCTCATGTCTACACAGCACTGGGCTCAGGGCCCCCAGATTTGGTCATAAATGGAATAGGCCAAATGCATTTAAGGAATAGGCCAATTGCATTTAATGGAGTGAAGTGCAAAATAAATTACTTAGAAATTATTTTAAAAGAAATTATTTTTCTATGTTGATAGAAGTCCAATAGTGGCTCCATTGAAGGGATAGTGGCTCTGTTGGGGGGGTACTGACTAGAAAGGGCATCAGGGGATCCCTTAGGCCTGTGGAAATAGGCTGTATCTTATTGCAGGGGGCACATAGGCAAAAATTCATCAAGCTGTCCACTGAAGAGTTGTGCATTTTATGTATGTAAATCATATCTCAACAAAAGCAAATGAATTGTTCCTAAATTAACATAGAATTAGTATAGGCTATAACAATTTGTATGGGCTAAAACAATGCGTGTTGGATATAACTTGGTACTCAATGCCAACCTGTCACAGTCTGAATGTTGGTGTCCCCACAGATTCATACGTTGAAACCTAATCCCCAAGGCAACAGTATCAAGAGGTGGGACTTTAGGAGATTAGCTTCTGAACGCCCCATGTCATGAATGGGATTAGTGCCCTTATAAAAGAGGCCCAAGGGAGCCTGTGTGCCCCATGTACCATGTGAGGACACATAGAAGGTGCCATCTATGAAGCAGAGAGCTAGCCCTCACCAGACACTGAATCCACAGCACCTGGATCCACGACTTGCCAGACTCAAGAACTGTGAGCAATACCTTTCTCTTGTTCAGAATCACCCAGTCTAAGGCATTTTGTGATAGCAGACCCAAAAGACTAAGACACTATCATTGGCATGAAGCTTCCTTGAGATGCTAATTATTTCCTAAAGATCCAGAATTAAAAACATAGCTAAATAATTCTTTAAGTCTTCGTTCTGACAATGTCATTGTTTTAGACTGACTATGCCTTACTTAAACTTCAGGTCCTCAGAATGATTTCGGAGTCATTCTCCACAGAATTACATACCCTATTTAAAACCCTACTTCACAAATTAGAGAGGTTTGAGTTAATGACATATAATTATACTTCAACATTTGAGAAATCTTAAACTATGGTAACGACAAATGCAGCTCAGCTGGGTTCACATTATTTTTAATATGATCACTTTCCTTCTTGAATTGTAAAAACAGGGCACAGGGCAAAAAAACCACCAGGTGGGGGACTCCATAGCCCTATTAAAAAGGAGCCCTGGCTGGGCGTGGTGGCTTACGCCTGTAATCCCAACTCTTCGGGAGGCCGAGGCGGGCGGATCACCTGAGGTTAGGAGTTCGAGACCAGCCTGGCCAACATGGTAAAACCCTGTCTCTACTAAAAATACAAAAATTAGCCAAGCATGGTGGCCCACGCCTGTAATCCCAGCTACTCGGGAGGCTGAGGCAGGAGAATCACTTGAACCCGGGAGGCAGAGGTTGCACTGAGCTGAGATCATGCCACTCCACTCCAGCCTGAGAGGCAGAGTGAGACTCAGTCGAAAAAAAAAAAAAAAAAGCCCTGCTGCATGACTTTTCGGGAAGATGATTTTCCAAGCATGTCAAGAAACGTAGGCTTGTCTAGCTGTCTTTTATTAGACTAGAACATAAAACACAGTTTAAGATTCACTTTCTAACCAATAGGGGAAAAGGCGGAGGGTTTAAGAGCTTGTTTTTTGTAAGTTTTACTTCTCCTAAGAAGGTTCATGCCCTCTGGTGCTGGGCTTCCCAACAGCCCTGGGGCTCTGTCCCTGTGTTTGTTCTGAATGGTCAGCCGTCCCTGGGGCCTGGTGAAAGACAATTTTGAAAAACAGCAATTAAAGCATTCTTTAGGTAGGGTGAAAACCCCACGGGAAACTGTGCATCCAGATTGAGGAGCTCCCACAGCCACTTGGCACTGATGGGGTGCTTTCTACACTGCAGATGAATACCATTGCCTGCAGGTCTCTTGGGTGATGTCCCTACAAAAGTGCCTGTTTTGCATCTATTCTTGGTATTATGTTAGCCAAAGTTTCACTTTCCTTATGTTTCTATTTGCTACTGGTATACTGACACTCAGAAGTCAAAGAAGAGTAAGTCTGAAAACTCCCAACTGTCCAATTTAATGAAGACATTACTTTATCATCATCATCACCAAGCATGTATAACCGTCCAGTGCCAGGACTGGAAAAACTGGAAGCAACCCAGCCATCTCAGTGTGATTTAGAGGAATGAAATGCCATTGTGCCCCCTTTCCTGATGAGAAAATTGAGGTAGCTAAATAGAAAGGGGAAGATAAATGTCCCACAGCGGATGTACTTATTCCTGACTTGGCGCACTCTGTCGCTTTTCCAAAGTAGTACCCAGTGAAAAAGAGATGATCTGATAAAGTTGGCACTGCACAGGGATATGAGATGGGAGGTGAGGCAGGGGAGCTGGGATGGGCGACAGTCAGTGATGGTGATGGTGGTGGTGGTTGGTGATGGTGGTGACGGTGGCGCCTGGCCGGCTCCTCTCCCGTTTCTCCATCACAGCCCGTCCTCTCTGCCTCCTCCGTCCCCGCGTGGCCTCTGCCCAGAGAAACAGGATTTGCACCCAAGCCGCACGTCTGTGGGCGCCAAGCTGCGGCGCCCCGCGAGCCTGCACCCCCTCCCCCGACCCCGCGGCCCGGCGGGCCCCGAGCCCCTCTCTGCGTCCCGCGCCCTCCCGGGCGGTGGCCCCGCTCGGCTCTCCTCGCGCCCCCGCGCGCCGGCACCGCCCGAGCATCCCGGGACACGCGTGGCGGGAGGATCTGGCCGGCCCGGCCTCCCCACTGCAGGGAGCGCCCGCGACCCCCAGCCCGCTCCCCGCCGACCCCCCGCGGCCCGGCCACCGGTCACTTACGCCTGCGCTGGGCCCCGCGCGCCCGGCGGCCCGAGACAAAGGCTGCGCGGCCGCGGCGCCGCCGGCTGCTCCCCGAGCCGCAGCTGCCGGGGGCCGGGAGGAGGATGGGGGACCGGGAGGAGGGAGAGGAGGAGGAGGACGGGAGGAGGAGGGGGCGGCGGCCAGGGAGAGCGGGGGAGGGGCCGCCGCGGCGCTGGCCACCCAGCTGCAGCAGCCCGACCCCAAGTCCTCCTCCCGCGGCCGGCCACCCTCCTGGGCGCAGTCCTCCGCGGTCCTCCGCCCCAAAACCTCCCCCGGGAGACTAGGGTACCGCCCCCCGGGGGGCGGGGTGAGAGGAAGAGGAGGGGAAGGAGGAAGGAGGTGTGTGTGTGCGTGCGTGTGTTCCTTCTTAATCGTGATGCTCTCCACCCACCCCCGCGTCCGCGAGCAATCTTATGAAAATGCTCGACTCCCGGCCTCACCTGGTCACCTCTAGGAAGAACCCTCACCTTCCTCCTTCCACCCGCCCGCACACCTCGCTTTCGGATGGTCCAACCATTTTATGAGCAGCAAAACTGAGACCTGGGAGTTGAAATGCCCGAGGACGCAGGGATACTGAGTGGCAGGCTGAGAGGAGAATGCCGGATCTGAGCCCTTTAAGAGGCGGACCCAGATGCTACCTGTTCTGTCCTGGGCCCGATGCCCAGCACCCGTGGGGATGGGTCCAGGCTGGGAGTGGGACAAGTATGTGCCATCCTGCCTGGGCCTGCGAGGAGACTCCTAGGCTTCCTTTCTGGGAGAAGTAAGATTCTCAGTCATTTGCTTGACTCAGACGTTTGCATCTTGGTATAAAGAGTAGCTTTGATTTATTTTTATTTAAAAAACTTTTTATTGCGAAATCTAAAAAATTTAAAGTAGAATAGTATTAATGAACCCACAAGTGCTCAGCTTCAAAGATTGTCAAGATTTTCCATTCTTTCATCTACTCCTTCCCTTCCCCATCAACGAGGCTAAGGACTTTTAAAAAACATAATTACAATATTATTATGCCACTTTACAAAATTAAGAAGAATTCCCAATGCCCTCCGACTATCACCGAACAGCTGATAGTTATTCATTGAACAGTTATTTTCCAGGTCTGTGTTTAGCACTTTGACTGTGCTGCTCAGCTTTGGTTGGACCCGAATTTTGTCCAAAGCTGCTGGTGGACAAGAGTCCTGCAAATCTGTTGCTGGCCTGCAGTCACTGAGAGACCATGAACTAGAGAACATGATCAGTCAAGGGCCAAACACTCATTACCCCGTCCCTGCCTTCTTGAAAATTTTGATTGAAGCCTATCCTTCTAGAAAAATGCATGCATAGAACTTTGATTTGAATGATAAAAGTTTCCATTCAATTCACACAAACTGTCTGAACCCTAGTGCAGGTTACAAACTACAGAGGTGGGCTGAAGTGTCCCCTGCAGCCCCTTGGAGTCCCATGAGTGGGCTCCTGAAGGCTCTGCAGGGTCTGGCCCCCAGCAGGAGAGCTGCATTTGCCACTGGTTTCCCTGGTGTCCTGAGGCTGGAGCACAGCAAGAGAGGGAAGTTAGTGTGCCAGCTTTATTCTGTATTTAAGACCTGTGCAGGTGTGGGTTGGAAGTGGATGCTTGGCTGTACCTTAGACGACCATCTGAAGAAGATGAAGAGGCTCGGCTCAGGCCATGGCAAGGGCACCTGGACAGTCAGCTTCCCTGAACTCCCCTAGTGGCAGAGCCAAGGCTGGCTGTCCGTAAGTGGCTTGAAGGGCAGTGTTAAGAGGTGGCAGGGCAGAGTGGCCAAGAGGCAGGCTCTGGACTCAGACCACTTGGCTTTCAATCCCACACCTATTGCTAGCCGTGTGACCTTGGCTGAATTACTTGGCATCTCTGTGCCTCAGTTACTTCATCAGGAAAAATTGGGGTTGTGGATCGAACCTGTGTATTGGGGCTGCCAGGGGCATTTATAGGTGTACAGTGTCTGGCACAAAATGGCTGGCAAGGTGCTTGGAGCATTCACACTGCTGCTATCCCCTACATGGGAGACCACAGTGACTGAATCCCAGAGGGATGACTGCCAGAGGAGTCACAGCTTTACTTTAAGCAGACAAACAGGGCCCATGCCTGCTTTCTGCTGCAGTAGAAGCAGAATGTGCAGAAGAGAAAATGGCTCTTCTCTCCTCGCCAAAGGCCAGAGAGTGGGTGCGGATGCCTACTGCCGGCCTCAGTGGGATTCCTAGACACTGTGGGTTTCCCTACTACCACGGATCCAGGAAATGATCCTTGGGATGCTGAAGGGAAGGGTTTATTCTCTGTCCCCTCACCCCAGTCAAACTGGTCTCAGTTAATGGAACATAATGTTCCCTCTCCTGCCTCCCCACGCCTTACCTCCTCTTGTGAATCTGTCCCTGACAACCTCAGGCTGAGGAAGGTCTCTTCAGTCTGAGACCCTGGGCCTGCGCTGCATTCATGATTAGAGCTGTTGGTTGTGATGAGAGCTGTTGGTTGCTGTGTGCGTTGTATCAGCCTCTCTAGACTGTGCACGTGCTGAGAGTTGGAACTGTTATCAAGTCTCAGTGTTCCCCATAACATCCTGTCCATTGCCCCACCTGGTACTGGTACAAACAATACTTCACATAACATACACACAGATAATAGACTGTCCTCCCAAGGAGTTCGGCCCAGGCCAGGATTTCCATGTCCTGTAGCCAGCCCAGCAACTAGCCCAGGTGACTCAAACCTGCTCACCTGCCAGCACCTCCCTGGGGTGGGCAGGGCCTGGAGAGGAAGAGACCTGCCTCTGTGAGGGACATTAGAGTGCCCCGATGATGAGTCTCTGATTTTGTATCTTCACTTCCTGGTTGCTGTATATTCTCATCCCCAAAAGGGGAAGCGCAGTTACTTGCCCTGGCGTGGTCCTGGATTTCAGTGACCTTGTTCTGAAGAGAATAAACCTTTCTCTTTTCCTTGTACCTTTCTACCACTTTCTTTTTTTTGTTTGTTTGTTTGTTTTTTTTTATTATACTTTAAGTTTTAGGGTACATGTGCACATTGTGCAGGTTAGTTACATATGTATACATGTGCCATGCTGGTGCACTGCACCCACTAACTCATCATCTAGCATTAGGTATATCTCCCAATGCTATCCCTCCCCCCTCCCCCTACCCCACCACAGTCCCCAGAGTGTGATATTCCCCTTCCTGTGTCCATGTGATCTCATTGTTCAATTCCCACCTATGAGTGAGAATATGCAGTGTTTGGTCTACCACTTTCATTCCCTCACTTGCAACTCTCTTTTCCTTCCCTCTCTTGTAATATGGATTATAGTGATTTTTAAAGAAACTTTTTGGTGTACTTTGTATCAATTAGACATAATGTAGCCATAATGTAAAATTGAGTCTAAGGCTTTCGTGGAATGAGATGAACAAGTGAAATGTAGGGTCTGGTTCTGCACATGGGAGAACTGTCAAATTGTAGGTCTTCTTGAAGAATGAAATATTTGGGGGATACTCAGATCTTCTGATTCTTTTGGGAAATAATTTTTACCAAAAGTGTCTAGTAATGTGTTCAGATGAAACACAGTGAAGAACTTTATGAGGACCCATTTGTTCTTTGTGGACAATCTGACACTTCAAACCAGCTCTAAGAGAGAACCCTATAAACTATGACAATGACAAAGAACTTCAGTCTTGATAAAGCAATAGAGTTTGGTTTAGCTAAATGGAAGACCATACAAGTGTGGAAAGGACAGCTTGCGGTGATGAATGGATTAGATGGCTATAAAGATCAACTTACAGAAGATTAATAGAAGGGGAGATGTATAATATCTGGGCTTCCAGCTGTTGAGGAATGCTAAGCTTATTGACACTGAAGATAAGCTTAGATAAAAGACATTTAGACCAAATGGAGAGAAAATACTTTAAAATAAGCCTAGTGCTAGCAACTAAATTAAGGCAGTAAATATATCTGTGGCTGCAGCCCATTTACTATTATAGAGACAACAGATCATTCTAATCAACAGCAGATTATTAACCGCAAAGGGCCCTATGCATCACAAGGAATTTGAGCCACTCACTCTCCCACATCAGAGGAAATCCAGTTGTCCTCACAAGGAAATTTCATATCCTAGTTGGAAACTAAAAAAAAAGTTGAGAATGTCATATAGGGTGGTTCTAAAATATCAGGAGGTGGGGTCCACGTCCCCTCCCTGTGGACCCCTGGATGGACTTGCCAATGGGGAATGCTGGAAGAGCTAATACGTGGTCTCCTGGGACTAGATCATAACAGGCATGCACCCTCTGGCTCACTTGGAATGCTTACCTTCCAATATTCCCTCCTGGGAGACACCCACTCGGAACTCAGCCTGGGAGAGGTCCAAGCCACAGGGAGAGGTCAGAGAAAGTTGCTCAGGTCAACCGTCTCAGCCTTTGAGGCATCTCAGCCCAGGCACCAGATGTATGAATAAATGTGGTGATTCCAATGTCTGGCCTTCAAGTTACCTCCAGCTGTTTGAATCTTTCTAGCTGTGACCCCAGCATTGTAGAGAAGAGATTACTCATCCCCTCCGTATCCCATCCAAATTCCTGACCAAGGGAATCCAGGAGCATAATAAAATATGGTTGTTCAATGCCATTAGGTATGGGTAGTTGTTATGCAGCAAGAGATAACACGAATACCAAACAATAAACAAACATATGTCAGGTGGAATGAGACAGATTTTGCCTTCAAAAAGCTTACAGTCTTAGCAGGAGTCAGTGTGAAATAAGCTAAACATGAAGGGATCATGCTGAATTCCAGGCTGTTTTCTGCCCTTCCTAGCTGCACAGCCCTGGGAAGGTGTTGGTTCTTGTGCCCAGTGTCCCCATCTGTAAAATAAGCATAATAATAGTACCTCCTGCATGGGGGCTTGTGAAGAAAGAATACACGTGAAGAACTTGGGACATGGTGGTACTCCATAAGTGCCAGCCCATTGTTAATACTATTATGCTCCAGGCACACTTATTCTGTGGCACTCGCAGGAGAAACGGCTGCTGAACCCTGACCATATCACTGGGTGATTTGTGTTTCAAGAAAAGTAGATTCACGTAATGGGTTTGATTAACAGGCCCCAGGGTTTTATAATGAGTTCACAACAACTTCTCTTCAATCAGGGTTTTATCATCTTTTCTGGACTGTCACCTGCAGTAAGAAATACATTTCACATTGTGAACCATGCACATATGTATCTGCCTATATAAAACTATATTAAAATTTTTATAATACTTGACGTTACTATGTGCAACATACTCTATTTTCTATCTTGTCCCATTGCACTTTTCAAACTCCACTGAATCGATTTCACAATACATGAACGAGTCAAAACCTGCAATTTGAAACCCACGCAATAAATAATAATTTTTATATGGTTTCTGTGATGGTCCATCTCATGTGTCAACTTGACTGGGCTAGAAGTCGCCCAGATAACTGGCAAAACATTGTTTCTGTGTGTGTCTGTGAGGCATTTCTGGAAGAGATGAGCATTTGAATCAGTGGATTGAGTCAGAAGATCATGCTCACCAGCATGGGTGGGCATTGTCCCATCCCATGAGGGCCCAAATAGAACAAAGAGCAGAGAGAAGGGCAGTTTTGCTGTCTCTTCTTGAACTGGGACATCCATCTTCTCCTAGCCCTGGACATAAGAGCTCCAGGTTCTTGGGCCTTTAGACTAGGACTGGTACTTACACCATTGGCTACCCTCACTCTGAGGCCTTCGGGCTTGGGCTAGAACCAAACCACCAGCTTTCCTGGGCCTCCAGCTCGAAGATGGCAGATCATGGGACTTCTCAGCCTCCATAATCGTGTAAGCCAATACCATATACGCATTCTCTTTGTATAAATCTCTCTACAGTCTATGGGTCCTGTTTCCCTGTAGAACCCTGATGAACACAGATTCCTTGCCCTAAACTTTGTGTTGCTTTTGCCCTTGTTTGCCTGACTCTTCTTCACTTTCTGTAAGTCCTGCCCCTCCATGACCGCCAGTCTGTTGCCTCCCCAGCACAACTGACAGTTCTGAGTTCTGGCAGAGTTGTGGGTCTGTCCCACGCAGTAATGCCGGATGTCAAGCTGTTTGATGTCATGGTTGCTATATCAGATGCATTCCTACTGTTTCCACAGTCCCTAGTACCACACCCAGTACATAGTAGGTGTCAGACAGGTTCTTCTGAGTTGATCTTGGCATGGGAATACTAACCTATATTTTCCTGTTCATGTTATGTGTGTGCTAAGCAGTTAGCTGTTCTCAGATGGTGTGTAATTTGGTGTTATTATTGATCATGATGTAATTTAAGTGTCAGGGAGAAGCGAGTTGGCCAGGCTTCTTTCCTCTGGTGTCTTAAGCAAACTTACTTGAGGAGTTCTACCTCCTCACCTCCGACATGATGCCTATCCTTCTTGAAAGCTGTTTTCATTTTGTAACAACAAGGCATTTAGAATCAAAATCCAGAAAATGCCTCCCATTAAAATTTTACACTGCCTATTGCTGCATGCCAGCTTTGTTACTGCTTGTTGTTGCTGCCTATTATAAATAATGACCCCAGGACATATTTTGTTATGAGAGCCATTAACCAACACGCCATTCTGCTCACATGAAAGAAGCCACGTATCTGCTAAGGCAACTCGTGGACAGGTTTTTTGTTTGTTTGTTTGTTTGTTTGGGTTTTTTTGCTACATAAAGTGGAAATTTTACAGAAATGTAAATTACAGCTGCTCCTGATTTTTCAGGGCTCATAGTTCAAAACACTTTTTTCTGTTCTCAGGCTGCTGTGTCAAGAGTGTATTTGCATGGGGGTGTCACATTAATTAAGGCCACCTTAATGCTGTGGCCTCAGATGAAGAGAATTGCTTTCTCTTCAAGGGTAGCAGTGTGATGGGGTAGAGTGGTTTTGAAGTCCCACCAAATTTGGCATTGAATTGCAGCTCTGCCATGTATTAGCTGAGCAATGGGAAGCCGTTACTTTAGCTCCGTAAGCCTCAGTCTCCTTATTTGTAAGGTGGGGATAATATTATACCTCTCAAGGTCATAGTACTAGAGAAAAGCTCATGAACAAAAAGTGGCCAGAAGCCATTCCTTGTTCATATGAGGAATGCCTGCCTTGTACCATGGCATTCTGTCTTCCTAAAATGGAAGAGGCCAGGGCTGATGGCTGAGTGAAAAGCAGCCCACTACAGGCTGACCAGTGACCAGGCAGTGGCCTGAACAGAAAGTCAGCAGTGATAAATGGGCCTAGTCAATTCATATTTAAAAAAAACTTTATTCAAAGAAATGATTACCATAAACATCCAGACAGTCGGTATGGCAGTCAGAATAATGGCCCCAAAGATGTCCACAACCTAATCCCCGGAACTTGTGAATATGTTACGTTATATGTTAAAAGGGCTTTACAGATGTGAGTAAGTTAAGGATCCTGAGGTGGAAAGGGTCAAAGCCCTGTTTGCCTTGTAAGGTAACATATTCACAGGTTCCCGGGGAGCACAGAGTAATCACAACGGTCCTTCTAAAAGGGTAGCAGGAGGGTCAGAGGAGGTGCCATTGTTGGGAAAGGCCAGGAACAGAGGAATGCAGGTACCTCTAGAGGCCAGAATAGACAAGAGCCTGATTCTCCCCCAGAGCTCCTGGAAGGAACACAGCCCTGCCGACACCTGGATTTTAGCCTGCAAAACTTATTTGTAGACTTTTGATGACCAGAACTGTAAGATAATAAGTTTGTGTTGTTTTAAGCCACTAAGTTTGTGGTAAATTGTGACAGCAGCCATAGGACACGTCTCTGAATGGAGAAAGGAATACACAGTCAGTGTGGGCTTCGGAAATACTGACCACAGTCCAGTTTTCATTTTCGGATGGTGGTAGCATGGGTGTTCCATTTATAACGACCTGTTCAACATTAGATCCATGTTATATACGCTTTTCTTCGTGTCAATTATATTTCACAATTTTAAAAAGAGTTTCAATGGATTTTTTATCTTTTATTTTATTTTGTTGTTTTCAGACAAGTCTGAGATCCAGCAGGAAGTAAATCAGGCTGTCCAACTGGAATTGAGAAGAGTTTAAAGAAGGGATATTGACAAGCTGTGGCCAGGGGTTAGGGAAGGAAACAAAGACTAGCGCAGAATCCTGTGACTAGCAATGGTGGTAGGCGGTGACCCCTCATGGCCCTGCAGAGGCCAAGGGAGAGGATTGCTAGCAGAACCTAGAGGAGCAGCTCCAGGCAGGCAGGAGCTGTCAGTAGAGAAACCCACTGTGGGGGTGGTGACCTCAGGTTCCTAATGGTGCCACCATTGGCTGGTCCCAGCCAGAAACCAGAGTGCAAGGAACCCAGTGGATGCCACCCAGAGAACCTGCCTCCCAGCCACGAAGCAGGAGAAGGATGAAAAGTGGATCTGGATGGGCTGATACAAAATATCCTGTAGAGTCTCTCTCCTCTTGTCTTCTGTTCAGCTAAAAAATACTCATGGTCTCTAAAGAGGGACATGCAAAATCTCGCTAGATATTGCATCATGGCACGTGATGTCAGTTCAGCCATAGGCCCCTGTGAAACTTGACATTTTAGCCCTAACAGTGCTCTTCATGCAATGTAGCAGGGGTGATGAGAAAAAAGGAAGAATGAAAACAATGAACACAAACGTATCTGCTGCCGTCTCCTCTTCTGTAGCTGGTTCTGAGGCCCCCCCCGGGAACTGCAGCTGATTTTATAACATGTTCCTCCTACTCTCTGCAGCCCTTAGCTGGGCGAAGGTCTCTGTTGTAGGGTGTTGACCTAAACCTCCAATCCAAACAGGTTTGAGTCCTCAGTTCACTGCAGTTTTCTGTGGGTGAGGACTGCTGGGCAAGAAAGTACCAGAAGGCTGCGGCTCCTGAGAATCCCTGGGCTACCTATGCAATCCTCCCTGTCCCCATGGGGTAGCAATAATGCAGCTTTTTTTTTCCTGGTAACTAAGATCTCAGTTAAGTGACCCTTTCCAGGCCCTTTGGTTCAGCAGCTGAGGAACCCCAAATGGCCAGGGGTCATCTCAGCTTCTAACTTAACACAGTGCCGTGGTTGTGTTCCTTCTGGGACTTCCAAAATCATCCATTCCAAGACAACAGAATGAGAAGCAAAAATTCCTCCAGTGAGTTTTTAGGTATTACAGGCTCAGAAACACAGCCACCTCAACCCTTTGATTCTTAGACCCATGTATCTGGCTCCTGGAGAGATCAACCAAATATTGGCCATTGGTTTGAGGTATTTGCTGATTGTTGTTAGACAGCCTCCAGCAACTCTGAGGGTGCCACCTCCCATCTGCTACCATAACTGAGCCTCCAGCAGACCATCCTACCATTCTGTGAATGCTGCTTCCAGGTGATGTTGGGGCTTGGGGTAAGACCAGTGCATTTCATGAACTTTCATCATCATACATGGTGTCTCCTGGCTATTTGGCTATGAATCAGGAATTCTTGAAGCCCACACTCTGAGGGTCTGGCAGAACCCTGAGGACAGGAGAGGCAAATTCATACCTAGATTATGAGTTTATCCTTTTGAAGACAGATTGCTATCTCCTCTATGATGACAGAGGCCAGCGTGATAAACCCCTCAAGAGGTAGCACGTTGCCCACTGTATGTTCCAGCTCCCCAGGAGAATGGTGCCATATCAGGGACTCAGCTGCGTACTATTGGAAGTACCCAGATCCATATTAGTAGGGAGAAGGCCCCGTTTTTCAGTCCTGCACAACTCTCATCCTGCCCCCAGGGCCACTTTGTAATTGTACAGTGTGGTAGGGAAACGGGCTGACTGACAGCTACAGGACATGCCATCTTGTGAACCTGATTATTGTATGAGGGCCTTGATTCTGGTCTCTTGGGAGGATTCCCTTGGATTGTGAATTACTTCACATTCCAAGAGCTTTATTCACATTCCTTTCTCCAAGAGCTCCTTGCCACCAGCTCTCTAATTTTGTTCTTTCATCCCATAAGTCACCGCTTGTGAATCAGTGTAGATCCAGACCTCTTCATCCACACAAGTGGACATGCTGATGTATGACCTGAAGTTTTGGGAAGATTTCCTTTCACCAATGTCCCTGACTGTGACTGCAGTGCCATCTACCTCTGGTAAAATAATCAAACATAAAATTTGGTATGTTAACCATTTATAAGTAGAAAATTCAGTGGCATTAATTCCATTCACAATGTTTTGCAACCATCATCACTACCTATTTCCAGAACTTTTTCATGATCCTAAACCAAAATTCTGGAACCATTAAGCAATAACTCCCCATCTTCCCCTCCCTGCAGCTGCTGGTAACCTCTAATGTACATTCTGCTTGCCTAATCTAGATAGATCATATAAGTGGAATTATACAATATTTGTCCTTTTGTGTCTGGCTTGTTTCATTCAACACAGTGTCTTCAAAGTTCAGCCACACTGTAGCATGTGTGAGAACTTCTTTCCTTATTCTGGCCAGATAACATTCCACTATGTGTATATGCCACATTTTGTGTATCCATTCATTCATTGATGAACACTTGAATTGCTTCCACCTTTTGGCTATTGTAAATAATGCTGCTGTGAATATTGCTGTACCAGTATCTGTTTGAGTCTTGTTCTGAATTATTTTGGGTATAAACCTAGGAGTGAAATTGCTGAGTCGTATGATGATTATATGTTCAGCATTTTAAGGAAGTGTCAAACTATTTTCCATACCACTAACAATTCTAATATCTCCACATCCTTGCCAACACTTGTTACATTCTGATTATTGTTATTATAGTCATCCTTGTAGGCATGAAGTGGTATCTCATTGTGGCTTTGATTTGTGTTTCCCTAATGACTTAAGATATTAGGTATATTTTCATGTGCTTATTGGCCATATATATATTTCTTTGGAGAAATGTCTATTCAAGTCCTTTGCTGTTTTTTAATTGTGTTGTTTGTCTTTTTATTGTTGAGTGTTAAGAGTTCTTTATATATTCAGGATATTAATCCTCATCAGATAAATAATTTCCAAATATTTTCTTCTATTCCATAGGCTGTTTTTTTACCCTCTTAACAATCATCCTTAGATGGAAAAAGTTGTACAGTTTGATGAAGTCCAATTTATTTTTTCATTTGTCACTTATGCTTTTGGTCAGTCAGAGAAGGAGCTGTGATGACAGAAGTGGAGGTTGGAGTAATACCACTCCTGGGAAAGGGTCATGAGCAGAGGAAAGCAGATGCCCCTAGAAGCTGAAGAATACAAGGAATGGATTCTCCCCTAAAAGCCCAGTGCCCAATCCAAGGTTATGAAGACTCACCCCTATGTTTTCTTCTAAGATTTTTTTTTTTTTTTTTTTTGAGACGGAGTCTCGCTGTCGCCAAGGCTGGAGTGCAGTGGTGAGATCTTGGCTCACTGCAAGCTCCGCCTCCCAGGTTCACGCCATTCTCCTGCCTCAGCCTCCCAAGTAGCTGGGACTACAGGCGCCCGCTACCATGCCTGGCTAATTTTTTTGTATTTTTAGTAGAGACGGGGTTTCACCGTGTTAGCCAGGATGGTCTCGATCTCCTGACCTCGTGATTCGCCCACCTCGGCCTCCCAAAGTGCTGGGATTACAGGCGTGAGCCACCGCGCCCGGCCTCTTCTAAGATTTTTATAGGTTTCTTTCTTATATTTAGATCATTGATCTTTTTTGAGCTAAGTTTTATTTATATGTGAGGTAGGGGGTCTAACTTCATTCTTTTGAATGTGGAAATCCAGTTGTCCCAGCACCATTTGTTGGAGAGACTATTCTTTCCCCATTGACAGAGTTGGCACCTTATCAAAAATCAATTGGCCACACATGTATGATTAATTTCTGGACTCTCAATTCTATTCCATTGGTCAGTGTGTCTATCTTTATGCCAGTACCATATTGCTTTGATTACTTTAGCTTTATAGTAAGTTTTGAAATCAGGAGATGTGGGTCTTCCACCTTTGTTCATTTTTTCCAAGATTGTGTGGCTATTTGGGGTCCCTTGCAATTACATATAAATTTGAGGGTTGGCTTTCCCAGTTCTGCAAAGAACACTGTTGGAATTTGAACAAGGATGGTGTTAAATCTCTAGATTGCTTTGGGTAGTGTTATTATCTTAACAATATTAAGTCTTTCCATCTAGAACACGGGATGTCTTTTCATCTATTTAGATCTCCCTTCTTTCAACATGTTTTTTAGTTTTCAGTGTGCAAGTCTTTCACTTCCTTGGTTAATTTTATTCTCTGGTATATTATTCCTTTTAGGTCATTATAAGTGAAACCATCTTCTTAATTTTCTTTTTGGATTGTTCATTGCAAGTGTTTAGAAACAAAACTGATTTTTATGTGTTGATCTTGTACCCTGAAGCTTTGCTGAATGTATTTATTAGCTCTAGTAGCTTCCATGTAGATTCTTTGGAATTTTCTATATGTAGGATTATGTTATCTGAAAATAGAGACAGTTTTACTTCTTCCTTTGCAATTTGGATGACTTTTATTTCCAAAATATATAATTAGATCAACATATTTAGCAGTTGATGCAGCCCTCACTTTGGGTCCTTGGCCTGTGGGGTAAGAGGTACTGCGAGAATGGCCAAGTGGAAACCTCTGAAACTGCCCACCTTTCCACCCAGACAAGATAGTTGGTCATAAATAATATTGCATGAGGTGGTGGCAATGCAGATATTAGGGACACTTTTAAGAGTGTAAAGGATACAGAGATTGTAAGCCCTATCATATCTCCTTTTGATCACCAGTTAAACTGGTTGGATCCTGGAGGAAGACTATAGATATACCACAGGTTCAACCAAGTCATGCCCTGATTGCAGCTGCTGCATTAGGTGAGGTGGCTTTGCTAAAGCAGGGTGATGGCCTTAGTCTCTTTGAGCTGCTTTAACAAAATACTTTAAACTGGGTAGCTTGCAAGAACAGAAATTTATTTCTCACAGTTCTGGAGGCTGAGTAGTCCGAGATCAAAGCATTGGCAGATTTGGTATCGATTCACTTTCTGGTTCATAGATGGTGCTTCTCACTGTGTCTGTACATTGTGGAAGAGGCAAGGAGTCTCTCTCAAGCTTCTTTTATTAGGGCACTAACTAATCTCATTCATGAGGGCTCTGCCTTCATGACCTAATCCCCTCCCAATGGCTGTACCTCCTAATGCCATCGCTTTGGGTGTTAGCGTTTCAACATATGAATTTTGGGTAGACATAAATATCCAGAATACAGCAGCGATTCAAAATGAGGCACATGCTATGCAGCCATTGATCCAGCAAATGTGTTATTTTCTATCACAATTAGAAAAAGAGGATCAGAAATAGTTCACTTTCACATGGAACAGACAACAATATACATATACAGTTTCCCCTGAGGTTATGTTAACTCACTCTCTGTTGTAATGTTGTCTGAAGATATCTGCACTATCTGGACCATCTGCATTGATCCATTACATAGCTGACATCATGTTGACTGGGCTAGATAAGCAGGAGGTGGCTAGGACATTGGAGGCCTTGGTAAGGCACATGTGCTCCAGAAGGTGGGAGAAAAACCCCTACAGAGATTTGAGGACTGGCCACATTGGTAACATTTTTAGGGGTTCTATGGACAGAAACATGCTGGAACATCCCTTCAAAATGAAAGACAAATTATTCCATCTTGCACCTCTCATGGTGAAGAAGGAAGTATAATGCATGGTGGACCTCTCTAGTTTTTGGAGGGGGCCTGTGTCATGGCATCTTCTATACCACTTCTGCCCATGTACTAGTAACATAAATTTCTCCCAGCTTTGAGTGGGGCCCAGAATGAGAAATGGCTCTGCAGTGGGTCTAGGCTTCAGGGCAAAAATTTATGCCACTTGGACCTTACGGTATTGGAAATATCAATGTAGGAAAAGATGATGTGTGGAGTTTGTGACAGGGTCCAATGGAAGAATCTTGTCACAAGACCCTGAGGTTCTGTAATGAGGCCATGCTGTCTTTTGACAAGCATCTTCTGCTATGCCACTACATCCTGGTAGAGTCACGTCTCCTGACCACAAAACAGCAAGTGACCAGTGACCAGGCAGGAAGAATTACCTATCACGAGCTGGTTCCTGGCAGACTCCCCAAGTCATAAGGTTGGGTGGACTCATAAGCAATCCTCTGTAAGATGTTAGATGCATTCAGGCATTCCAGACTCAAGGGAATGCATGCGCAAACGTTCCAAACCTCGATGACATCTACCTCTGTTGTACCAGTTCCCCTAATCTCAATTCACATCTATGGCCCTGTGTGTGTGTGTGGGTCCTTTACAACCACAAGAAAGAGGAAGAGAAAGCCTGAGCTGGGGCTGCAAATGGGTTGGCTTGGTATGTGGGTGGAAGCTGCAAATGGATATCAAGTACACTACAGCCTATGCTGCAACAACTACTACTTTCAAGGGTGACCTTGAAAGACAATGGCAAGGGAAAATATTTGCAAAGGCCAGAGCTTTGAGCAGTATACTTTATCAATGACATTGTATGAGAAGGGAAGTAGCATGAGTTAGAATATATATTGACTCCTGGGCAATGGTGAATGGCCTGGTTGACTGGTTAGGAGCCCAAAAGGAAGAAGATTGGAATATCACGTACAAAGAAGTCTAGGGTAAAGTCATGTGGATGGATGTGTGGGAGGCATCATGAAGAATGAAGATAATTGTAAAACATGTTGTCTTCCATAAGAGTGCATCCACCTTGGAAGAGACACTAACTTGTCAACATTACTGATATTTTGGGCCATATAATTCTTTGTTGTGGGGACTGTCCTGTGCATTGTAGGATGTTTAGCAGCATCTTTGGTCTGTATCAACTAGACACCACTAGCACCCTCCCACTTGTGACAACCAAAAATGTCTTAGGCATTACTAAATGCCCTCAAAAGAAGGGTGGGCAAAATCGTCTCAGTTGAGAATCATTGTGCTAAACAACCAAATAGACAAAATGAGTCAAATATTTGATGGCCAGCCAGTCTCTATCACTAGCCACTCCACTGCTGGCATGGTGAGCACATGAATTAAATGGCCAAGGCAGCAGAAATGGAGGGTACACATGGGTAGAATAGCATAGATTCCTACTTACCAAGGCTGTTCTTGCCACAATCTCTGCCAGGTATCTGACCTGCCAGCAACACACACGGACAATAGGCCCTAATATGGTACCACTCCTCAGAGTCCAGTTGGTCAGTTGGCAAGATGATTACACTGGACGTCTTTCTTTCTGGAAGGGTCAATGGTTCATTTTCACAGGAAAGATACACATTCTGGATCGAAGTTTGCCTTTCCCGTTCATGCGGCCTTGGCACCACCATCATAGGCTTACATGGTGTTTGAGTCACTGGCATGTGAGCCCGTATCATGCATATCTTTTTATTCTGATGCTTTGTCATGTGGGTCCTTGTTGACCATAGGGAAGCTGCCCTTCTTTTTTTTTTTTTTTTTTTTGAGACAGAGTTTCGCTCTTGTTGCCCAGGCTGGAGTGCAATGGCGCAATCTTGGCTCACTGCAACCTCTGCTTCCCAGGTTCAAGTTTCTCCTGCCTCAGCCTCCTGAGTAGCTGTGATTATAGGCATCCACCACCATGCTCATCTAATTTTTTGTATTTTTAGTAGAGACAGGGTTTCTCCAGGTTGGTCAGGCTGGTGTTGAACTCCTGACCTCAGGTGATCCGCCTGCCTCAGCCTCCCAAAGTGCTGGGATTACAGGCGTGAGCCACCGCATCTGGCAAAGCTGCCCTTTTTAGGGCTTTCCAATTCCTGGGGACAGTAGATGACTTAACCTGTGAGTGTACTTTTCATATGCACCAATCCAGAGCCCACATACTGACCACTTCCTCTATGAAGGTCTCACACTCTGGGCTAGTATTTCCCTGCCCTTCATACCCCAGGGCCAGGTACCAAATAACTAGGGAAGCCCCTGCACCCCAGAGCCTGCTGAAATTATTCAAACGAGCCAATCCTAAATCTGCAAACCATGCCTCACTCATTCCTTCCTGTGAAAGCCACAAAGAATGTTCTTGCCCATGCTAGCCAGCATCCATCCCTCTGCCTTCTGACTGACCCTGGTGTTTCCTCATGTGTCTCTGCATGGTGTGGCTGCCCGCCTCGTCCTGGGAACTGTGAGGAACAGACTATCTTTTCAAAGGCAATCATCTCCTGATCTGCTGGTCTCACCATACCTACATAATAACAAAATCTGCATTGTAAATAACGGGCCCCTCACAGCCTCAGACTAGAGGACCAATTTACAATGACAGCAAAGGAGGTGTGCGGCGAGTTCCTGACTGTGGACACACTGATTGTATTACAGACGCGTTTTCTCTCAGAGACGGAGGTCTACTGGGATCCAGAAGATGCAGTTACGTGAACAGGGCGAGGGGTGGGCTGGGATAGACACGGAGATGTGCCACTTTCTGTGAGGCAGCGCTGCCCTGCCCAGTGCAGGAAGCACAGGCCACAGGCACAGGCACCTCCACTCACCAGCGCCTTCTGGTCCTTCGAGCTGCAGAGAGCTGCCTTGCCTGAAGTCACACTCACATAAGGGCCACTCACATCCGCAGACTAAGTGAGGAAAAAGAGGAAGGCACAGGTGTCTTGTGATTCTGGGGAGCCATTCTTGCTCTAAAGCCTCCTGCCACATTGGCTACAGCTTTGTGGGGGTGCATGTCACAGTACAGTTTCCCTCGCTGCCCACTCTTTCCTCTGCCCTTTTCCTTCACAGGTTCTGATCTCTGTGTTAGTCATCTTGTACTGCACAGCAAAGTACCACAGGCCTGTGGCCTTAAACAACGTAAATTTATTTTCTAACAATTCTGGAGGCTGAAAGTCCAACGTCAAGGTGTCAGCAGGGTTGGTTTCTTCTGAGGCCTCTCTCCTTGGCTTGCAGATGGCCGCCTTCCTGCCGTGTCCTCACATGGTCTCTCTTCTGAGTGTGTCTGTGTCCTAATCTCCTTTTCCTCTTGGAAGGACACTAGTCCTATTGGATAAGGGCCACCCTAAGGGCCTCGTTTTAACTTAATCATCTCTTTAAAGACCTATCTGCAAATACAGTCACATTCTGAGGTACGAGGGGTTAGGGCTTCAACATGTGAATAATGGGAAGACATAATTCTGTCCATTTAAATCTCCAATGAACATCTTGCATCCAAGCTCCATCTCAGCATCTGCTTCTAGAAAACCCAGCCAGGGACTCCAAACCAACGGGCAAAGTACTGATTCCTGATGTTAACAGACCTAGCCTGATCTATTCTTCTATGTCCTCCCTTCTGGTCCACAACCCTTATCATGCACCCATCTACACTCCTGCACTGCTCCTTCAGTCAGCATAAACGCTGTCTCCTCCTGGAGCAAACAACTGAGGAAGAAGCCTTAACATCTTAATATCAATACTAAGTATTTCTTTATCTTATTTTATTTTTTGGAAGTAAGTTTATTAAGAAAGTAAAGGAACAACTAATGGCTACTCCATTGGCAGAGCAGCCTAAATATTAATATTTGTTTAATTTGCCTCTTTGCGATTCCACCTCCCCGCCTTATTTAAATTCACCACGATGCCTTGCCTGGGTTTTTGCAACAGCATCCTCAATGGCCTCACTGTCTCCTGTCTTGTGCATGTTTAATTCATGTCCTGTACTGCAGCCTGAGTGATCTTTCTGAAGAACTCTGCGGGCATAATGTTTTTGTGCTATTAAGCTGCTGTGTTTTCCTTTCTGGTAGATGATGTAGACTCCCCTTGCATGGAATCCGTGGCAGTCAGAGCTTGGGAGGAAGACTGCAAATGCCTAGAAAAAGGGATCCCTGCTCAGGTTTGATGACAAATCAGGTATTTTCAATCCATAGCAGGAGTGTACTCTTGTAAACCTGGCTGGAGTGAGAAAAAGGTTCATTTGGTTTTATTTCCTTCTATGTTTCAAAAGCATTCCTTTGCACATCAGGAGTCAAGTGGAGTCCTGAGCACAGTTTGCTGAGGACACAGAGTAGCAGTACAAGGAGATTCCCCACTGAGGGGACTAAAGGGAGCCCCTCTGGAGTTGGGAGGAGGAACTACAGGAGAGAAGGCGGGCCAGGATGTGGAGGGGAGGACGCTGGTTCTGCCTGGGGTTGACCCGCCCACACCTACACCCATGTCCATGCCCACCTGAAACTTCTAGACAGCTTTGGAGGAAATCTCAGGACAGGGAGGATTTCATCTCTATCCTTTGGGCAGAGGCCATCAACTACAGAATACCCTCCCTTCCTCCCTCCCTCCCTCCCTCCTTCTCTCCTTCCCTCCCTCCCTCCCTCCTCCCTCCCTCCCTTCCTCCCTTGTTTCCTTCTTTCCTCCCTCCATCTCTCCTTCCTTCCCTCCCTTTCTTCCTTCCTTTCTCTTTTCCTCCTTCCTCTTTCTAAATTAACCAGTCCTGAGGCAGGGGTATAACATGGTCAGGAGGGAGGACCCAGAGATGCTAGCTTTGAGCAGGCTGCTACAAACGGCTTGAGCGCTTGCTTGCTTGTATGCCTGTGTCACCTGATTAGCCTTTTCTGGTGGACAGATGGCTATAAATGCAGCAGTTGAATTGGAAGGACTGTAGGGGGCTCCCGTGATCCTGCCTCCTCCTCATGTTAATCTCCTCCCCTTGAGTGTAGGGGGACCCACCCAACAACTAACCTCAAGATTGGCCTGGAAGGAAAGACTAGAAAAGGCGATATTTGGACATTCAAGAAGCCATCTCCTTGAAGGCAAAGCTCCCTTCCCAGATATTAGCAGCACGTGCCGTGTTTGCATCTACGATGATGAGCAGTGCCTAGGTGCACAGAGAACCCGGATGCCCTGGGAAGAATTTCCTTGCTTCAGGGAAGAGGGTGAAAAGTTGGTAGGCTTGGGGGTGGGGGTGGGCTTTAATCTGCCCTCTGTTGAGGGGTAAGGCTGCCTGTCCTCTGAGCCTAGATGCTGGTGAAGGAGTAAGGTTCAGAACCCAGGGTGGCCTCTTAGAATTTTCCCAGGTAGATGCTTATACTGCAACTATGTGATTTTGTCTGAACTGAATGCCCCCAGAATATCAAACGTACACATAATGAAACATAAGTACAAGCCCACATTTGAAAGTCAAATAGAAAAGATTCCTGGATTTGTATCATTTTGCATTATCCAGGCCTCTGCTTTCATTCACAAGAATGAATAAATAAAAGTAGTCTCAAACCAAAATAATTTTCTGGGCAAAGCAGAACAAATGTGTTAAAATGAAGAAGAAGAAGAAGAAGATGAAACCTCTGGAGATGAAAAGGTTTTCACCCAAGATTGAGCTCAGAGAGATGGAATCTGCCTGTTATTTTCAATTTTTATCATCCAGCTTTTTATTATCAAGGTAATGATAGGGGAGTGGAGCCATTGTGGAGGGGAAGAAAGGAAGCAAAAATGAACACACAGTGCTCGTCGATTAGCCCCAAGCAGGCGCTGCTGGAGCCCCCGATACAAACCTCTGAACGCATTAGATTCCAATCAGTTCTCCTCAAGGTCCTAATCAAATTCTTTTTTTTATGAAAATCAAATTTCGTTTGATAAACTTAATTAATATTTTCAGAGGGAGCTTGAGAAAACAGCCCACCTAAGACCCTCAGTAGGCTCGATGTTCATTCAAATTAAGGAGATTCTCCATTCTGTTTCCTCTTTCCATTTTTAGAAAAAAGTAGACATTTTATAGCTTGAGGAATTTTTAAATGCTTCTACATTGAAGAGAGATAATTTACTATAAAGCTATTTCTCTTCTGACAACTTGATATTTCTCGTCTTGGGTTCTCCAAGAAGGCCTATCTGTAGTTGTAAAAAAGGCTTTCTTGATAACATTTATGCAAGAATTAGTTCTATTTTTAATTACACACAGATCTCCCCTTGTCAAATTTAATAGGTGCTTGGATTAGAGAAATGGAATCCACGGCTTGAAATCATATTTTTAAAGGGGCTACTTAGATTTTTCCTTCTCTGAATGCAGAGAATGCACTTTTTACTGTGGAATACAACGTGCATATAGACATGCACAGTTTAATAATTCTGAAGGGAACACTAGATATATCCACTACCTAGATCAAGAACTAGAGCATTGCCAGCACCCCAAAATCACACCCTGTGCTCGCTCCCTCACCCACAACCCTGACTTTGCTGGCGACCATCTCCTTCCTTCTTCTTACATGTTTACTTCCTAGATATGGATCCCTAAAGACAAGCTTCTCTCTGCCTGCACTTCTCTCTTCATTCACTCATTATGGTCCCCTAGATTTTTGTTTATTCCTTATTTTGTTTTTATTTTTCATTTTTAGAGACAAGGTCTTGCTCTGTTGCCCAGGCTGGAGTGCTGTGGCCTGATCACTGGTGACTGCAGCCTCAAACTCCTGGGCTCAAACAGTCCTCCTGCCTCAGCCTTCAAGTAGCAGGGACGACAGGCACATGTCACCACACCTGGCTAATTACGTGTGTGTGTGTGTGTGTGTGTGTGTGTGTGTGTGTGTGTGTGTGTGTGTGGAGAGACTGGGCCTCACTGTGTTGCCCAGGCTGGTCTTGAACTCCTGTGTCAAATGATCCCAGGTGAACACCTTGGCTCCCAAAGTGTTGAGCCACCACGCCCAGCCCCCTCTTCCTTATTTTAAAGTGATGATTTTTTTTTGAATGCTCAGATTGTCCTGATTTGACCAGAGGAAGCCCTTCAAGGTGGCTTCTGTGTCCTTTTGACTTCCCAGTTTAATCTTTTCTTTAAGCGTCAATTTAAGTGCAATATTACTTGTAGAAAATAAAATGCAATCATTCTAACTTCTGTGGAGTTCAGAAGTCTTTGACAAAGGTAAACACCTCTATGATCCCACCACTATTAAGACACAGAATTTCCATCATCCTATCAGTTTTCTTGTACCCCTTTTGGGTGAGTTTTGGCACCACAATCTACTTTCATCACCACTGATTCATTTTGTCTTTCTCAGTTTTCGTATCAATTAAATCATACAGTACGTGTTCTTTTGTGTCTGTTATTTTTTCATTGGCATAATGTTTTTGAGATTTATCTACACTTTTGTGCATATTTGTGGTTGAGTCCTTGTTTTTTCTCAGTAGCCCTGCACTGTAACATATATCAAATTTGTTTATTAATTCACCTGTTGATAGACATTTGGGCTGTTTCCAGTTTGGGGTTTGTGAGAATGAAGCTTCTATGAAATTTCCAGTGTTCGTGTGGACATATTATAGTTGTCACAGGTGTGGGATTGCTGGGTCATATGGCAAGTGTGTGGTTAACTTTACAAGACATTAGCACAAGACAACCATGCTCGCTTTGCACAGTCACTGACCTAGACACTCCTGCCACTTCTCCAAGGAGTCAGGATTTCTTTAAAATAAATATGAATCTTTAGAAATTGGGATTGGGGGCTTGGTGTGCTCATTTTTACTGGTACCCATAGGCAGAAAAATGAATTTTGACTTAAACATCGCAACTTATACAACTAAAATCAACTGAAAATGAATCACAGGCTTTTAAAAACGCAAAATGTCAAACTATAAAACTTTTAGAAAAATATAGAACATTTTCTGGACTTAGACTAGGAGTTGGAACTCAGACTTGATTCCAAAAACACAATCCATAAATGAAAAAATAGACCTAATCAAAATGAACAACTTTTGCTCTGCGAGAGATCCTGGCAAGAGGATGAAAAGATGAGCTACAGAGTGGGAGGAAATATTTGCAAATCCCACTTCTGATAAAAGACTAGTATCTGGAATATAGAATTCTCAACACTCAACAACAAAACAAAAACAAAAACAATCCAATTAGAAAATGGGCAAAAGATATGGACAGAGACATAACACATCTTCACTGAAGAGGATACAGATGGCCAACAGGCAAGTGGAAAGATGCTCAACATCACTGACCACTAGGGAAATGCAAATTAAGCCATAATTAGATATCAATATAGACCTGGAAGAATGACTAAAATAAAAAATAGTGATGACACCAAAGGCTAGTGAGGATGCTGTGAAACTGGTCCACTCATACATTGCTGGTGGGAACATAAAATGGCACAGCCAACTGGGGAACAGTTTGGTAGTTTCTTACAAAACTAAACATGCAATTACCACACAATTGTGGTCTTGGGCATTTATTCCAGAGAAATGAAGACCTATGCTCACTCCCAGACAGGTACATGGATGCTCATAGCAGCTTTAGTCATTCCCAAATTGAAATAAAAAATATTTTAAGTTAAAGAAAAAATTTTAAAAAGCCATATTCATCAGTACTTGCAAAAATAACTGCCCCCCCCACTTAACAAAATTAAAAATAAAAGCCTTTTATGAAATTATTTCCTGCTTTGTAGATAATGCGAATCAGTGGATAATCAGGAAAAGTTCTTGTTATGATAAGCAGTTTTCTATTTAATTTATTAATTTTTCAAGAAGATTCTCTCACATCCGAAATGCCTTTTGAGAACAGAAGTAGAGAGAAATTTCTCTGTTTAAATGCAGAGACTCTGCCAGACCCCGGCGGAGAGCAGCACACTTCCTCCTAACAACATTTTAACGCCTCTTATCATTTCGATGAATCGGCAGAAATTAGCACTCGGCTTCATTTCTTGCCTCTCTCATTAGAAAAACCCATAAACCTTATATTCTACTTATGCTAATGTTTTTAAACAAAACCTTTCTATCTTATGTGCATAATATCAAAATATTGTTTGAAATCTTATATTCATTTATCTTGGTTCATTTCAAGCTCAGAGATACGTGAGGACTGAGATAAACCAAAACCTTCTGTGACCCCTAAATTCATCTGCTCTGTGAAACCTAGGCCTCTCTGACTGACAGGTAGGTGCTTTCATCATCACTGCTGCTGGCAGTGCCAAAGATGCTGAGAGAGCGCCCTCAAACAGACCAGCCTATGCATTCCTTCTAGAACTTGGAGGTATTTCTCCTACAACTTAGTGCTGGATTAGAGACTTCTCTACAACTTGCTATGTGCCAGGCACCGTTCTAAGCAGTTTATATATGCTAATTAATTTATTTCTTATAACCACTTCATGAAGTCAATAATACTGTAATTCTCATTTTACAGTTAAGAAAAGTGATGCAAGGGGAGGCAAATAACATGCCCAAGATCACACAAGTAGGTAGCAGAGCCGGGATTCAGGCCAAGCGGTTCAGATCTGGACTCAGGCTGTGCTACCTCCCAGTTGAATGAAAGAGTAAATGGCTGGAGAATGTGTGAATGATTGAGTCAACAAATAAACAAGTTTGTCCATGGCCCTAAGGTGTGGGGAGGATCCCACAAGCCCAGGAACTCCGTGGTGCCTGGGGCCTATCTGGGACCTCTGACCTTGTTCCTGGCCAGGACTCGCTTTTCCATGAATATTATGGTTGCTGAAACGTAGTATCAGGAGCTCAGAGTTGGGAGGTGGGAAACCTGCCTTCTTGTTTTGGCAGCACCAACCAACTTGCTGTGTGTTCTCAGGGGACTCAATGACTTATTTCCCCTTCCCTAAATGAGAGTTCAACAAGAATCATTTCTAACATTCCACAATGCCATATGCTGGCTTGTCCAAGTGAAAGTCTATTGGCAAGGCTAGAAATCAAGTCCAGCTCTGATTTTGAGACTGATTTTGGAGACCATCCTCATCCCCATATAGGAAAGCACGGGGCCTCAGGTCTCTACGTGGTCTCCAGGAACAGGTTTTATATGGGCAGGTTACAGTCTATGCATTGTAGACATGTATATTCACCTCACAACTTGGGAGTCAACTTGTGTTGACTGTTGAGTTTAATGAGTGAAGGGTAGAAGTGAATGCTTAGTTAGATAGCCCTGCGTTCAGAGCTGAAGCAAAGCTCTGCACAAAGTAGGAATTACAGGGAGTGTGAAAATACACTTTCAAAAGTTGAATAATGCCCCAGAGAAAACCTAATTCATTTTACAAAAGAGGAATTTACAGTCAGATAGCTCCATTCATTCTATGAAACCAAGTGTCCTCACAGAAGTGTTCATCATCTGTGTGGGTTTCAGAGATTGGGGACAGGACTCCAGTAATCCTGCTGCAAACATCTCCATAGATCTTCAAATACAAATGGCTTTTCCCTGAAGTCCATCCACTTTGACTCTGCCATTTCTGTTATAAAAGTCTTGCTTCTTATCTCTATGGGTGAATCAAGTTGGAAAGAGAGAGAAGTTAGCTCTTTTTTTCAGTTAACAGGGCATGAAGACGTGTAAATTCTCTGCATTCATCCCGAGCCCCTGGTTCTTCCCATTAGTAGGAACTGAGCTGTGTTGAGGTTGTCTGAGAGCTCGGGCATAGCACAGGACATGCTGCCCACTTCACAAGTGACATGGGGCATTCCCTGGTGAACAGCTCTTCAGTTTCTCTGCTTACTGCTGAATTTACGGTAATGCCTATAATTGTTTCAAATATACACTAGTGCTGGAGAGACAAGGTATGGGGAGGGGGCATCAGATTATCTTGCACTTGCAACGTTTGCCCAATTTTCTCTCAAGTCAGCTTCATCTAAACCAGTCTTCCTGACGAGGAGGCAGCCAGGATGGTCCTGCAAGCACACTCTCGTCAAAAACATTTCCACAGTGAAACACTGTCAGCAGTTGTTAGGGTGAGAAGGAAGTTTAAGTAGATGGACTAGAGGATAATTACTATGATTAGCATTTAGAGAAATTAAAAACTGCCATTTATTCCACAGCCAAGGGACATAATGAAACCAAGGAATATGACCGCCTTGCTATAGCCTTTGTCTTGAGAAGATTCATTTCTTCATTTCCTCATTTGGCAAATGTGAGTTGATGTTTTACTCTCCATCACAGACTGGGCTGAGGCAGAGACGACAACTGAGTCACGTAAGGGAGACGCGCAGTGGATGCCCACGCATTGGGGTGGGCATGTGCGGTGAGTGCGCGTGCTCAGGGCCCTCCTGGGGCTGCATGGAGGCCTCGCTTCCTGAAGGCGGCGCTGTGGATCCAGTCCCACGGACGCGGAGGGCCAGGCCGGGGACCACGGGAGAGCCGGGCAGAGGCAGGGTGTTGGCCAAGGTCACGGCCCCAGAGACCACAATAGCGTTGTGTCGCTGCAGCCAGGAAGAGCAGGCGACAAGGCCTGAAAGGTGAACTGAGACAGATCCCCCAGGGCTCCGCCCATGCCCTGGCCTCTCAGCTGCGTCTGTAGGCAGAGAGGAGACACTGAAGGGTATTTTTTTCAATTGAATTTTTCTTATTGTGGTTTTAAAAATATGTACATATGCACATAAACTATATATGTATGCATATTTAATATATAATACCATACATTATATATACATTTTGTTTTATATATAACATATTTTATTTTGTTATGCAAATATTTTATATACAAAATATTTAATATAAAATATACAATATTTTATATATAATTTAAATTATATATAATTTGTATATTTTATATGTATTAAAAATATATACAATGTATATTTTTATGTTATAAAAACATAAACATATAAATATACATAACATAAATGTATATATATATAAATTTATAAATATGTATAAATACATAACACAAATATATATATGTATATAACATAAAATTTACCCTTTTATCCATTTTAAGCACAAGTTCAGTGGCATTAAGTACATTCACATTGTCACACTACCATCACCACCATCCATCTCCAGAAGTTTTCCATCTTCCTCAACTAAATTCAACCATTGTAATTCAACTAAACGTAACCATTCTACAATAACTCCCTACTCCCCTCTCCCCAGCCTCTGGCAATCACAATTCTACTTTCTGTCTCTATGGACTGTCCACTCTAGGTATTTCCTGTGAGTAGGATCACACAGTATTTGTCTTTCTGTGACTGGCCTGTCTCCCGCAGCACAGCATCCTCCAGGTCTGTCCACGCCGCAGCATGTGTCAGATCTCCTTCCCTTTAAAGGCTGGATGACATTCCATTGTGTGATACACCACGTCTTGCTTATCCACTCATCCCTCGATGCTCATTGGGTTGTTTTCACTTTTGGCTGTTGTGAATAATGCTGCTAAGAACACGGGTACAAATATCTGTTCAAATGGATGGGTTTTGAGCAGGATAGTGGTTGGAAAAACCCTTTAGAAAGAGCTCCCTGCTGGTGCAGAAGATGATGATGATGATGATAATACAACTAATACTGAATGTGTGCTAGGTGCTGCGCAAAGTACTTGACGTGCATCAACTCATTTAATCCTCACAACCGCCGCATCCTCACACCTACTTTTTTGAGGTTGATGTTGTTATTATCTCCATCTTACTTAGGAGCCAGTGGAACCTACCCAGGTTTGCAGACAGCAGAAGACGGAGCCAGGAACTGCATCTGGACAGTCAGCTTGCAGAGCCTCGGCACTCACACTGTACCACATGGCCTCTCCTGGCAGACTGGGAGGGGTGAGATAATGCATGGAGGCTGTTGCTGGGCCATGGGAATAATACAGGCAGGAGCTGACAAGAGCTGTGAACTGAGCTCAGGAAGCAATAAAGAATAGGCATGTGGCCAGAGACTTGAGATTCTTAGGGAGCGAGATGGACAAGCTCCCCGGAGTGACTGTGGGTATGAGGAAGGGGAGGGGTCTAGGATGACAGACAGCTTTTGAACTTGATCACCTAGGTGGAGAGTGGTGCCATTGACTAAGAGAACATGGGTAAATTGGCAGGTGTAGTGGAAGGGGAAAAGAATGATTCTATCCAGTACCTGCTGAATCTGAGATTCCACAGGACATTTGGATACAGGTGCCCAACTCATATGGTATGAATCAAATTCAACAGAAAGATCTTGTTGGAGACACAGATTGAGAAGTCATTAGCATAGGGGAGAGTTGGAATCTTGGAAGTAGATGAGCTTGTCCATGGATCATGTGTGTGGAACTGAAAAGAAGAGGTGGAAATTGAAACCCAGGAATGGGGAGTTGAAAAGCTGGGGCAGTGAGAACACACTAGGGCTTATAAATTTCAGAACTGACATGACAGCAGAGAGTGGGTGAGGCCCCACTGCATTGCCACACGTGCATTAACCTGCACTGTGCTCCCTTCTGGGGGAAAACCAATGGTTAGGGACTGGTTCAACAAAGAGGGGACAGCAGGCATTTGGTGGGAAGCATCAGAAGGGTAGAAGGATATGGAAGCCAAGGTGGGGGAAATATTTCTGGAAGGATGGTATCAAATGCCTCAAAGAGATCAAATTAAATGGGACCAAAACAGTGCCCACTGACTTCTGCAGGCAACATTGCTGGTGACCTTACAAAGGGACATTCTTTGGAAAGGGTAGGAGCAGGGGCCATCTTGCCCCGGACTGAGGCATAAAGGAGAGTGTGGGTGTACATGGAGTATAGACGTCAGGAGAAGTGTGCATCCGGGGACTAGGGGAACAGGCAGTAGTTCCTAAGGCCTGGCCTGCGGGAGGCCAATGGAAGATCTTGAGCTCATTCACAGTTAGAGAGACAAAAACCAGTGCAGAAAGGTGGTCAGGGGGACCAGGCCTGGGAGGTCAGAGGACAAGAGGAGGAGCTCAAGTTTACGAGCATTCCCCTTCAGTAGAGGAGGGCTGCCTCAGACCAGAGAGGAGAGTGGCTGGGCAGGCACTGCACAGGGCCATGGGGAAGCCACAGCCTTTGGAAAATGCAATCTCTCAAAGCTGATCTTGACACAGCGAGGCTGGGACACACACATCGGAAATGGCAAAGTCCTTTTGGGAAGTTATTTGGCAATGGATATAAAGTTAGTTTTGGAAATTTACCCAAAGGGTAAATGAAAGAAAAAGCATCCGTACAATTATGCTCCCGGCACATTATTTACAATATTATTTTTAAAAAGCACATGTGGCTAATGGCATGGAAACGAGTTAAGTAAATTATGGAACATATGCTCAATGGATGGAATATTATGAGGTCATTAAAGTTATAATTACGAAGCTTATAGCTACACAGAAACATGGTTATGATAGTAAATGGAAAATCCGTCCTAAAATTGTATGTATACTCTAATTGCAACTATGTGAAGTATGCTTTCCCATGAAAGTACATTACAAGAGAATCCCTAAACTGATACTAGCTGTTGGCTGGAGATAATGGTAAGATTATGGCTGACATTTTTTTTTTCTTTTTCTATTTGGAAAGCTTGTTTTGAATCCTAATGCTACAGTTCTCATTAAAACAACAAGAAGAAAAAGTAGCCTTATATCTTATTAGCTATTACCCTATTTAAAACAGAACATCACTGGATTTTTTCCTCTCTACCTGATAGTATCGAGGCCTAATAGAATGGATTTTATGTGGTGTGGCCATTCCATTCAAAGCTCCTCACCTCTGATGTTGAGATTGAGTGTCGATGGTAATGGGTGTCTCCTTCCCGCAGTCCAAAGTGTGCTTGGATGCTTCTAATAGAAAAGATGCTCGCTAAACCTTCAACAACATTCCCAGCCCAGGAGCCATGCCGGGATGGGTTGCGAATGGCAGGCAGGGCAGAGACAGCCGTCCTTGCCAGTCCTGTATCCAGCACACGGGTACGTAGCTTTCATTCTACTGGGGCATGTCCCTGGAGGAGCCCACTAGCAGCTTGTCATAGAACCCCTACCTTCCTCGCGCCCAAGTCTTAGGATAGACTGCAGTCCTAAGCCTCAGCCTCTTAATATTTTTCTTCTATTTTGAGTTAAATTATCTCTATTTTTATCTTTTTTGGGTACACTAACATTTAGAGAGTTTATGAATGGTTCAAAACATTGATACAAATAGGCATTTTGAAATGGCAACTCAAAGTCAAATGGTAGCCATTCTATGCTAGGGACAGAGCAACATGGGGTGGAAGAAGTGGATCCCAGCCTCCCATCTGCAAGAATTTCCCTTCATTAGAAGAAGCTGCTGTTGGCTGGGAGCAGTAGCTCATGCCTGTAATTCCAGCGCTTTGGGAGGCCAAGGCAGGTGGATCACTGGAGCTCAGGAGTTCGAGACCAGCCTGGGCAACATGGCGAAACCCCATCTCTACAAAAAATACAAATTAGCTGAAAGTAGTGGTGCATGTCTGTGGTCCCAGCTACTTGGGAGGCTGAGGTTGGAGGATCGCTTGGGAGCAGCAGCCGAGGTTACAGTGAGCTGTGATGGCAGCACTGAACTCCAGTCTGAGTGACAGAATGAGACCCCATCTCAAAGAAAGAAAGAAAGAAAGAAAAAAGCTGCTGCTGCTTTTTTCTAGTACCCTAGCTCTGGCTTCTAGTCTTCTCTAATAATTTACCTCTTTCATTGAAAGGAATCAATGCAATAGGCGAGATAATTATAGGCTCAATGTAAGCATAAGAAAAAATCAGAATTTAGAGATTCATCTGCAAAAGATGGATTAGAAAGGATAATTAATATGCCTGATGTTTTCAAGAGGCATTAAAATGCGCATGAATCACTAGATTAAATCCAGGAGTGGGGCAGGAATTGCATCCTCTTCCTCCTGGTCTCTGTGCGCCTAGTTGCTTATTCGGTTGTAAACTACTCCATCTTGTGGCTAAACTAGGGTACTAACAGAGATCAAGATGCTCTTATTTTCAACCAAAAATCACTGTATTTTCCCCTCTTAAAACTTATGCATAGGTTTTAAGAAATCCAAGCCATTTAAGAATTATGAACAAGCTTTAAAAAATTCCAAGCATATATAAATGAAGAAAGTAAACATTATCCATAATCTCGTTATCTAGACTTATCCACACAGACATATATTTTTAGGCAAATACAGGCACATAACATGCATACTGCTTTATATGAGAACTAGTTACAATTTGCCTTTTTTCACTTCAAATGAATCACTATGTTAACACAATTCAGGAATCAGGGCTGGTCAGTATTTGATAAAATTAACAGGTTGAACTTTTTAGTTGCTATTGTAAATGGAAAAATCAGGAAATCTATAACTTTGGACAGGAGAGTTTTATTTCTTATAAAGGGTTACAGACTATAAGGTGGGCATTCCGATATGCTGGGAGGTGTAGCCTCCAGCCAAAGCCATAAAGGCAGGCACTTGGAGGGAGGGAAGGAGAAGACAGGAATTTCAGCTTAACTGGTATACATATTCAACAGGATATGGGAGGAGCCATGAATATTCATGAAAGGGGGTCTTGCACATGTGTGATAAGCAAACATGCATGTTATATACATCCCAGGGTCTCCTTGGGGTGGAGACGTAACATTTAAATGCATTATAATTAGGCCCTATATGTCAAAAGGTGAAGCAGGGCGTCAACACACCCAAGTGGTCGGCCTCTGTAAACCAGCCAGAACCAGTCCATGGCCTGTGATCTCTTATCAGGAGAAAGTTACAGAAATCAGTCTCTTGTCCAATCAAAGCTGTAGTTATGGCTGGTGGAAAGGGGGTGAGTTAGTCAGTGTCTGGTGGTGGATGAGCTGCAACTAGTTCAACATTGCTTATGTCAAGGCCAATGCTGGTTTAGCTGCTAGAGAGAACAACCTCTGGCAGTTAGAACCTAGTTTATTCTTTAAATGTTGGGTGCATGACTTAACCCTTCCCTGCCATGGCCTTAGGTCTTGTTTATAATTTGGTACCATAATGAGTTTGTTCTGTCAGTCTTATGGTCTCTATTATAACATTAATGCCGGGCAGTTTTGTCTAAACTGCAAAAGGGAGAAGGTATTATATAATGAGACAGACCTCCCATCCCGTTATGGCCCAGAATTTTCTTTAAGGTTTCTCTGGGGCCCCCTTGGCCAAGAGGGAGTCCACTCAGCTTGCTGGGGGCTTAGGGTTTTATTTTTAGTCCTCACTCTACGTATTTTCATAGCAGTTAGGGTAACCACAGTCTCCTTGGGCCTGGGCCTCCTGATCTGTTAAAGCCAATGAGGGGCGGGCGTCAGAGATTGCACACCAGTGGACCCCAAATCCCCCCCGCAGACCTTCTGGCTTCCAAGGTGCCCAGGGTCTTACAATGCTCCCTGCATTTGTTGCCTGCCTGGGGAAGCATATGGCTTACAACAGTGGGATTAAATGATCCCTAAATTCCCCGCCACTTGAGACATTGAGTTGATGCTGTTCCTGTCCTGAGAACATTTAATAAACTAGAGAAGTGGTTCTCAAAGTGGGGTCCCTGGACCAGCAGGATCAGCATCAACTGTGAAGTAGTGAGAAATGCAGATTCTGAGGCCTTCTCTCGGGTGTCCTGAATGACCTGGGGGTGGGACCAGCCACACGTCTTGGGCCCTCCAGGTGATTGTGATGCACACATAACTTCCAGAACCACTGATGCAGAACATCAATGAGATCACCCCTTTCTTATACATGTATCTTTCACCCTCCCACTACTAATTTTCACAATCTTATCTCTACACAGATTAGGCTACTGCGATTCAACTGATCACAATACAATAAATCCAGAGTCGGGCTCCTTTCCTCCAGCTCCACTGCTAGCACCGAGGGCCAAGCCACTGCCATCTGTCACCTGACTCGCAGCAGCCACCGCCCTGGGCTCCCTGCTTCCATTCCCACCCCCTGCAGTCAGCTCCGCTCAGAAGGCTCCCATGGCTTCCCTCTCACCCCAGGAAACACTGCTGCCTTAAATAACGTCAGGGCCTTATAGGCTGCCCTTTGGCCTCTCTGACCTCATCTCCTACTACTCCCCTGTTCTCTCTGCTTGAGATGCATTTGCCTCTTCCTCATCCCACCACAGGGTCTTTGCATTAGCCGAGCTCCCTGCCGAGAGCCCTTGGATCCCATATGTGCACGTTGCTTGCCCTCTCGCTGCCTTCACACCTCTGCTCAAACACCACTGCGGTGTCGAGGCCCCGCGATCACTCTATTTAAGTTGCAACCTCTTCTATCTTGAGAACTCTTAATAAACTAGAGAAGTGGTTCTCAAAGTGGGGTCCCTGGACTAGCACCCCTCCACATTCCTCCTTCCCTCCTTCCTGGTGCTTCCTACAAGGGAGAACATCAGGTACTTGGCTCAGTTTAAGGTTTATTTCCCCAGCTGGAACTTGAAGAACATGAGGGCTGGGCTTTTGATCTGCTCCAGGGACATCCTCAGTGCCTAGCACAGGGCTGCGTGGGGGCAGTGATCAATAAGCGTTTGCTAGATGAATGAAAGAAACAGATGCTTATTAGGGGCATGTGCGCCCTGATGTGGGGGGCCCGTGACTGAGGGCAACCCCACTCCCATGCTTTTGCCAGCTTGCATCATGCTTCACCACCTGTGCGTGCTTGGACTGCCCAGGAGGGCCCTGGGAGACGCTCTCACAGCCCCTGCCCCGCCGAGGTTACCTCCAGGCCCGCAGGGCTCTTTCCCATCCAGTGAATCTCAGATTCTGAGTCCTCCCAGCACAGGGCTCCAGGCTGCCACACCCGGTTAACCCATCCATGGGCAAGGCCCAAGACTCGGCCAGTGAGAGGCTTCGTCATACATAGAGGAAAAGAAACATATTATTTGGTTTGTATCTGGAACATCTCCCAGGCACCTTGAGTTGTCACACCAGCCTGATCTCATCATTCTTTTTATCTGTTCTGAAACATAAAACCACCAGTCTCCGTTCTCTCTAGGATAAAAGTAACAACTCTTACTCTATAAACACCTGTAGCAGCTTCTATGGCTGCTGTGATGGATTACCACAGGCTTAGTGGCTGAAACCAGCACGATGTCTGATCTGATGACACCTGAGGTGCAGCCTCGCTGGGCTAATAGCAGGTGTGGGCAGGCTATGCTCCCTTCTGGAGGCTCCCAACACCTTCACAGGGAGGCTAGGAATCTATTTTGAGGTTAAATTAAAAATATAGAATATGAAGGAGACTCAGATCTAAGAGTTACTGTGTGCTTATTGAGCTCAGAAGTTAACCAAATAGCTTAAGATTATTCTAAAAGACTTGAGAGCTATTAATATAATGAAATGGGTCACAGCCACATACTAGGTGTGTTAGAAATGAGAAATACCAGGCTGGGCACAATGGCTCATGCCTGTAATCCCAGCACTTTGGGAGGCCGAGGCGGGCGGATCACTTGAGGTCAGGAGTTCGAGACCAGCCTGGCCAACATGGCGAAATGCAGTCTCAACTAAAAATACAAAAATTAGCCAGGCGTGATGGCGGGTGCCTGTAATCCCAGCTACTCAGGAGGCTGAGGCAGGAGAATCGCTTGAACCCAGGAGGCGGGGGTTGCAGTGAGCCAAGATTGTGCCACTGTGCTCCAGTCTGGGCAACAATGTGAGTGAGACACCGTCTCAAAAAAAAGAAAGAAAGAAAGAAAGAAAAGAAATGAGAAATACCCAACACTTCCTTCAGAGCCACTTTTGTCCTCTTGTCTTGTTATCCTTCCAGCTTCACAAGCATCGAGGCACACTCCCTGGACAACAGGACATTGTGGCTCTCCTAAGTGACCCAGGAGTGGTTCCATTCTGTCAGGGGAGCTGAGTTTGCAAGTTCAAGATCTGATTGGAGTTTGGGGTGGCTTATTAGAGGTCACCAAATTCTCCTGCTGCTTTCTCAACCCAAGAAACCCACAAAGGTTTCTACCGATAAGCAGGGCAGCCTCAGCAGTGGCGAGTGGAGACCCAGGCGGCTCTGTGGTGATGGGCTGCACCCCGCCCAGCACAGCCCCCTTCTTCCCTGCAGATCCCACATGCAAAGCAGGAGGGCTGGGAGCAGAGGTTAGGGAGGGAACGAGAGTCAGTCTGAGCAAGGAGAGTCCCCACATGGGGAAGCCCCACAGGCAGCTAGAAACACCCATCACACACCACAAGATACCTGGGGCTTATGTTTAGGGAAATTATGTACAAAATTAATCAAAATTAATCCATGATGCCTTTTAAACAAGTATTTTAAAGGCAGGAGCAAGAAAATCAGAAACTAAATAAATGGTGATAAAATTTGACTACAAAATTTTGAAGGCTGGGCAGAGTGGCTCACGTCTGCAATCCCAATTACAATTGAGAGGCCAAGGTAGGGGGATCACTTGAGGCCAGGAGTCTGAGACCAGCCTGGGCAACATAGAGAGATCCCATAGCTAAAAAACATTAAAAAAAATTAGCTGGGCATGGTGGCACACACCTATAGCCCCAGCTACTCGGGAGGCTGAGGTGGGGGCATCACTTGAGCCCAGGAGTTTGATGCTGCAGTGAGCTAGGACTGTATCATTGCACTCCAGCCTGGGCAACAGAGTGAGACCACATCTCAAAATAAATAAAAATTTTGAATGTGTCCCATCATAGTAATGAACTGAACAGGAATTCTGAAGCTGCTGGTATGTGGACCCCAGCCCACGGTGTGTGTCAGAGGCACTGTGAGCCCCTCGCTGCCATACAGCATTGCTTGTCCATGCTGCTGGCCAGGGTGAGAGTCCTTTGCTTTCATCTGACTCCATTACCCCAACGTGGCTTAATGGAATTCTGGGGTCGTTTAAATTCACCTTATTTTGAAAGAAGGCCAAAGTGCTGACTGTGTGCACAATGGCCTCTAGCTTTGATGTTCTTTGTTTGCAAAGATGTCTACTGAGAAGGCCTCCTAACCTTTGAGTCAGGCTGCAGCTGCTCACCCTGTAACTACTGTGCTGAAGCAGGCAAGGTACAGGGAGACAGATGAGGACCAAGCAGGGCCCCCAGAAGAAAGAACATCACCATGAACTCCAAACCAGCCAATGCAAGCCAAACCAACTCACAGATGGAGAAATAACCATGGCCTGGGACTCCCAGATCCAGTACAATAGCAGGTAAGTATCATTTTCCCATTAATTCTTTTCTCAGGGAGAAAGGCCTGCCTCTCTAAACGCTACCTGTGAGTCAGCCTTCACTTTCCCCTTGGGACAGCCTTGCTTTTGCTGTTGATGCGGTAACACCTGTTTACCTAGGGTCTATCCTGTGTCAGAAACTCTGCTGGTGTTGCACCTAAGTCCTCGAATGGCCCAGAGCCCTGGAGGGTACGGTTTTGTCAACAATTTTCAGGCAGGAAAACGGAGGCTCACAAAGACGCAAAGAGAGGCGTGGCACCTGAGCACCTAAGATGTGCCGGGCACCATGCTAGGCCTCTCCCAGCGAGAGCCCAAGACCCCACAAGGCTGTTACCTGCTCCCAGCCTGACCCAACAGGTGAGGTCATGCCCCCACCATGTAGGGACAAGCCCTCAGCATTGAGTCATTACCCTGACACTCACAGTCAGCACCTCACAGCCAGGACTTAATTGCCTTCTAATTGTTTTCTCTGTTTGTTGTTTTTCGGTAATTAGACTCGAAGCTCTCAGGACAAAAACTCTGACTTGACTGTATCTTGTAACCCTGATTGCTGGACCCAAAGACGTTATTAGTAAATATGGATTGACTGACAGAAGAATCCAGACTGCACAAGGCAGATGGGTGGGCAGATGGCCACCTTCCAAATTACCTGAACACCGTTATGAGGCATTGGTCATGAGGTCCTCCAGCTACTAGGCAAATACTGATTTCTGTGCTTTCTGTGTGCCAGGCCCTGGGGACCAAGGATGGGTGGAACAGGATCCCTGTGTGTCTGGGGGGAGGAGAACACACGCACGACTGGCCCCCATAAGCACCCTCATCAGTGCCCCAGGCAGGTGCTGCGGGGCATGAGGAGACGCAGGGTGGAGGTGGGAAGGGGCCAGGCCTCCCTCGTGGGCAGAGGCGCAGGGAGTTGCTGGGGCCGGTGTGGGCTCAGCCATCTGGGATGGCGGGTGGGAGGGTACTGTGAAGAGGAAACAAGCCTGAATGAAAAGATGGGGCAGAAAGACATTTTGTGAGGGGCCCCCAATAACCTGTGGCAGAGAGAGGCTTCAGACTGCATTCTACAAACTGAAATGACAACTTCAAGATGGCTCTTTTGTCTGTGCGACTCACTGCCTTCTGGGAAGAGGACCTGCTGTCTTCTAGGAATTATTCCTTCTGCTCCAACCACAAACTTCACTGGAGCTGCCATCATTCCAACATGATCCCAGCTCCCTAGAGCCAGCTCAAGATAAGCCAGTGGGTGATTTCCTGACATCTTTTGGAAGAAGCGGTTCTGCCTAGAAGGGAAGAATGCAGACACGGTGGCGATGGGCACTTTGGGGGCATTTCAGCTGTGAGACCCAGATGCTACTGCCCTGCCTGCAGGTCAGCTGTTCAACTCTTCTCTCAAGAACACTGGACATCCCAAGAGTGTCTCAATAAACTGAAAGAGCTTCCTCCTTTCAATTAAAAGATAGAACAAGTTGGACTTGTGCAGCCTGCAACCAAGAGTGTCCTAATGTCACCGAATACAACCCCTGACTGAAATACAGTCCTCAGCGTCCTTTAGTTTAGCTATTAAACACCACTATGAAAAAACACCTTCCCTCCACCACTTCCTTCCCTCACTTCAAAGAAGCAATATTCTGAAATTACAAACAAGAGATTCAACTTAATAGAGGGGGACACTGTGAGGGAACAGTTTACTCTGCAAAAGTAATGATGGCATCCTTGGTGGAGAAGGTTTGCCGTGAGGTTAGATACAATTATGGAGAGTTCGGGATGAATCTTTCATTCCTGACATGGAGGGAAAGACCTCTTACTGTGAGCCTGGCTCCCCTGGAGAGGTTTCAATCTTTCTTAGAAAGTACAATCAAGTCCTGGGAAAATGAAAAAGGAATAAATTTGAAGTTCTCCTGAACAGTTTTCATAGAAGATCCAACAGTGGCTGTAACTTTTGTTAACGCTTCCGTAGCAGTGATTTAATGAAAAGTTATATGAACTCACCACTCTAATAAAGGGGTCTTCCTTCTTCCTTTTCAAAAAATTTCCTAGCAGGAACTTTGGCTGGCTGATGTTTATCACCTTAGTAGATAAATATTTGTTGAGTGAATGAAAATCAAATACAAAAAGACACAAACACAAGAAAGTTACACTCTGATCTGTTTTACTGCTGTAGTAACAGTGCCCGACACAGAGGCCTTGTTTAAAAAGATGGGTTTTATTATTATTCGTATGGGGAGGTCAACAGATCAGGAGACGACTACCATCGAAAAGACAGTTTATTATTCATAGACCCCAGGAGGGGGCAGCCACGCTGTACAGGACCACGTGGGGAGGCAGAAGGAGCGAGGGTACGTATGGGCAAGAACCTTGACTGTGGCTTTTCCTGGAAGAAGAGGCAGGGTAGGCAGCTGAGTGGACTTAGGATTGGCTACTTTGAATCATTTCATTTGGTTTATGATTAGCTACTTTGAGTAATTCCAATGGAATTACTGGATTAGCTACTTTGAATAATTTCAGTAGGTTTCGGATTGGCTACTTTGAATCATTTCAGTGGTTTTAGGATTAGCTACTTTGCGTAATTTCAGTGGGTTTAGGATTGGCTACTTTGAGTAACTCCAGTGGGTTTAGGATTGGCTACTTTGAATCATTTCAGTGGGTTTAGGATTGGCTACTTTGCATAATTTCAGTGCGTTTAGGATTGGCTACTTTGAATAATTTCTGTGCGTTTAGGATTGGCTACTATGCATCATTTCAGCAGGTTTAGGATTAACTATTTTGCATAATTTCAGTGGGTTTTGGAATTGGCCACTTTGCATTAAATTCAGTGGGTTTAGGATTGGCTACTTTGAGTAATTTCAGTGGGTTTGGGATTGACTGCTTGCATTAATTTCAGCAGGCTCTAGCATGTGGGGGTTGTCCTTAATTCTCCGATGCCCTGGGGTGATCAGGGCTGGGGAATTTCTGCCTGGGGTGTGACAGCCCATAAAGGAGGTGGCTGGGTGTGGCTCTGGATTGGCTGGTTTGTATAGGAAAGGTGTACTTGCAGGCTAGTCCTTCACTATCTCTAGAAAATTTACTATTTTTAGACATTGGCCAGCCCTGGGAGGGGCAGTCCCTCCAGGGTCAGGAAGGCCCCAAAATTCTGTCAAAGCATCAGAAAAACATGGTTAAATACAGGCTTTTGCTCCATAAAAATCATGATCTTTAATTCTCTTCTAATTCTAATATAATTCTTTATTATTATTATTATTATTATTATTATTATTATTATTATACTTTAAGTTTTAGGGTAATGTGCACAACGTGCAGGTTTGTTACATATTCTAATATAATTCTTAATTCTATTGTTTTCTTGGCTATGACATTAATCTTATTATTTAGTTTAAAAGGCTAATGGCCTGTATTGAAGGAAAAGTAATGCAGTAACATGACTTGAATTATTTTTAAAATATATTTTAATATTTCATACCTCAGTATTAATCTGTATTTTCTGTGAAATGACAGAAAAATTCATTGTAAGATTTTGCTTTTGTATTCATTTTGATTTTGAGTTGAGTTTCAGTAATTTTTATAGCTTAGTGTTCAAAGATTACTTTCAATTTTTAGTAATGGGTTTATTGCATTTAAAGTGTTTTAACCGAAGACTTAGAATAAGAAGAAAGCCTTAAGCTACACTTCTGTAGCCTACAAAGTTATTGAGCAAAGGTGGCAATAATTGTTTGCCTGATTATTATTATTACTCCTTGCCTCTTAATTTTGGAGGATGCATTATAGCCTTTCTATTAAACTTCAATATTTATAAAAACAATATACTGATCCTTTCTTATAAATATTTATAAGTTCTTAGCAGGAGCTACCTAATATGGTTCTGATGGTTCTGTGAGAGGCTGAACACACTCAATGTCTGTGGGGTTTCCTGAATGGAGACTAGCTGAGGTATTTTAACTGGCATAAAAACATCTGGTCTACAACATCAAATCACTCCAACATTGATATCATCATGTTTTAATTTTTTCTGAGTAGTCAGGTCAATGAACTTAGTGCTAAAAAAAGGAGGGAAAATGTACCAGATGACTTTGCCATTCATTTTCAAGGAAACCAGTTATTTATTCCATCACTCTATGGCTTCCTCTTCCACACTCTTGGGTCTCTGTGCACCCTTGTTGAACCCTATGACAGAAGTTAAGAAGGGATTTTCTGAGGGGGGAAGAGAATCATAACCAATGTTTATAGAGCTCTTCCTATAGACTAAGTGGCTCACGTGGATTGTTGCAAATCCTCGAAATCCTTGGACAGGTGTTGCTATTCTCTCTCCTTCACAAATGAGCAGTAGAGGTTTAAGGTGATCAACTCGTCCAAAGTCACACAGGAACTCCAGAGCCCGTGTTCTGGACCATGTACATACTTCTTCAGGTGGTTTTTCATCTACTTTTACGATACAGTAGTGCATAATAAGCATGTGAGTCGTATTTGGAAGGTATAATAAAGTGGACACTAAGGCAACCACCTCCCAGCTTCAGATAAACATCACCACCAATACCTCTGCAGTCTTGGGGGCCCGCCTTCCCCTCCCACCTGGTACAGGCCTTATCTCCGGAGCCTCCTACCAACACCTGCTGCACTTCCCCCACTGGATTCTGTGCTGCACACAAAGGCTAGGCTCATTTTCCTTAAAAAAACAAAAAACAAAAACCAAACTCCTTACGCCATGGGGATGGCCCCCTTAGGGCATGTTCTGAACAAGGGACCTATGCCCAGAAACAACGCACACATCTGTGACACTCTGCAAATGATTTCAATGTTTGGCAGACTTCCTCAAACTCATGATTTGTCATTCAAACTGGGACACTTGAGAGTAAAAGGGGGAACTATCTAGTAGTCACACTGGGATGGCGGGATGGTGGGGCCACACTGGGCAAACAGGTGGCACAGTCACCTTGACTTCATCCCTGGGCTCTCATAGCTCTTCCCATCACATTGCCCGGAATGCTTTCCTCCAATCGTATGGCCCACTGACTGTCCTCATAATGATCCCAGCTTGATGGAGTGGTTATGACATCGCCTTCCTGAATAAGATGAGGGTTCTAGCTTGGTTGGAGAGCATAGTATAGTGCTTACTAATCAACACCCATCCATTAGGATCTGGCTGACATCCACCTCTCCCATCAAGTCTTCTGACTGTACCAATGCAGTCTTCTCTCCTTTCACAGACGGTTTTAGCACAGGCTGTGTGCCTGGCTTGCATGCCGTCATAGCCCGCCTGGTATTCTTCCACAGTGGTTCAGAGCACTGGCTCTGGAGCCGGGATTCTAGGTTCCAACCTGGCTTGGGCACTCACTAGCTCTAGGACTTTGGGCAAGTTATTGAACCTCTCTGAGCACTAATTTTCTCAATATCTACCTCATAGGGTTGGCTGAGAGGATCGAATGCGTTACTTGTATTTAGAACAGTATCTGGAACAGAATAGGAGCTACAGAAGCATTAGCTCTCACTGTCGCCTTAAGGCAATAATCTTGTCAAATGCCTATTAAAAAAAAATAGCCACTAGAGAGCTCTTCCCAATGTATGCACACAGTGTGTGTCAAAAATACTTCCCAACAGGTATTTCCCACAAAGGTGTGGGATGTCTGAGAAGCTCAGTGCTCCTGTGGTTAACAAACCTGGTGACAAAGGAGACTGTGTCAAGCCTGAACAAAGGAACAAGAGCTCCGATATACTTTAATCCTCTTCCCTGGAGGCCTCACATCAACACTGTCCACAGTCTAGTTCCTATTACAGCTGGAATGGAGCAGATGGCCGGTGGTTTTACACTTATCTTACTTGATCGTCACACAAGGGCAGATGGGGCTGGTAGGGCAGAAAATGACCCCAATTTGACTCAAAGAAATTGAGACTCAAGGGGTACAGTGGCCTGCGAGGTTACAAGCCAGTATTTCTTCCAGACCTCACGGGGAAAGGCACCTGTAACATTCGCCTCTCCTGGAGGCCGCTTCTTGGTCATCACTGACGTCCCTGACCGCTGTGCCTGGCTTGCTGTCTTCCTATCACCGCTCACCACCCCCTTTGCTGGCTCTTCCCTCCTTCCTACTTTAAACTTGATGGCTGTTTCTCCACTTGAGCCTTGGCCTTCTCCCTGCCCAATCCTCCGTGCTGATCCAGCCCACGTTTCAAATTCCCCTTCCACGCAGCAGCCTCCCAAATCTGTCAGCAGGCTGACCCGTCGCCTGAGTCACAGTCCAATTATTTCAAGCATCTCATATGAGGTGGCCCCGAACACCTGAAACCCGAGCCGACCCCTCTGGTGTCTCCTCCTCCTCCCATCAACTTTTCTTCCTGTCTTCCTGGCTCTTTGCATTCCCAGCAGCCTGTGGATCTCATACCGAATACCCGCCCCCAGCTCTCCTGCAGCCAATCAGCTATCGCACTTGGTCCAGGTGAGAGTGGCAACGTTTCTCACACCTACTTCCTTTCTGTTCCCTGCACTGGGTCCCATCCCCTCCATGTACAATAGCTGCCTGGCAGGTCTCTTCCTTCTAGCAACTCCCTGCTCCTGCAGTCCCTCCGTGACCTTCCTGATGGGGAGATCCTCAAGACTTTTCCCATGAGCTCGGGGTTCCTGAGGCCCAGAAGAAGGTGAGAGTTAAGGCTCCGATTTTGTTGTTATATTATGCACTATGACTCTACTTAATATATATATACATATATTTTAAAGGTTGCTAAAATATAGTTTAAAAACACAGTTCTAATTTCAACCCTCATCTGTTCTCTCAAAGGAGAAAAAAAGGCTGATTCCCCTTTGGCAGTGCAGGAACATCACCATGAATTTCAGACCCTCCACAAATCCACCTCAGCCTCCTTCCCAGCTGGTTTCCGCAGGGACCTCGTCCCTCCCCAGCAATGCCCTGGCCCGCCTGGCTTCACTCCCTGCACATTTCCTGAACTTTCCTTCCTCCTTTCTCGCCATTTTCTCCATCTGTACTCCCACCCTCTCCTTTCATGGCCTCTTTTTTCCCCACCACCTCCTCCTCAGAGTGCTACTGTCCTCAGGGCCCCCTTCCTCAGCTCTCCTCCTGGCACTGTACGAGCAGCACTCCAGGTCTCCCGTTAGACTTGAGGACTTTGTCTCCTCCACGATACCAACAGTAGCTGATGCAGGGCCAGATGGCATATACTTCAGGCAGCTCTGCACTGCCCCAGGACACCAGGTATGGCAAGAGCTCAGCAAGCGGGCGATCCGTGCCGGCAGGGCTGCCCGCCATCCCATCTCAGCACACCCACGCCACGTGGGGTAACCACTTGTCACTTCTCTCTTGTCAAAATGGTAAAAAGTATACTCCAACAGATACAGGCTAAATCAACACCACCGACCAAAACCTGCCACAGACAATTTCACTAGAGAATGACCGCCACACAGAAAAAACCCCAGAAAGTATTTTCTACAGTTTCATCTGAAATGAAAAGGGCACTGGGTACCGCAGGGTACTGGGTACTCACTCTCACTTGTTCATCACCATGTTATTTTATTTTACCTCATAAAGGATTTGATGTGTATATACATGTCTCAGAACTTATTCAAGATTATTTTAAAAAGACACTTATGAAGAAATCAGTGGCATACAACTCTTTATATAAAGGATAATTGAGCATTGAGGGTCTAATTCTTGAAGCAATATTTTTACTTAAAATAACTGCATTGAAATGGATTTTTTTTTTTTTTTTTTGAGACAGGATCTGACTGTTACCCAGGCTGGAGTGCAGTGGCACAATCTCGACTTACTGCAGCCTCTGCCTCCTGGGTTCCAGCGATTCTCCCACCTCAGCCTCCCGAGTAGCTGGCACTATTGGCGCATGCCACCACACCCGGCTAATTTTTGTATTTTTTGGTAGAGATGGGGTTTCACCATGTTGGCCAGGCTGGTCTCAAACTCCTGGCCTCAAGTGATCCACCTGCCTCAGCCTCCCAAAGTGCTGGGATTACAGGCGTGAGCCACCACACCTGGCTTAAAATGGGTTTTAAAGTACCCCTGTTACCAACTGCCCCTTTCCTCCCTCAAAAACCTACTGCACAATTGCATTAGAGTTAAAATGCCAAAGTTTCTTCATTTTAAGGTACTTTAGAAATCCTAGAGCAAAACTCAATTGAACGCTTAGCTATGACTGAAGAGTCTCACTCCTGGCCAAACACCTATGTGTGATCTTTCATGCCAAACCATGGTCAATCATAAAGACTGCCTGGTGGGCCTCACGGGGGCAAGCTACACTCCCCACACCTGACTTGTGCACAGCCAGTGCATGACAGGTCCTGGGGGCCACAGTCAAGGACTCAGCCCACCTCCCCGCAGCCCGTGCTCTTCCAGAGCTATGTGCACTCCTGGCTGGGTGCCTTCATTCAGAGGGATCTGTTCCTTTCATGCAAGTCCTCCCTCAGGCTCCTCAGCTGAGACTTCCTGGGGAAGGGAAGCTTGAAGCCACTTTTCTCCATATCTGTGCTGATCCAAAATGGAATCCACAATTGTTTCAATAAAGAAACTGTGGCATATATAAACACAATGGAATATTATTCAACCTTGAAAAAGGAGATCCTGCCATTTGCCACAACGTGGATGAACCTAGAGGATACTATGAAGTAAGCCAGGAACAGAAAGATAAGTAGTGCAAGATCTCACTTAGCTGTGGGGTCTTAAAAGTCAAATGTATAGAAGCACAGAGTAGAATGTAATCACTGGGGGTAGGGGGTGGAGGAACGTGAGATGCAGGTCAAAAGGTACGAAGCTGCAGTTACATAGGATGAGTAAGTCTAGAGACCTAACGTACAACATGAGGACAACAGTGAATCATACTGTATTGTATGCTGGAAATGAGAAGAGACCTTAGATGCTCTTTCCACACACCCACACCTGGGAAACTATATGAGAGCTACGCTGATTTGCTTGACTGCAGTAATCACTTCACTCTGTAAATGTATATCAAAACATCCTGATGCATACCTTAAAAATACACAATAAAAAGATTTTTAAATACCCCCAAAACAAAACTGATCCAAAATAGGGGGCAGGGGTGCCTTCTTTGCCGCAGCCTTGCTCGTATTCCTGCAGCGAGTGAGCACAGACAGGCTTGACTGTGCCTTTCACTTGGCTGTTGTGTATACCAGCACCTCCCACACCTGGCAGCTCAGCTCCCTGGCTCTGCTGAGCTCCTGACCGACTCAAGTTACTTCATTCTTCTGAGCAAGCACTCTCACTTCTCATTTTGAAAAATACGTGGTGACAATTGCCAAGTGGGGAAGCAACAGAATCAGGGGAAATGAGTCTAGCTCTAGCATTGAAAGTACCAACAGTATGGCTCTGGTTGGTTGCTTAATCTGGGGGGCTAAGCCTTCTTGTCTGCAAAATGAGGTAACTTGACTATATTTTGCTGAATATTCCTTTCAGGTCTAATATGCCAGATTCTATGAATTATGCTTCTTAAAACTATATTCTGAAAAAGTTAAAAAAATAAAGCGGCAGAATGAAACTAACATTCTTTATTTTCCTTTTATTTTTTAAAGGTCACCTTTACAAAGTAGCATTTAAAAATAAATCCATCTCACAGCTCAAAGAAATTTCTGACAGTACTGCCCTCATGCTGGTCAGCCATTATTTACTGTGTGTCTGCCACATGTCGGCACATATATATAGCTCTTCCTCTCCTTTCCTGGGAGCAAACCCTTAGCGTTTCTTCCACGTAAACTTTCTGCGGGCTCCCTCTTGGCCTGGCTTCTTCCGTTCCCTCACACGTGGATCAGTAGTAAGTAGTCCAGCTGCAGCATAAAAAGAGAAGCCTTTAGGAACCATTAATATGCATGCTGCCCAGAAGAAAAGCAGGTTCATAAATTTATAGGTACTGTTGTCTGAGAAAAAAAACTAGAGGAAAGCAACCAGACCAGTAATAATTTACCAGCCCAGTATCAACCTCATGATGGCAGTTTGCTTCCACTCTTTCAGGATATTTTTCCAACCTCTGAGACAAACACAAGTTACATTATTTAAACCTGCTTCCCTTAAATTATAAGAATCATGGCTCCCTTTTGGTTTTTAAGCTTGCTCAACCTAAGTGAGATAAAGCTCCTCTTGTGTGGGCGGTCACTATTCACTGTAAGGGAACTTAACCTGCACACTTACTATTGCAGAGGACAGAGTTTTAATGGAGACAAGAGGCAGAGAAGAAAAACTTACTGTAAAGGTGAAGTATGAGAAAGTACTTAGATACCATCTATTAACAGTTTACATGAATATGCATATACACACAAATATGACTTGTCAAACATTTAAAAAAGGAAACTTTCATTATTTTAATTTATGCCATAATAATATTCCCTGTTTTTTTGTTTTAGAATCTAAAAAATAAGTTTTAGAGTTGTATTCTCAGCACAGGCAGTTTCTTCTAGAAGAATAAAGTCAGTTTAAACGGGAAACTTTCATTCTCCCAATCATCAGGAGTGATTATGTTTCTAGGCAACTGCTGGGGTTACTCTTAGCTATGGCCCATAAGGAAGAGCCCCAGCAGTGGCTGGAGCTATAGTAAGTTAGTAAAGACCATAGATTCCAAGAATACCACTGATGGGAAAGCTCTTACATTGCTTTTATAAATATGTAAATGGACCATACTTTTTCCTTGTCTTTTTCACTCTTCCAACGTTAGCACTCCTCCTACTGTATACAAGGCTTGGGTATTTTATTAAGGACCATTTAATGTACATAGAGCAAAGGAAAACCTTGTTTATGATATACCCATAACATTTACACTTGCTTGTACTTAAAGGACATGCATGGAATAAAACAGCAGTATTTGACAAAATACAGAAAAGACCTAAGTTCTAGCTTCAACTGTAAGTAAGAATGCTTTATTACTTTCAGATATGCACAGTAGCTCAAACTCATCAAATTGTTAAGATTCTAGCAAATTACTTCAATGACTAGATATGAATCCCATATGATGACAAATTGCTTATAAGCAAATGGATTTTTAAGAGCCTTAAGCAATTAAGTAGCCTAAGCCATAGGTAGTGTTTTTATTGAACCTCAGCGGCTTGTACTAGAAGGTCTGGTGCACAGAGACCAACCTACTTGCCCAGAGGAGGAGCTTATAGACTTAGGTGCTAAGTGACTTGCCCACGACCATGCAGCCGCCAATAGCACACATGGTGCTTTCCTCTTCTCATCAACAGTGCGAAGATGGTCTTCAGCTCAAACTTCCCCAATTTATTCCAACTTCTAAAGCAGTAGTCTAAGGTAAGAATCAACTGCCCATCCTTTTTCACATTACACAGGGACTCTTGTATTCATGCCCAGGTAACAGGGTTACACAGAGTAGGGTAAAAGAAAATTCAAACACCACAATGGGAAAAAATGGAAACCTCCAATAACTTACAAAAACAAAATACCCAAAGAACTTTATCACTAACCAAATAATTATTACAAATTTCTATGACAGGCCAGGTGTGGTAGCTCATGCTACGTAATGTCAGTGCTTTGGGAGGCCAAGGCAGGATTGTTTGAGGCCAGGAGTTCGAGAACAGCCTGGGCAACATAGCAAAATGCAGTCTCTACAAAATATACAAAAATTATCCAGGTTTGGGAGTGTATGTCATAGTCCTAACTACCTGGGAGGCCGAGGCAGGAGGATTGCTCGAGCCCAGAAGTTTAAGGCTGCAGCTAGCTATGATAATACCACTGCACTCCAGCCTGGCTGACAGAGAGAGACTGTTTAAAAAACAAAAACAAAAAACCCACACATTTCTATGATAAAACAAAAACAAGCAATTTGTCTCTTAAATATAACTAAGCTAAGCACTTTGTTAAGCTGGATAAAAGGTTATGCATTAAGGCCAAAATTAACTTTTCCCTGACCTTGGAACTGAACATTTTAGCAGGGCTCAAATAATCAGTGTGGGGAGTTCTCCCCTTTTTCTAATTCAAGCTCACCTTGTAGAAATCAAATCTGAGAAATACTGTTATGGTTCTGTAGCAAGAAAGAAGACAGCGAAGTGAAATATTACATATGTAACTATATATTTTCTTACGAACTTCAGGCACTAGGACAAGAAGCAGATGAACATGTATAGCCAGTATTGGGCCACCATGCCCGTCCCACCTAGACTCATACCTTGTCTCATCCACTCGACCTCGTCCTCGGTGACAAAGCTGCACAAGGCTTTTGCCATTGCCAGTCGTATTGCTCCAGCCTGCGCTGACCTCCCGCCCCCTGAGACTGTGCAGGTCACGTCGTGCTTTCCCAGCCGGTCAACAAAGTGGAAAGGGAACATCAGCTGTTCTCTAAAGCACAGCACAAGTAAATGTGGTTACGTTTACTATAAAGATACATAATTATGTAAACAACTGAAATTCTGAATATTCATAAAAACAATATTCTGCATGCCACTGTTATACTTTTCATACTTCTCAATCAATCCATTTTACCAAGATATAGAAACACTAACATTTCTGACATTTTGAATGATTTGCTGAGAGATTAAGATTTATTTCTTTTGCTTGGGTATAGCAACACACTCTTACTGTTTGCTGATCCCCTTTATCTCAGAAGATCTTTTCAAAGCTTGAAAATAATCTCGTAAAGAAGTCTTACAGTTGGGGAACTCCATTAATCAACTGAATTTAATGTCTCTGGATTGAATGATCAGATATAAAATCAATAGGCCTTTCCAAACAATTATCACATGTCATTTGGATTCACTAAATAAAGTCTACTATAAGTGTATCTGTATAATGTATAATGCTCATCTTGATATGGTTAGTTTTTAAAGTTTCTAAAACTATTTTCGACCTTGCACTTCCCTGACACCAAACACCTATTCCCAATATTCTTAAAGTTCTCTAAATCATAGGGTCCTGCTACCTTCCTGGGGCCAGGTGACATTCTACACAACCCCTGTCAGGCCTGCTCTTTCAGGGTCGGTCAGGGCCTACAAGATCCTGGGGCAGGCACCACAGACAAAACACGGCCCTGGACTTTCTCCTGCTCAACTGAACAAGTATTTGTTGAATATCATTTTCACGCCAGGTAAGATGTTCACCATTACCTCTGTCAAGCACTTTGATTTTGCTATTTTGCCTTAATATCTTGCTACACTTTTATGCAGAAAAGCTCACTTATATTGCGTTTGCTTTCTTTGATGCTGTAGCTTCTAGACCCAAAATCAAGTTTATATAACACAGTTAAGCTGAGAGACAGGTATGGACAGGACATTCAAGTGCTATTCTTCATACCACACTAGTAAAATAATCACAAGCAGATGGGCAAAAGATGACTTTCAAAAGCCATAGCAAATCGGAATTTATAACAATACGATGTAGGGATGACATAACTCCTACAACAACAAAAAACTCATAAATCTATACTGTCTTTTTGAACAAATGCTTCCAAGAAACCAAATGAAAAGTAGCCATAAGTTATAAAAACAGTATTATAAGTAGTATCTATTAATATACTATGATAACTAAAGAAAATTTAAGCTGAGCACCTAAAGTACAAGCTACTCAGGAGGCTGAGGTGGGAGGACTGCTTGAGCCCAGCAGCTTGAGTCCAGTCTGGGTCCAGAAGTTTGAGTCCAGCCTGGGTGACATAAAGAGACCTTGTCTCTTAAAAAAAAAAAGTAAATATAAAAGAAAATTTAGGCTGGGCGCAGTGGCTCATGCCTGTAATCCCAGCACTTTGGGAGGCCGAGGCGGGCAGATCACCTGAGGTCGGGAGTTTGAGACCAGTCTGACCAACATGGAGAAACGCCGTCTCTACTAAAAATACAAAACTAGCCAGGCATGGTGGTGCATGCCTGTAATCCCAGCTACTCAGGAGGCTGAGGCAGGAGAATTGCTTGAACCCAGGAGGCGGAGGTTGTGGTGAGCCAAGATTGCACCACTGTACTCCAGCCTGGGCAACAAGAGCGAAACTCCATCTCAAAAAAAAAAAAAAAAGAAAAAAAAAATGTACAGACTGAAAATCTAATTCCACTATTGCATTTACCTCGACCATCTGGCTCCATGACTCAGTTATATATCCAGTAATTACATTATGAAATCTATTTTTCTAGATTTTAATTGAAGTCTCTTTTTATTTATATAAGCATTTGTTAAAGAATCATAAAATTTTAAAAATTAAGCCAGGAAAGTGTTTAAGCTCCCAAACAAATGGCTGTCCAGAAGCCTCCCTTGTAACTTCACTTACGTGGCTAACCCACTTCACTGTGTGTTAGGTGATGACAGAATTCCGATCAAGATCCCTGATTCTGGGTTGGTTAGTCTTCCTATTAGTCAATGGTCACCTCACTGCTGATTTGTAAGTTCCTGAAGTGACTGCCCTAAATCCTTACAACTACTTTAAAATAGTTGTAGGTGCCCATTCCCACCAAGACTAGGCTTAGGCTTCCCAACCATGTAGGAAGTTTCTTGACAATAGGAATCATATCTTAAATATCTCTGATATCTTCACAATGCCCAGAACAAGACTGGAGACATAGATGTCCTTAGTAAAAAGCTGCTGAATTCAAACCAAAGAATAAGATCTAAAGATGTAATTTCATTATGAGATCAAGCCAGAATTGAGACTTGCTGTTAAATCATCAGGAGTTATGTCTGAATACAAATCAACAGACAGGTTATTGGTTAAAGAACAGTCCTCCTATAGTTCCCAATGTTGAAGTTATCAAACCCTGGGGTATGGGTTTCTCTCTGGCTTTTCCTAAGGGAAATAAAAGCTTCTTCCATCCCCTGTCCTGTGAGGATAATAGCAGAACTAATTCATCTTAAATGGAGTTAAGAATGCACTGCTTGTTGACACAGGCACACACAAATAAAATAAACACACATTTCCTAAAATAATTATTGTGTCCAGAAGCTTACACTGTATTAGGAGGGTCCTCTTTTGCCTATATCAGCATTGGTATCAAAAGAGTTTTAGCCCTTTTGACCTTAAATACCGTAACACATGCAGGAAACAGGAGAAGGATTAGGAAAGGAGGAACTAATCATACCAAACTTCTGTTACTCGTGGATAATGACAGTAAGTACTGGGAAAATAATAACCATATCAAGAAGAGGCCTTTATATAGCAAGTCAGAGAGAGTTCTGAGATGAGTATATTTAGATTAGAAGAGCTGTAGTATCTATTTATGATTAATGTCTATTTCTCCATAGGATACAAAGTTTAAAAATTAAAACTGCCATATTTAGCACCCAGAACTAAGCAAAGCCTGATGAGTTCTTATTTTAACCCATAAATGCTAGGTTTCTTTGCTTGCTCAATATATATAATCACATTCCTCTGAATAGGAAAAAATCCAAAATGATAAAGCAGAATTTTTCTAATATTTATGATCAGAAAAACATACACAAGCCACAAGAAATTACTTGCACTTTTCTTTGCCTTGTGAGTTAGGTCAGTTTTAAGTGCCAAGGCTGGTTGTTGTGGTGGTGGTTTTGTTTTGTGCACGCCCATCCCCAAACTAGAAGGTGGAAATCTAAATCAAAATTTTTTACATTTTGGCACAGTCTGCACTTCAGAACATAAGCTACATCTAAGACTACTCAAACTGCAGTAGGATCTGATGAAAAGGGGAAGAAGAGTCAATTAATGAGGAATTCTAGAGATGCTTTTTAAAAAATCTGGAAGCTGCTTTAAAAAATAGCTTCAATTAGCTAGTTTGATATGTTACATTGGTAAAGAGAAATAATCATTCAGATAAACAGAATTAGAAGATCACAAGCCTTCTTAAATGATCATGATGTATTATAAAGTATGTTTCCTTTAAAAACAAAAAATCAGAACCCAAAACGAACCTGTCCTGTGTGATCGGGAAGTAAAGCTGGTAATCAATTCCATTTACTTTTATTCTTCCACTTCCATGTTTATAAACAATTGCTTCTGCTTTTGCAGTCTTTCTTTTACCTTCAAAAATATAAAATTCCTATTAGTAAATATCTTGAAGACCTGCGCTTTGAGACAGGTAAAACTACATTAAAATTTGTTTCCCCAAAATAATACACAACACTGTACATAAGCAAGTCCTATAACTATTATTTCAAGTCAAACAAAAATAAAGCAGGTAAACTACAGCACAACAGATGCAATAAAGCTCATTGTGGGGTAATTTTGTTCTTCAATTCCATTTTAGAAACACTACAATGATTTTAAATTAGTTTGAACAACCAACAAAGTAATTTATATTCATTTCCCTTACGAGAATCCACAACCAATTTACATAGCATTCTTCTTTTATAAACAGTAAGAATATATCTAACAACATAAGTTTTAGAAATATATAAATAGTATGATGAAATATAACTAGTAGAAATAAAAAAATACTCAGGAAAGGTCACATTTCTTTGAAAACACCACAGTAGTTAAAAATGACAATGACGTGAAATCTTTTAAGAGTTGTAAATATTTTAATAGTTCAAGTCGTAAAAGTTGGACTACGTCTAATGGCTCTGAACAAGAAAAATGTGAGTTAAGGACGTGAAGTTTTCACATTACATAGTTTTGGCATTTGATATGCAGATTCATTGAGCATTTTCATTTTTTGCAAAGAAAACTTTATTATAAATATTTTACCGATTCTAGCAGCTTAAAATGTGAAAATTAAAAGATTCAACAATATAAATGTGTGAAAAGAAAAAGTGTTAATATGACTGTATAGGTATGCATCCACATTTTTTTCTTAGGATATTATACAGTTCAGTTTTGAAAAACTTCAACAGAATCTTAAAAATTAGGAAATCCAAAGTAACGGTAGCAAAAATAAACAAATAAAAAATCTAATGGATACCAGAAAGCAATAGCAAATAAAAATAATTGTAGTTTTTCAACCTTCACTGAATTTATTTTCTCTCCACAGAATGTCATTACCTTCACTTTTGCTAAAGGCCATTCCTTGCTCATCATACTGTACAGGTTCAATCAGCTGTTTTTTTGATTCAAGAGTTACACTTCTTCGAAACCTCTGCACAAATTCTTCCTCAGCAGCACCACACTGCGATGTCAATAACTTTTCTAGCAGCCGAATGAACTGCATATACTGCAGACAATAAAAATTCATTAGAAGGTGCAAGTGTAATTGCATTTGCTAAATTTTTTCTATTTTTTGCATACTTGATCTTTCCAATGTTGCTTTTCCTGATGAATTTTGACAGGATGACACTTCTGCATCTTCACGCTGCTTTTAAAACAGCATGCAGATGCATCACTTTTCCTGCGTATCTTTAGTGCCAAATCTTTTCTTTCAAGAAACAAAGAGATTTATCATTCAAAGAAAAATCAATTTCTCTGTATTATGTTTATGAAATTGAGATTTAAATTCACTTTCAAAAAGTATTTAGATGATCTTCAAGTGTAATTTGCTCTCTTTTATTAGAACTGTATCAAGGGGAGCTTTATAAATAATTTCAAGTAAGTTATGTATAGTAATATGGAAAGAGTTTGATTTTGAGAAAATGTACCTCTTAAATTATATTTCATAATACATTTGGCAAATATATCTTTGGCTGTTCAAGCTGTGTTACTTTAATGTTTATGATTTCCTTTAAAACCGAACAATCAAGCTATTTAAAAATTCAAGAGATACTTGACTTAAAGGGCAACCTCTTGAAATAAATTATCCTTGCTCCTCTGTGCATTTTTTTTAATAGTTCTTGAACATGTGATTAGAAAGTAAACAACTTGGAATTAACCCCTTAAAATTAGAAGCCAGAATAATCACTCTAAAGTGTTTATGGAGAAGGAAACAACTAATGCTTGAGATTCTTAGTTAATATGGATTGTGAAACTCAGTTTTTTATAACCTTATTTATGTTTTTTGTCGGCGTTAAACATCACACTCATCTTTGTCACTACTGCCTTTATTGTAAAAATCTGCCATTAATAGTTTGAAATTTTTAAAAATCTCACCAGTAAGATTAATATTAAAAGAACTACTTTGACTACAGCTTCCTATGATGTAATGAAAGAGAAGGCACTCTTCTAGTAAGGGTGAAATACTCAGCTACCTAGGATATTGGGTGGGCAGAGCTCCATGCTCCTCTCCAGTCACTGGCCTGGGCGTTCTGTGCTCAGCTACTCTCTTGATTGCATCTCACAGACTCTCAATGACTTCTGCACCTACAAAGGGGCACTATGGGTGGAACTCAGCCTTGCTTCTGAACTAGGTCAAGAAGTCACTGACCACCTCCACATCCCTCATCTTGATACCAGCCATAAACATTAGGATTTCTTCTGATATCCAGTACCCCAAAGTACAAAGTATCATATATAACTTGTTTCTTTTGTTTTCATAGCTGTACACCTGTATTAAAGTCCGTGGGATATTACAAAGCAGAAAAAATACCTGAATTATTAAAAAAAAATCAAAGCAGCCAGAAACAGAGGAAATAATGAAATTACTTGTTCAGTGAAGAAGCAAAGAGATTTTTCAGTTAGATTCAAGTAGAGCAGTACTTGGCAGTTAGGATATTAGAAATTAACTCTGGATCTACCACTAACCAATTGTCTGACACTTTGTTTAAGCAAACTGCAACTTTTCCAAATCATTAATTTCTATAATACATTAAATGAGAAAAAGAACAATTCAAGTACATGACTTAAAATCTATATATGGTGGCAAAGTACTAACAATGTTAGCCACCGCCATCAAAGAAAATCTCCATCTTGGAAAAATTTGTGAAATTTATCTACACCCCAATCTTCCAGAAAGTAATAAATTTGGAACATCAAAATGTTTAAGACATCAACTGTCCTGTGAAAATGTTGATATATTAGAACATTTAACAAAATAAGAATGCAATTAAGACCTAAAGCAGGGGGTCACAAACTTTATAGGGTATAAGATTCGCCTGGAAAGTTGGTTAAAAAGATTCCTCGGTAACTCCCTAGAGATTCTGAGCTAGATCTAGGGTGAGGCTTAGGACACTGTAGTTTGTAACCAGCATTTCAAGGGATTCCGACAGAGGTGGTTTGCAGATCCCAAGATAAAAACCACTGACCTTACAGATATGGCACACAAGGTAAGCAGTAAACTGCATGAAGGTAACCATGTGCTGCATCCCTTTTCTACTTAACCTATAATGACTCCTTACACTTATCATCAGCTTGTAAAATTAGCTACTGGCCTTACGTAAGGAGATGAAACAACATCTGCCGTGCTTCCCTAAAACAACTGGCACAGGATATGAGGGCACTTACAAGAGGAGGACTTGGAGACTCGACAAGTCACCTCCCTGACCACAAATAAGGTCCTCCCAAGGCAGAAATCAATGATGAATGTGTTTTGTTTTTTTGTTTTGTTTTGTTTTGTTTTTAAAGAAAGAAAGAAAAGTCATCGTAGGAACACCTGCCTCTGAGGAACATTACTATTAGGATCCTAAATACAGCAATTGTCTGTATTCTTATTGCATAGGTCCCCTTAAATTAAAAAGATTAATTACTCACATCTAGATCTGACAGTTTTTCCACTAACATTTCTTCTAGTTCCTCCTTAATCAGCCATCTGCTGCCAATCACGTCTCTGTTAAAATATCACATATATTCTCTTTTTAATTAGCCATGCAATTAGAGTTATATCACAAAAGATCCCACATATAGTAGCAATTTTATGATTTGAAAATCAGTTTTTATATTATATAGCAGTAATTTTACCCAACTAAGCTATTTTTGACATACATTCCATTTCCTCAATCTACTCTAGAAAAGGTATCTACTCTAGCAAATGTTTTAAGAGTTAAATATGCCACTATGGAACTCACTTGGTATTAAAAGCCCACCAGATTTCTTAAAGATTAAAATTGTGCCTGTATAACTTACTTCAAAGAAGATGTTATAGATACAACGTTAACCTGTCAATAGACTAATGTGGTAGCAAGGTCAACTAAAGGGACAGGAGTGCATTTAACTTAACTTAAACAAGGTGTTCTTCCTTTATGGAAGAAATCTTGAATAGATAGGCCAAAATTTAACACTGGCTGATCAGTTTGATGGATCTGATCTTATCGCTGTCTGCCAAATGGAAGCAGAAACCTTGAAATACCAAAATATAAAAATAAAATGTAAAAAATTAAAGCATGCAAATGCTAAATAAATGTGCAGCTATATACATAAAAATTCTGAGGACATCATATCCAGGTATAGTAATTAAATATTCTATCACATATAAATCTGGGATAAAATAACATAAAAATAACTTCAATTCATGCTTCCTCCTAAACAAAAACTATCTATTATTTTGAACCCTAACCTTAATGCTTAATGCTGAAATACTGAACAAATTTTAGGCTTCAGGTATGTCTAAAAAAATACCAATGAGTGGCATGTTTTTAGTTCAAATTTTACTTATATTTTAATGCAAGAAAAGAGCTTACCTGGTTACAGTTTTTTCTGGGAGCAGACTTTTGGCTTGCAAGTGACTTTGATGTTTTTCTAAATTGAGTAACATTCCATATACATCCTATGGCAAACAAAATATACAGTACATGCTAAAAATAAGAGCAATGGTACATTATAACTTCTGATATATTTTATAGTTTTCTCCTGTAAGTACTTCCTAAGGTGTCCTCCTCCTCAGAGAATCAAGCTGCAGAGTAAATAAAACTGAAAATGCTTTTAATAATACTATTTCTCATTTAAACTAAAGGATGATAGAGTAATTTCAATGAGAATTTAGTGTCATACATCACAGCACACTTAACTTTAGCTGATTTTAAAATAACTCTATAAAAATTTTACAACTCTACTTCAGTGAGGTTGGTTAAAAAAAACCAAAAACCTTTAACTATTTTCCTTTTCTTTCAGAAAAAATCGTAATTTATATGGCAATGTGCACTTTAAACTTAGAGAATTATCCAGTAAAATATATGGTATTTATAGATACTTACGTATTATTTAATACGACTTACTACTTATTTAATATTTAAATAATATTGAAGTCCTTATCATATAGTTTTTATCTTAAAAAGAGCTATTATATTTTTTATTTGATTTCCTCCTATTAATTTACTTCCTAACAAAATCTGTGAATGCATGTCACTTGTTAAATTACAATGGAAGTAGAAGTTTGCCATTTTGTTAAAACTTGCAAAAAGCAATAATCCAGCAATAAGGATCATCAATGAAATATATTTTCTAGGCAATGAGTTTACAACAAGCAAAATAGTACAGCTTTTGCCTGAGCAAACTTAACTTTTTGAGACTAACACTCAATACATTTGTATTTATTCATTTATAATTTACACATAACCTACCATACTAATACCCAATGAGCAGATAGGCATTTTAAAAGAATGAGCCAGAGATGACATAAATTTACTTTTTTTTTTTTTTTTGCTAATCATGATACCTCCTAGTATCAGCAAATCTCAGAAGATACACCTTGTTACTGATAGAGATGTGTCAATCCATATCTCAAACAGTCTTAATAATTTCAAGTTTTCAGGGGCAACTTCTTGTGGGCTCTGATTAGACTGCCATATTACCACATAATGTTGCTGATAAAGTTTTATCTAAGTGTAGGAGAAATGTCCCTTTGCCACTGTCATCACATTTACTAGTGCTTGCATTTTAGCATGGTCTTCACTCTGCAACCTGTTTTGAGGAATCAAAGGAAGGAAGGAAGGAAGGAAGGAAGGAAGGAAAAAAGGCAGGAGGGAGGGAGGGAGGGACGAAGTACAGACTGAGCCTTTGAATTTTTGTAACATAGATGAGAAAAGCCGATATAATACTCAACAGGTAGGACTCCTCAGTGAATAAGGATGTAAAAGTTCATTCCTTTTGGCTGGGGAGATTCATGTAAGTGTTTTTTGCTTTGTTTTTCATTAAGCGTAGTAGAATTGAGAGTTTAGAAGAGAAAAGAAAAAAGAAGCAGAGAGAAAAGAAGAAACAGCACTAGAAGCTACAAAATTGGTGGTGAGCTAGACATTACCAGTAGACATGAATATCTCAAAACTGAAAGTAAATCCATCACTCTAGCTCAGCAATTCTAAAAGTGCAGTCCCTAGATCATCATCAGCAGCAGCAGCATCCAAGCCTAGACTGGCTAGAAATGTACACTCTAAGAACTACAGAGAATCTAGTTCAACACAATAGCAGAGGGACAAATGAAGTTAATTTCATCCTAGTATTCATATTAAGTGGAAATGTCCCTACAACTACATCCCAAGTACATATCCATCACCTGCAGCAGCAGAGGAATGTATCTGACAATTAGAAGACAAACAAAAGCCAACTGTCCACCCTAAAGCAAAACCACAAACCATCCACATATAGAAAAACAGGGGTATATATCCACATATATATATCCCTGTTACTCTACTGAAAGTAAAAGTTTACAATTTATCTCCCAAGAATTGGTAAGCCTTGCTGACTGTGGTTAGGGTACCTTTAACTCACTTTTAAAGGCTACAATACTGAGTTGGGACTTCAAATGGATAGTATATCAGAAAAATTTCAATACACCTCTGTTTCTAGAAGCAATTCTCAAATGACCTGAATAAAGAACTCCCCCCACCAAAAAAAATGGATGCTCCCCACTTATACGAAATGGACAGACGCAGGCAAACAGCATGCCACTGCGCACCCAGCACAGCCTGTCAGCAGGCTGGACCACAGGCAGACTGTGGCTCCATTGGGGTGCTCTGGTAAGGAAACTACATTCCAACTACATATCCATCACCTGCAGCAGCAGAGGAATGTATCTGACAATTAAAAAACAGCTCTCAGCTGCCGCGTCCAGAGTCCTGAGGTTCAGAGAGTGCAAGTCTATCTTTCAAACTAGCGAAGAATATATGAACTTAAAAGAATGCCAGCAATAGTAGTAAATTGCTGAGTAATTTACTACCCTCCTCCGCTTACAAGGGTTTACTTAATTTTCTGAAATAATTAAGGCAACTAAAATAACAACAATCAACCTATCTTGTACGTAAGTTTTAAGTCAAAGTATAGGCTGTCATTTCCCAATGACTTTTGAGCAATTTTTACTCTCAGTCCTTATTTTTCTTAAAGTATTCTTCTATGATGCCATTTCCTCCTGTTGTACTGAGATCTATAATAATTTATAAATGGTACAAGTAAAACTATCAGAAAAAAATGTGGAAGAGGAGAAAACAACCCATGAAAAAGACATGTCAGATTTCAAACACGATGAATTCGATTCATTTGTGGCAAATGCTTACAATTTGATGATTGTAACCCATCAAATCACATAATGCCCATTAAGCCACTCCATACACTTCTTTAAATAGGAAAATATATGTAAAGTACGTACTTAGCACAGTGCCTGACCTATAGTAATGGTCAAGAATGATAGCGGGGGTGAGGTATGGCTTTCAAGAGTCAAACAATTTTACTGGTGCATCATTTCCATTTATTCTTTCTCTTTTGCATAATAAAACCACTCTTAAGATTCTACCTTGGTTAGTTAGAGACAACAGTTCTCTGGAAAGTAGATTCTATAGCTTCAACTCCCTGAAGAGATGTGTGCTAATTTACATCAAAAAAATCCTTAAGGGTATAAAATATGCCAAGAACTGTCAACATCACAGATTACCACTGGTAGCTTCTGGTATATTGTTAAGTTTCCACTTAATTTTTAAGGGACACTAGAGAATTAGTATGACTCACCTACACTAAGTTTATATACTGTATTTAACAGTGTAATTTTCAAATATGACAGGAATAACCCAGATGTGAAATGCTGAATCATTAATCACAGCTATGATTAATATTTCATAAAATCAAAGCAAGCCTATCCACCCCTCGTGTCATCAGATTTCCATAATGTATGAGTCAAATTTAGAAGGTGCCTAATTTGAAAATACCAGATGCTCAGGTTGCAGAAAAGAAATGCTTAAACTAAACCCTTCTGAGAGTATGAGCACTATGATTTTTAGTATCCTTCTGAAATCTGTTTTGGTTCTATTAATCATGTGGAAATTCCAATTTTAGGAAGTGTAAACAAGTAACATTTCATGGGGAGGTGATATAGAAAAAGTCTATTGTATTTTGGTACACAACATAAATAGTAACTAATAGTAATTATCTTAGATACTAGTATGGTAATAGTAAAGTAACTGACTTAAAATCTGTGTTTGTTAAAGAAATCACAGAAAATCAATTTCTTAAATTCTCTCCTCAATTTTTTGGCCACTGGCATATACAAAATCAAATCAAACAAATAAAAATGTAATCCACTTATCATTAACTAAGAGGTTTACGCTATGTATCTCAAGTTCCAAGTGACATACTTCTGTTATAGACTCTTGCTATTACTTTGTGAATACAATACAATATACTATATAGATTGTACATCATGTAAATGCCATTCAACATACAAAGAAAATCATCTCAAGATGGAACATATGAAAAAGGACTCTGGGGAAGTCCACACCCAGGAGTGATGACCTGAAAGTTCTTATAACTCAGACAGCATATATTTTTACTATTCAAATTAAAGGCCCATCATATATTATAGTAATTATACCATTACAAAGAGGTAATCTAATTAAAGCCAACATAGAGACAATAATATGTTGAATCCTTTTCTAAAAAATTAATTTTCTTAATTGGTACACTTGGAGCATACCAGATATACAATGGTAATTATTCATATGGGAGGAAAATATACATTAAAGACACCTCTATAACAGCAATTTCGACTGCTGAATTAATTACTGAATTAACTCCTGCTGTCAAGGAAAGTCTTAAAACAGCATGCAAATATATTTTAGCATCAGTTTGTAGCTTTTTTAAAATAAGCACTTTACATAGTTGTAGTTATTTCACGACACCTCACTGCGAGAAGGGTCACTATCTTAATTTTTAAAAGACAGCACTACATGCAAGAGTTTTAAATATTCTCTGCAAGGTCACAAAGAGGATCTAGACACATCTGAACTAAGTAAGAATTCTGTGATACTCCGTCCCCAGGACTTCTGCTAAGAGTCTGGAATCTTCACATAATGAAGCAGCACACTTCTGGGGCTGCTGTTCCAGGCTTTAAGAACCGAGTAGGTTACTGAAGTCCTTTAAAATGAACTGGAGATTCTCCAAATACGCCAGGAGCTTCCTTCACAAGGCAAATGAACCCTGTGTACACATACGTTACAAGGATTAGAATTACCTGGTTTTCTCTCACATTTTAAACTTTACTACTTATCCCTTCATTTTACATATATATATATATATATATATTTTGGTATATATTTCATCTGTGGCCATGTAACTCCTTCAATTTAAAGAAATACTTTGAAAATACTCAATTGTTTACTGTAAAACTGGTTCTAAAACATAAATGAAGTTTCTACACAATGCTAAAACCTAGTGCAGTGTTTAGAGTTGCATACTTTCCTTTCCTTAAAGACTGGGATGAGGGGAGCTTTTGTAAAACTTCAATAAATGCTTAGGGTATTGGGGCTGATATCAGTCGTAAAACTAGGACTTTATTAACCTCTCTTTTGAGAAAATGTATTTATCTAAGGCGAGTAATGCCTACAATGACAATATATAGAGTTTTCAATATTCTGTACTATGGTCCTCCCCAAGCACTGGTTTCATGGGACATTAAAAGGGGTTTGGAGTAGGAAGTGTTCTACAGCCCACTCGGTTTGAGCAGCAGAGTGTTAAAACAACATGTTTCTTAAGGACTTCACAGAGCTTTGATCCTACTAAGTGTCTCCTTATTAGAGTTCCCCAGTACACAATATGTAACATTCCTAAACTAACACCACTTCAGAGCCTCTTTCCTGAAGAATATTTCACAGTCTGTATTCTGCAGAAAGCACTTTGGGAAGAGCTGTGTTACAGACATGCCTTGACTTAATGAGCCATGTTTTACAAAAGGGTTACCACTTCAGCGTCAAATAATCCCCTCCCATTATGAGTTTTAAAGGATTTTCAACTTACTTTTAGTTAGTGAATTTTAATTTTTCAGAAACATATGTATTGGTAAATGTTTTTTTCTTAAAATTAAAGGACCTTCACAAACTGAACCATGAACACCAAGGCTGCGGCCCACCGTTCCCTTTGCCACCAGCTTGGTCATCCTGGACAGGCCCAAGCTGCTGCAGGAAAGGAGGTAACCCTGGTGGGGTTTACAGCCTTGGACCCAAAGGGCAGCCCACTCTCTGGCCTAGTCCTTTCTCCACTTCCCGCAGTCTACACCTAGGCTAGTCACAACTCGGTTATCTTGCTGTATAGCATTTTATTTTTTACACAGCCATCTATATCCTCTTTAACATTCTTCCCCCTCCTTCACACCTTTGCTCAATTGTTTCAGGAAACTTTATTCTTTCTCTCTTTCTTGAAACCTAAAGCCCTAAATCATGTCTGAAAAGCAAACAAGTTATACTGGTTAAATGGCTATTAAGGAAATGAGAAGCCATCCATTTTTGGTGAAAAAGCCAGCCAAGCCAGTGCCACCATGCAGGGGATCCCTTCATGGTACTCAATGATGCATTGAGAAACTCAAGAAGTTTCTTATTTCTTCTTATTTAAATTACTTTTTATTAAGAAATCATTTGTTACTATGGTTTTATACTTTTTCATTATATACATACATCTTATTAGTGTAAAATAAATGAGTTTTTAATCGACTTTCCCAGGAACCTGAAGACATGTGGATCATTATATCCATAGGAAAATGGGAGCCCCAAGTGCCTTGCAAGTGAACCTGTGGAGTGTGGCACATTTCCAAAACGTGAGAACATCACGGATCAGCAAATCCCCCTTCACTTTATACTTTCCTATCACGCTTCATTTCTGGGCAGGAACAATAAACTGTACCTTATATTTCATGGCCATTTTTCCTCAAAAACCTCCCCATTTCTCCAGAGAAAGTGGATGGACTAAATATAGGTCAACTGGAAACAGGATTCACTAAAGTGTCATACACAGATCTTAAGATGCACTGCAAGGTGCATCAGGGCCATCTTTTATTAATTGCTATAACGTAATATATACGCTTCCTATGCAAACAGTCACCAAATACTAAAAAGATTTGTCAACTTTACAGAGGATAAGAAGGTTAATCGGCATCAGAAGGGTCTCCTCACATAACTGCACACAGGCACTAGATGTGTTTTCCTGTCACAGCTCCTGGCCAATGGCATCTGGGCCTCGTACAATTACAGTTGGGCAATAACGTGGGAAAAACAGTTTGGCTTAGTGTCTGTTACCCTGCCACATAGGGAAAAAATTATATCAACAAAAATAAATGGTAGCAACAAGGATTCATTTCCAACTCTTTAAAGCTTGCCACAGTCTTCAGGGGCGACCTCCCGTGCTGCAGTGGGGACAGCCATCCTGTGATCACTCACAGTGGGAAGGGGACGGTTCCCCCCACCACCAAGGCCAGGCAGAACAAAGAGAGTGCAGACAGGCGAGATGGCTCCAAGTGTTATAGCTGGACTTTCTACGCAGTGCCTGGCCACTACAAAAACGCTTCTGTAGGGTGAATGATGAACATTTAGTCACTATTTCAAAGTCTCAGTATCTCCTGCAGATGATCGTGATATGTGTTATCTGGGAAACTAGGCTGGTGTGACTGCAGCTGTAATTAATGACACCTGCTATACATAATGCTGAAATGTATGCATAAGGCATACACTTAGAAATTACTGCATTGAACTAAAATATAAAAGCCCAAAGGACTCTTCTATAGATACGTAACAAAACTTAAATTACTCAAAAACAAAGAATGTTTATTAATCAGATATCATTTGACATTTTAGTCAGAGAGTATGGTAACATTTCATCCACTTAGAAACTGATCAGTTTCTTGAACAATACCTTTTAAAACATAAAAACAAACTTAGAAAAGTTAGGTCTCTTATAGGATGTGTAATTTCCTCATTATGATGGAATGTAACAAAATATCTTGCCCTTGGGTTGCTCGGTTTCAGCCAAAACAAATGCAAATGGCATGTCAGATGACAGCTGTTTGATAAGGCTCCTCTACAAGACCTGCATGCTTTACTTTTTTCCGTGAAACTTGGGATGAAAGGCAGAAGGCAGGAAGAGAATTAATGTAGCATACAGTCTAAAGGCAATGCTACAACCGTGATTAAGTAGAAAAGTTAAAAGGCACAGATTTTCCACAGCTTCGCTGCGTGCAACCCATCCGTGTAACAAGTTGACAGGCCTAGCGCGTCAGCTCCATCATCCCCTCCGACAGCTAAAACGCAGCATTGCATCCCTTTTCAGAGAAAATTTGCGTCTGCACCATGAAGCGTTGTACATTATTTCTTAGCACTGCAGGGGGCTCAAGTCCATATGGAACCTTCACAAATATTACCACAGATCAAACCGGCGGCGTTTGGAGGCAGATTTGACATACCTATTTAAATGAACAGCAGGGGTCCCCGGGCAGCCTCAGGCTGTGCGGGAGAGAACCTCTACCGAGCCGGAGCCGCAGCTCCATTACTCAGCAAAGACACACTCTACATTTATCATTCATTTCATTTCTGCCAGGGCAAGAAGCTCATTTGCCCAAGGTCAACAAAAAGCGAAAAGAAGGTTGTTTTTTTTTTTCCCCCAAGAAATAAATGTACCTGACAAGTGGGAATTTTGTCCTTTGGGTTTGTGGAGCACAAATAAACAGCAGATAATTCTAAAAAGCAGAGTAAATGTGTGCACTGATTCAAGCCACTGCAATCTGACTGTAGATGGGGGAAGCCCAATAAATATTTTTGAAACTTTAAAAAATCATATAATGAGTAAAATAGAACTTGATATCATGTTCTAAAAATAAAAACAGAATATTGGCATCCAGCCTTTTTTTCCATAGCAGTTCTGGGGAACTCTTCCAAATTTGCACACTATCAGACACTTATAGCTCTGAAAACAAAACAAAAATTGTTCACAGCATACTAAATGCAGTTGGAAGTCAAACTGTAATAAAATAATTTCTTAGGTTGTTTTGGGGCCCAAATTCTAGGCTCATACACTGCATTAACCTATGAAAGGCAAAAATTATATATATATAAAACAACAAAAAATGAGAAATAACCATTTGATTCTTTTTCAAGGCAAATGCCTCACAGCCCCCGACAGCATCATACACTTGGCCTCCTCCTTCTTTACCCTGGAAGCACATGTACACACTATAATTGAGTTGAACATCTATCTTGGAACATGATTTCAATTTCTAAGTAAAAGCATTTTAAAGACAAACCATTCTGATATAAACTCTATAAAGTTCACCTTTAGCAAAAATGAATTACTATAAATCATTTCATCAACACACTGTCCTACCTCTAGAAGTCTTATTTTTGTCAATTATAAAATACTAGGTAAATTCTGAAGCTGCGAACAGTATCCAGTATAATTAGTTTTGTAGCTTACAGCTCATATTATTTATCATAAATGCAATATACTTACATGCATTAATGAATAGTATGACTGTTTGCCAGTATAGAAGAGATAGTGAAATGGACGGCCATCTTCTCCCCACTGGATTGCTGATTTAAAAAAGCCAGATGAAAGCAAATAAAAATATACACAGAGACAGACCAAATAGCTGCATTTAACCACAGTTATGAGACACATTTATAATTGAGTAATAAAAAATACAAAAAAATCACCAACATTTAGAATTTTAATATTTAGTTTAGCATATTTATATGCAAATATTTAGGATATTAAATATTTCATACCATTAACATAAAACAATGTTTACATTTAATTTAAAAATTACTAAATATTTCACTATGAGAATTTCTGTATTGTTTCAAATAAAAGCTTATAAAATAGCCCAAATCATCTTGTTAGAATAAAAAAATTTAGGTTTGGCCATAAACATAACTCCCTCCCATATTTTTAAAAGGGAAAACTGATAAAGTAAAAAAATGCAGTGCATTCAGAGAATCTAAAACAGGTAAACAAATGAAAACTAAAGAATGTATTTTTCTATGCTACATCATTTGTTTCAACCCAGTGGTCATCAACCTCCGAGAGTTTAAAACATCAACAACAGAAAAGCCTCAAAAAGGTGTTGGGTGTAATTCCTTCTGAAATACAGATGGGCATTCATATCTAACTAACCACCACCAAGCAAACTGAGAAGTGGTGTTAGTCTAAGAAACAAGACGAATGCTAACTCTGTGTCCTTTGCGCATACTATCTCTGTTGTATGCTAACTCTGTGTCCTTTGCGCATACTATCTCTGTTGTTTCTCTGAAGCAGATTATACTTCCTGGTCCATTACAGAAGTTGTAAACTATTTTCCCCCAGGCTGTCACTTGCCTTTTACTTTTACTTATGTTACCTTTCATAATCGAGAAGTTTAAAATATGTAAATAGTCAAATCTGTCGCTTTTCCTCTACGGCAGCATGACTTGTTTTTTCATGATTCATCCCATGAAGGAATCCTTTATAGGCATTTTCTCCCTAATTTCCGCCCCCGCATGAAATGTTAATACCACAGATACACTACACATCTGCTGAAGTATACTGTGGCCCACTGGAGGGCCACAAACCATTGTAACAGTTAGGTTTCCCCACCCCCGTGAACCAGTCTTTGCCCCCACTGAGGAAACATGCTTTAAGGCTTTGGGCTCTCTAAAACTATTTTCTTGTATTTCTTCTGGAATTTTTATTTTATTTTCATGTTCAAATATTTAATCTATCTGGAATTTATGTTTGTGAGGCAGAAATCCAAGAACTATTTTGTTCAGTAAAGAGTCATTATCTCTCTACAGTTTTTTGAATAGTACATGCTTTTCTATTGAAATACCACCTGTATTATATGTAGGATGTCTTTCTTCTGAAACAAAGACCACATTTTCATAATAAATGCTAAAAAGAAAGTCTTGCTTGGGTATTTAGCTTGAAAAACCAAATTCTTATTTGCTAATGGCTTATGGTTGATTTCAGCACTTTTCCAAAATCATTGTCATAGACTTCATGAATCAAATCCGGCATATTTTCTAATATTTTTCTTTTCTTATGCAATTGATTTTCACTGTATGGTTAGTCCGTCAGAAAGTGATAAAAAATGACAAACATCATGGCTGCAGACAAGACTCTACTGGTAAGCTTGGAGAGATGCTTGAGTTGAGTCTCATATCATGGGATTGATTTCATTACATATGTGAATGTATACACACACACACACACACACACACACTTGACTTCACCGAACCTAAGGTATCACAGATTTTAAGATGCCTCATCATGTATTTTATATATCACAAAGAAAGAGAAAAAATACTGTCAAACCATGATATGTATCATAGTTTACAAAAATTGTGAAGTGTTCCCTGCTGTCAGACATTAAAATTTGAAAAAAAAAAAAAAAAAAGTCTTAGAATTAACTGAATAAGGCACAAACACGTGCTGCCAGGACTTTGCTCATTGGTCTGTCTACTCTGCGTCAGTAACCACCATTTTAATTAGCAGAGCTTTTTGCTGGGTTTTGATACCAGGTATGATGAGCTTACTTCATTACTTAAAACAATTTTTTTTCCCACTGCTTCTTGCACAACTAGACTTGACAAGTTTCTCCCAAAAGTTGTGCCAAAACTTTAAGTAAAGTTATATTCAATTTATCAATAATTTAGAAAGCAGCAACTCTGGAATATTGTCTTCCCTTAGAGAACCATGGAATTTTTCCAACTGTTCAGATTTTCACTTCTGATCTTTAACTGAGTTATCATAATTTTCTATATAAATCTCATATATTTTGCAAGTCTTATTTGTGTATTTTAGTTTCTGTTTCTCTTGATACTGCCCTCCCCTATTCAGTTATCTATAATAAAAACATAATTTTACACAAGTAACACATACTTCCCAGATCACATGTTAAAATTCCGTTGCCAGAACAAGGCGGGAGTTTATTGTTCTGGACTCTCTGTGCATTTACCTATGTATGCCTGCATGAAATAGGGTTGTTTGTGTGGTTCTTTTAAAGATATAAACGGTATTAAACTGTATTTATGCTACATACACCATTTTTTTACTTGCTTTTTCCACTCAAAGTTACACCTCTACTAGCACAACTAGCTCTATCTCACTCTTTTTACGGCCTGTATATTATTCCACAGCATGAGTTTATTTAGCTACCCTATGATGAACATTTAGACTTTTTCCAATTTGTTGCTGATACAATATTTACAATTTCCAACCTGATGATTGTGATAATTGTCTCTCATTATTGTTTTACAAGATGTTATTTCTTTTCTTCTTCTTTTTTTTTTTTGAGATGGAGTCTCCCTCTATTGCCCAGGCTGGAGTGCAGTGGCACAATCTTGGCTCACTGCAACCTCCACCTCCTGGGTTCAAGTGATTCTCCTGCCTTAGCCTCCCGAGTAGCTGGGACTACAGGCGTGCGCCACCACGCCCGGCTATTTTGTATTTTTAGTAGAGATGGGGTTTCCCCATGTTGGCCAGGCTGGTCTTGAACTCCTGACCTTGTGATCCACCTGCCTCGGCCTCCCAAAGTGCTGGGATTACAGGGGTGAGCCACCATGCCCATCCATAAGATGTTATTTCTGATCTCTGATATTTTCAAATGCTTACTGGTACTTTAATTTTTTCTATTTATGAATTGCTTATTTGCCTTTGCTCATTTCTCTAGTAAGCTGCTTTTGTTAATTTGTGAGTAATTTATTCTAGGTATCAGGCCTCTGGCATGTTTCAAATTTCCTAGTGTCTTTGTCAAAGAGAAATTTTTAACTTCAACATAAGTAATTTGTCATCTTTGTCCTTTAGTTTTTGTGATTTTAAGGACATAATATCTATTACTTTAAAAGTATTGAAAGCTGTATGTATATTCTTCAACTAGCCACCTTATTTCTGTTCTAGAGTTTGAATTTCTTAACTCCAAAAACACACAATAATTTTTAAAGTCTTGACCAAACTCTGTTATCTTCTGCATAGTCTATTTTTCAGCATTCCATTAAATGAATTGAGAAAAAGGAGGTACATGTATGTATATACGTATGTATGTGTCTGTATGAATATGTAGGTATGTATTTGTATAGTTGGAATTCAGCGTTTTTAAAACAGTTCTTGTCTGCCAAAATACATAAAGGAAGTGAAAGATTGCAATTCATTTGCTACCAGTAAGACCATCATGTTATTTAGTTCATCATTACATGCCATTCCACACTGATTTCTTTGTGTGTAGATGTGGCTGCCACAGAGTCATCAACTGACAGGATGCTCATATGATCTCTGCAGGATCAGCATTTCGCCCAGTAACTATACTGTGGCATGCTTTTATAAGAGGGTATCATTTTTAAAATTTTCAGAACAATTCATAGTTTAAATGTTTTGAATTCAGGTACCCAAATAATGGTAGTCTGCTGAAATTCTAATATAGTTTTTAGTGAATGTTTTCTATTTTCTAAGTAGGCAGTCATAACATCTGTGAATAATAATCGATTTTCCTAATTTCTTTCAGTTTTCTAATTCATACTTTTTTAGCCACACTTTTTTTTTTAACCATGCTAGGTAAAACTTCCAAAACAATGCCAAATAACACAGGCGAGTATGCACATAACTGTCTTATTCCTGAACTTAATGGGATCTATTGATATATTTTTAAATTTGATGTGTTTCTGTTTGTCTTGATATGCTTTCTCAAACTAAGAAAGTTTCTTTTTATTTCTAGGTTGTGTTTTTACCAAAAAAATTAATGCTCAATTTTGTTAATTAACTTTTTTATTGAAATGTTTTAACCTTGACTCAATTAACACAGAGAATTACATAAATCATCCTTATTTTCCTGGAGAGAAAAAAAGGCCCTCTGGTATACTCTCTTAATATAAAGCTTTACTTGGTTTGCTAGTGTTTTATTTAGTGACAACAGACTATAGCTTTCTTTTTCATGAAATTTATGTCCAGATTTGATAATTGTGTGACCCTCTGAAGGGAATTTAGAAGCTTTCATTCTTTTCTTCTGCTCTACAAGTTTAAATGATAACAATAGTTACATCCTCCTTCAAGGTATGTCAGAGCTTCCCGACAAAACCTTCTAGGCCTGGGCCTTTCTCATTAGACCTTTGGCGCTCCTTTATAACTTCTGCAGCTTTTAGATTAACACAGGGGTACCCAACCCCTGGGCCACAGACAGGTACCAGGTTCTATTGATTTGTATTTGCTGTCATGACTGGTCAACTGGGACCAGAGTGGGTGTTTCGCAGTAAGAGCACTTGGTTCTACAGTAGGGGTCCCCAGCCCCTAGACCACAGACCAGCATAGCTTCATCTGTATTTATAGACATTCCCCATTGCTCACATTACCGCCTGAGTGCCACATCCTGTCAGATCAACAGTGCGATTAGATTCTCATAGGAGCGTGAACCCTATTGTGAACAGCACATGCGAGGGATCTAGGTTGCATGCTCCTTATGAGAATCTAAGGCCTGACGATCTGTCACTGTCTCCCATCAACACCACATGGGACAATGTAGTTGCAGAAAAACAAGCCCAGGCCTCACACTGATTCTACATTACGGTGAGTTGTATAATTATTTCATTATATCTTACAATGTAATAATAGAAATAAAGCTCACAATAAATGTAATGAGCTTGAATCATCCCGAAACCATCCCCCAACCCCTGGTCCGTGAAATCGTCCTTCACAAAATTGGTCCCTGGCGCCAAAAAGGCTGGGGACCACCGGTTTAACCACTATTCTCCTGATTGAGACAACTGTGGCAATTATATTATTCTTTCAACTACATGTCTGAGAGTCAGTTGAGTCTGGTGGTCATACATATGTGTGTGTGCCACAACTGCCTGGGCCTCCCTACATTCTGGCTCAACTATTTCCTGGCTGTTACGTCCTTGGTAAGTTAAACTCCATGTGCTTTTAATTCCTACATTTGTGCAGTGGGGAAAATTACAGTATCTACTTAAAAAACCTGTTGTGAAGAGTGTAAGTTAACACACAGGAAGCACTTAGAACTATGCCTGGCCTACTCTGTTTCAATAAATGCTAACAATTCTTACTTGAGAGATTTTTCAAGTTAGAATAAAGTTACCCATAACAACTGCATACTTTAAAATTACCCTCTGAATATTATTATTTACAATTCTTAATATTGTCCTCTTATGTTTTCTCTTTTTTCCCTGGCCAGATTTGCTAGAAGTTGATTGATTTCACTAGCTTTTTCAAAGAATGACATGGTTTTGTTTATCATACCCCTTCTTTTCAATTTCTTCGCTATGTTCCTCTATTCTATTTTTCTTTTTCTGGCTTCCTGAACCGAAAATTTAGTTCATTTATATTCAGTCTTTCTTAATTTCTAACAAATATATGCTTGTCTCTGTATAATACAATGTCCATATTCCATAGGATTTAATAGGAACTGTTGTCATTGTCATGTCTGTAACCTCAATTTTGATTTTCTCTTTAACTCAACAGTCATATGGTTCTATTGATCTTAACTCAGAAAAATCGAATGATATGATTTTTACTACTTGGAATTCGTTAGGTTTTCTTTATGTCCAATTACATCATAATTCTATTAATAGTCCATAGGCCTCTGCATAGAAAATGTATTCTTTGTATCTGTAACTATAAAATCATGCTGTGTTATTCAAATTCGTTATAGCCTTAAGTTAACGGCTTTTGTTTTGAACATTTCGATGCTAAATGTTGGTGCAAAAAGGTTTGTGGTCATCAAATCTACTCAATGGAGATTAGGTTTTATCAACATAAATTAACATTCTTGCTTCGTTGAAGTATTCCTCACACTCCTTGAATTCCATTTTGTCTAATATGAGTGCTACTCTTTGCTCCTGTTGACCCAGTAGTCATCTTTGTTTCACTTAATATTTTTATCACTTGCTTTAAAACATACAGAGCAAGATTTCATGTTAACTCAATCTAGAAGCTTCCATCTTTTAATAAGGAAAGTGTTAGTACACTATAAGTGTCAAAATCTATCCAAATCTAAAATTCACTGTTACTTTTTTAGCATACAAAAAAATCAGTTTATCCTATATTTATGAAATACAACAAAATTGGGAGGTAGGTAGGTAAGCAACAAAAAAATTTTACTAATTCTAGAGGAGTACTGTTTACATACAGTTACATATAGTAAACTACAACTTAAGATAATCCTACCAGGAGTGACATATTTTCAAAATAACACATGGGCATTTTGCAGGGATATATAGAAGTTTCAGTTGTCACAACCTGGCTGCTAGTAACAATAAACTTCTAATACTGAGAAGCTGGTATGATTTGAAAGAACAAACCAGTCTTAGAGGGGCAGATGTATAAGAAGAGATGCAACTAGTAGAGATATAAAGAACAAAGAGAGAGAGAAATAGGTGAGGAGCCTGAGAGGTTTAAAAAAATAGAAGAGTTAGTAAAGAAGAAGAAGAAAAAAAAATCACTGTCATTACAAACATTTACCGAAAAGCTACTAGGTGTTTAATGTAAGTTACTGTGCCCTGTGCATAGTTTTACTTCTGTAACACTGAGTTGTATCTGCAAAAGTGATGTGCATTTTTAACATAGTCTTCATTTATTATTTCCCCAAAAGCTATTATTAAATCGATGGTATAATTTATAATCAACCATGATTAAGAACTGAGGGAATACAAATGATAGAGCATATTTATAAAAAGATTCAAAACATTTATAATAAGATTCAAACTAAAAGTTATCATTTCCAAGAGTGAACTGGAATAAGAGAATAAATGCCTAGCTTTGAATAAAAATATGACTTAGCAGAAATACCACTGCAAAATAAATAAGTCTTCTATAGAAATATCTGCTATCTTACCAATTTCTATTTAATTCTAAACACACTGATAAAGCGGCCTGCGTATTGAGAACCTGTGGCCACCAAGCTATTCTCAAGTAGATCCACACATTTTTGCTGCTGAGTTTCATGCTTACTAATAGTTATGTTTACTCCCAAGCCTATTTTATTACAGTTGTACTTATTTCTATAAATACATGAATTAAGTATTACATAAATAAATTAAATATGAGTGCAAACATAAAAGTTGCTACTTCTAAGAAAACTAGGTTGAATGCTCTAGAAAGGCAAGTTGCTAAAAAAAAAAAAAGTTGTGTCAACTTCAGTAAGGTTGATGGGAAGAATCTGTAGAAATACAAAAATATTCTGCACTCAGATTTCTTAGGAAGTGTAAGTTCACTGCTCCACTGCAAGAAAATCAAAACTGAAAGACTGCGATGATGCATCAGCAGCATGGTTACATAAAAGCAACGGGGAGCAGCAGACACACTCAAAACCACCAAACCTCTAGGGTCACAGCAAAAGCTTGATGGGTAAGTACAGGTTACATTTTGAGTGTTTTTTAAAGAAATGATTTCTAGCTTTAATACTTTTTAAGTTAACAGAGAACTACTGGTCCTCACTGGATAAGAGGTTTCTAATGTATAGTAAATATATTATTCAATTTCTTGACAACCTTAAAGCTTGCTGTGTATTTTCTTCAATTTTTTTTTTTTACACATTTAAAAGATAAAGAGAATATCTTAAGAGAAGCCAGAGAAAACAGGAGACACAATTAGAATGATGGCTAATTGCTCATTAGAAACTATGTAAGACAAGACAATGGAATTACATCATTAAAGTATTGAAAGAACAGAAAAGAAAATCTACAGTCAGTGAAAATGTGCTTCCAAAATCAAGAAAAGTTTTAAATTTTCATATAAACAGAAGTTGAATTAGTTGCCAGCAGATCTGTACCAAACTCTCCCTCAAAAGGACATATTGGAATGCAAATAATTAGTATGACATTGGTATAGTCCTAAGCTCTAAACACATCTAATTTTAGTATTTAATTTAAAAGATATGGTTTGCAAACTTCACTCATTCATTGTTACAAAATTTTTTGACCTACTTCACAACTACTGTGACACAGGAAGGCCACCCTACGATATGTGAGCAACCGCTGATACATAACCTAACACCGGAATACGGTAAAGAAAAAACTGTTTCTCTCATTCTTGAACAAACTTACCTCTTTGTCTTGGAAAAATCTGTTCAGGATGCTGTAAAATAAATTAATAATGTATTAGATAATTATCATAACATATAAAAGTGAAATTTTTAAAATAGTAATTAAGATAACTACCTTCATTACTGGCCTGGCTCGTTTCTCAAACAAACCACTTGGGAAAAGGTAAGCAATAGCTCTCTGAAAATATACACAAAGGTTAGTTAACAACTGTTATATAAACAAGGTTAGAACTAATAGTTATAGAGTGCTTTCTATATGCTGGACATTGAACTAGAGTTTCAAAGCATTATCTTACTTCATAAATGTTTCAATGGGATGATAAAATTACTACACACAATCCAAAAAGAAAAAAATTTAACTATTAAACTGGTTATTGACAATTTTCAAGTGTCAGCTTTAAACATGTCATTCCTTGAATATGAGAGCACAAATAATCTCTCTTTTAAGGGATCACTTAGAGATGCTCCTGTCTGGATTCTGTGGAAATGTGCTTAAGAGCAATTGTTCCAGCTCCCAGCTGGTCGTGCACATATCAAAGAGCAGGCTGCAAAGAGCAGGCTCTAAGTCTCACCCATCATGACACCCCTGATGTTTTTAGATGTTCTTTCAACTTTTTCCAGAGTTTTTAAACTACACTCTTTCCAAACAAGTTCTTCTTCCATGTCTGTTTTTCAATAGGGATGCTACTGGCATTGTGGGTGTGACAGCTCCATCATAGGCACCCTTTTTCCATACTGCAGGTCATTTAGTATTCCTGGCTTTTTTCCAGTCGGCATCAGTAATAACCAGTGCTCATGACAAATCTCACCCCCACACCTTTCCAAATGCCCCTACGTCCTAGGGAGCAGCACTGCCTCCCAGCTGAGAACAATAGCTTAAGCCTTTTATAGTGTCTTCTCCAATGCCCCGCCTCACAACAACAAAATGTACACTTTCCTTCTTGTTGAACAGTGCCGATGAAGAGTCTATGGCCTGGGATCCAGTAGTGCATTTAAATACACTTCTGCTCATTTAGAGAGCCTGTTCTGAGTGGGCCTTCTCTGCCTACCCGCATAGTAAATGTGCTGGATCAGACTCTGCCACCAAAAGGAGAGGTCTATAATTTGGGGGTATAAATTCAGTCATATTAGGGAGCCTAATTGTGTCTCTGGATCAAGCTTCATTCTCTTATTCAACTTTTTTCAGAACAAAATTACACTTAAAACAAAACAAAAAACCTAGGTCAGGCACGGTGGCTCATGCTGGTAATCCCAGTACTGTGGGAGGCTGATGTGGGAGGATGAGGCCAGGTGTTATAAACCAGCCTGGGCAACATGCTTTGTCACGCAGGCTGGAGTGCAAAATAAACAAACAAATAAAAAACTTAGATCAAACATCAGTGTGCCCCTTTAGCAAACTCTTTTTTGTTTTAACCAGGTCCCTCCCCACCTACCCCCTTCCTTTGCTGCAGGGAAAAAAGGTAGACTTTTTCTTTTATTAGATCAGAACCTCACTCTGTCGCTGAGGCTGGAGTGCAGTGACACAATCATGCTCACTGCAGCCTTGACCTCCCAGGCTCATGCAATCCTCCCACCTCAGCCTCAGGAGTAGCTGGGGCTAGAGGCTTGCACCATCACACCCAGGTAATTTTTTTTTTTTTTTGTAGAGATGAGGGTCTCACTATGTTGCTCAGGCTGGTCTTGAACTCCTGAGCTCAAATGATCTTCTTGCCTTGGCCTACCAGTATTGGGATTACACACATGAGCCTTAATAAATGATACTGCAACTGATTGCCATTTGGAAAAAGATACAACCAAAATCCAAACCTCACATCATATACAGCAGAGTAAACTCCAAATGAGTGAGAGGGCTAAACATACAAAATAAAAACAAATACTCACATATGACATGAGTGAATTCCTTTATAACTAAGCAATGGAAAAGTCTTTCATAACTATGACTCAAAATTTATAAGTAACTTTTTAAAAAAGATTGACAGGCTGGGCCTGGTGGCTCACGCCTGTCATCCCAGCACTTTGAGAGGCTGAGGTGGGTGGATCACGAGGTCAGGAGTTCGAGACCAGACTGGCCAACGTGGTGAAACCCCGTATCTACTAAAAATACAAAAATTAGCTGGGCATGGTGGCGGGCGCCTGTAATCCCAGCTACTTGGGAGGCTGAGGCAGGAGAATCGTTTGAACCTGGAAGGCGGAGGTTGCAGTGAGCTGAGATCGCGCCATTGCACGCCAGCCTGGGTGACAGGGCGAGACTCTGTCTCAAAAAAAAAAAAAAAAAAGATTGACCAATTAAACTATATTTGTAAAAGAAGTATATGGCTCATAATAAGATAAGTGCAATTAAAACTACTGAGAGAACACATTTTATCTAATAGGACTAGCAAAAGTTCAAAAGTCTGACAGCACACTGTTGGCGAGGCTATAAAAAAACACCCTGCCACCTTGCTGGTGGGAATGCCAAGTGCTATAACCTCTTCAGCGGGAAGGTGGGAGCTTTCTAACAACATTACATATATATTTCCCTAGCAATCTGACTCAATGAATTTACCCAGAAGATACACCCCTATGAATACAAAAGAACATAAGCACGTGTTATTCACTGATTTATGAGAACAAAATACTGAAAACAACCAAATCCCCATGCATAAGAGGCTGGCTGAATAAATGAGGGCACATCTGTGCAATCAAGTACTATAGAGCTGTAAAACAGACAGAAAAGCCAAGATACAAAAGAAATGTACCTAGAATGCTGCTTTGGTGTAAGAAACAGAAAAAGAAAAGACGTATAAATACAGGGGGAAAATACACATAAGCTTCTTTTTGCAAACATAAAACACAAAAATGTTAAGTAGAAACCAATAAAAATGATTTCTCAAGGGTTGGGTGAGAGTAGAGGGAGGGGCATAGGGATAAGGGCAAACTCCTCTGGGCCTCCCTTGTATAGTTAAGCCCTGAAGCATGTAAATGTTTTATGTATTAAAGAATAATATTTACAAAGAAACTCTAAAAATATAACCAGAAACAAATAACAACAACAAAATAATTGCAAAGAAATCTTCATCTTTACTTGGTAGGCTTATAGTCAGTCATAACACTGATACTATAATTCTGAAATATTTTATGTACACTGCAGCATAAAGCAAATAAGTAAATATATTAATTTTATGGAGACTGATATTTTATTATAGAAGAGATATAAATGTACAAGGGAAAACCCTATAATGTTAAGTAATATAAACTATTATCTTAAAAACTATTTCCTGTAATATTCAAAAAATATTATTTCCTAGTTCTGTTCCCTGAAAAAGCATAAAGGAATGGAACTTTAGGAGCAATGGGAGGGTCAACTGGTTTCTACATACATCCCAGTATAAGGAACCAAGTACCTTGGAGAAATGGCTGATTCTAGGTGTAAGGCAGACAAAGCACAAAATGAGTCTGAGACATTCTCACTATCTCTTTTTAGAGATACTGAGATCCCATCTCTACAAAAAAAATTTTTAAGAAGTGTGGTGGCACATGACTGTAGTCCCAGCTACTCAGGAAGCTAAAGTGAGAGGATTGCTTGAGCCCAAGAGTTCAAGTCTGCAGTGAGCTATGACAGCATCACTACACTATAGCCTGGTTGATGGAGCAAGACCCTGTCTCTGAAAATAAAAGAATAATGATAATGCTTCACAACACACTCAATATGTGACATGCACATTCATGTGCATGCACACGCACACATGTACACATACACACACACACACACTCAGGAGAAGGGGCAAGAAGAAAAAGAAAGCTACTTTACAGAACAATATGTTATAAAAGTAAAAGGAGTGACAGAAGTAGAAAATCACCATTTTACAACTTCCAAATTAACCATCAATTTCAGGCAAGGATCACCAACAAATGCTAAAGCCACTGGCTGAAAGGTTACTAAAGAATGGAAAATTCGCATGAACTCAGAATATTACCCTATAGACTGGTTACAAAGGGAAAAGGCTACTTTTACAATAAAGAGGTCTAGTGGTCATCACTGTAACCAAGGGATCAGTCACATCATCATCAACAGCAGGACAAACTGACTATGTACCTCTCAGACTTCGTGGATGTAACGAGAAGTATACAATATCACCTAAGCAGTATCCTTTATACATTCTAAGTCTGATCACGAGAAAGCAAGCAGAAAGCCAGAATGTGACACAACTGTACAAGACAAGTGGCCTGGATTCTACAAAACAATTAGTCAGCTACAAAGACATTCTGGGGAAAACTGAGGAAATTTTCACGAAGATTATATATATGGCATATAGAATTATTATAATTGTATCAGATGTGATAATGATATTGTGGGAGATAACAGTATGAAGAATGCAAGCATTTAGGGGTTAAGTACATACTGATGTATTTGGGGGTTAAGTTTATAATGTGCAGTTTTCAGTGGATCAATAAAAAATGTTTTACATATACAAAGCGATAAAGAAAATGTGGCAAAATGTGAAAATCTGGCAAATCTAGGTGATGGGGGTATGCGTTTATATTTATTCAATGAATATTCAACTTTTCTGGAAATTTGAAAAGTTTCAAAATAAAAAGGTGGGACAAATGTTAAAAATTTAAAAATAAATAAGATTTTCCCAAACACAACCTGTCTCAGCAAAGCCAACACTAGCCTACAGCACTTGTGGGCCATCTAGACCTCAGGCCTCGTTCTCAGTCATACAGGGCAGCCCAAGGCTGGTTGGCATCTTAGCAAAGGGACCACTGAAGCCAGGGCCTGGATCAGAATACTAGATGGCGTGGAAGACTAAGCATAATTCTTCAACTTAGGGTGAACACACTGCAACCACAAAGGAGACAATTCAACTGAGTTTCAAGCTGTCATCGGCAACATTTCCAAATATGAAAATTACTGTTAATTTAGGTGACCAATGAATAGAATCCTAGACGGAAATGAAAATTGAAGAATTCCAACCTACAGTTGGATCTGTCATGAAGACTAAGACAGAAAAGTCATGAGGAAGCTAATTGGTGGAAACTGAAAAGAAAGCATTGATTGCAAAGGATGTCTGGGGCTTACAGGCAATATCTCTTTTAAAAAGACAAAAACAAGCCAACAAAGAATTCGCTAGAAGTCTTCTGAAAGTATCAGAAAATGTGTCTTTGCCTTTAAAAATTTTTCTCAGCTAAAAGTAAATTAATACACACTTATTAATTTATAATCCCTCACTATACTAAGTATTGTACCAAATACTGTGGAAAAGGTCCACAGAGCAAAAGATACCATGTCAGATAAAAAGCACTATTGCAAATTCAGTGAAAACAATGAAAAACAAAAGATGAAAGAAAAATGAACAAAAGAGGGAATAGGAAATAAAATAAGCCAGTTGTTTTAAAACCAAATAACAAAACATACAAAACAGAAAAGGCACATTCCTGGCACGCTGTCTGCCATCTGTTTAGTATGCATGGAATAGTACTAACAGGACCTAACCTATTACTTCCATTTATCTCCTATGGGCATTCTATGCAGATTTTTTTCTTTTTCTTTCTTTTTCTTTTCTTTTACAAATTCTGAAGCAAACAAAGGACTACCTGGCTATGAAAAAAAATTATGTTGCTTTCTGTGTCTGCTTAACTTTCAGTTACCACACAGTTGTTAAAACACAAGTAGATGAATATCCTTTTGAGATAAACAACAAATACATATAACAAGAGAATCTTGAGTGTTAGTACTGAGTTGAACAGCCTACAGATATGTTTTGGGCAGACCATTATGTGCTATAAAACAGGAAAATCTTTACTTCCACTAAACATTGCAGAGTTCAAAAGAAAGGAAGCAGTGAACACGAAAACATGGTGAAAGTGTAAATAATAACATAATCCTCACTGTGTCTTATTATAACCATAAGAAGACTTTTCAAATACTACCACTCCCAGTGATTCTGATGTGCAAGGATATCAATTTTATCTAGTTGTTGTGAGAATTTAAAAAGGTATTTATAAAAATACAACTAGTAGTCATTCACTAAATATTAATTAACTATACAAAAATATTCAGTTTTGTAAAGCACATTATTTCACATAAAATAGCATGCATTCATGAGCTCCATTTTACAGACCAAGAAGCAGC